>NC_000002.12:76667625-77292625 GCF_000001405.40 Homo sapiens
TCTGTTTCCCTTCTACAAATAAAGCTATCATTCAAGTCCATTTTGGGGAAAATGTTAGCTAGAGTTCATGTACATTAGGAAACAAATAACTAATACAATCCCAGCCAGAATCCTTTCCAAAGAGCTAATAAGCTCCACCAACTGGAAGCCAACAAGATTGCCCACCCTCACCCTAGAGAAGTCACAGAGGCCTTATTTCCCTGTAATACACTCACAGGCTCTGTTAATAGTTAAAGTCTGGCGGTAGAAACCCAGAGGTTGAGTTTTTAGTGCTGTTAGATCATCCCAGGGCAGCGTCAATTTCTGGCAGTGATAACACATGCAATGGCTTTCCGGCAGGACACAGCCACGGGGTTCCTGGCAGAGCCACCGAGCAAGGTTTTTGTTAAGCAGATCCATATCATTTTTGACAGGACTAACATATGGCTTTGGATTTCTGGCCAAAGACTCCTCCATGGTTCCTATCAGAAGAGACCGTACACGCTCTCTGGCAACACTGCCACACGATGTAAAGGATTTAATTCCTGGAAGTATATTGCCATGATGATTTGCTACAGAACAAATTTCAAAGTTGGTTTCCTGCCATAAAATTCTATAGGTCATGTCAAGGCCAACACAGCAGTGAGTTTTCAGCAAGAAGATATTGAGCTGATCTTTTAATAGCCTTCCTTTTCACACTTTGCCACATTCTTAAGTGTTTCCATGTACACTGAGTATAAATAAAATATTTTCTACATGAAAGAATATTGCAATAATGTAATGTGTTTTGTGTCTGTACATACAAGAGCATTTGCAGCAGTACCACTTGTTCATCTAATGAAATGAATTGCCATTATTGTGAAATTTCACTTTAATTTGTAAAAGAGCCAAGGCATGTTCCTGTTAACAGTGACGATGGAGAGAATAATAACTTCCCACAGTTCAGAAGGCAATTTAATTCATCCTTTTATTCTCAACAGTATAATTCAGCAGCTAAAATGACTGCAAATGTCTGAAAGGAGGATGCCCTGGCCTTTGAAAGGTAATTAAAGTTCAAGATATAGAATAGGAAGTAGCAATATATCCTTCACTGGATGTGATGCATCATTATATTTTCCTAAAAAAGTACTATGCACAGTGCATATATTTAAAATACTGTTTTAATGCTGCTCTCATACCCCTGCAATTAACAATATCACATCACATTTTACTAGTATTTCCACCACAACTGGTGTCACCCTGCCTGGTGTTAATTCACTAAGCACTGAAATCTCTTCAAATGAGAGATTTCTCAAATTAAAAATCACAAAATCACTTTATTTGATTTGATTTATATAAAATAGAAACAAACCAACAAGAGAAAATGAGCTGAGCATTCTTTAGCTCAATAGAAAATAAGATGCTTTTTATAAAATGATTATTATTCAACAGAAGCAAACAAAAAATGATACTGGGTCACTACCATCTGTTTTATGGTTACTTGGAGTCTTATAACAATTAATTCAGTGTAGCTTTTAAAATTTGTTTATTATCATCCTTATAAAAACACTGCTCCCAAACTGAAGGCTATTCAAACTTAAGTAACCTTGGAGATGTATGTGGATGAACTCTAATGTGTAAAAGCATTTGGGGAAATAGGTCTGGGTGATATACAAAGCTAGTAAAACTTACTGCCAAATGAAGATTGTAAGCGTAAGACTTGTTGCTTTGTTGTTCATTTCGAAATGCCTAAGAGACAGAAAGTAAAGGTTAGAAACAATCAGTAAAAATGTTTTCTGAGTATCCTGTGGGACTGGAGCACTGTATTGATGGATATACTACTGTAACTCTAAATCAGCTCTTAACCTCACTGGAGTCCTTTCTCCAAAGCCGGGAAAAGAGTCCTGAAGCAGATACTTTGTCTTTTCTTTAACAGCTGCAAAGGCATCCTGAACTAGACGGAGGTCAGATTCTACTTCCGTAATCAATGTAATAATTCTGGTATTGTCTGGTTATATCTGATGCAAAGTTTAAGATACAGTTGTCACAGACTCTCAATATTTCCCTCATTTATTTAATCAACAAATAGCAACCCACTAGCAAATATGTACCAAGTACTCAGATACAGTCTCTGGTATGCACTGTTCTTACATGGTTCAAAAAACCTGAGCCTCATGTTTGAACCATGATGAAGGAAGCCTTTTCAAGTATAATAAATGTTTTTCTTGCCAAAATAAATGGGTCAAAGAAAAGAAACGGAAGGATAAAACTTACAGTTCAATGAAGTCCAAGGGCTCATAATTTTCCAAACATTTCCAGTGAAACATATAAAAATCATGGTTTCAATTGAAAAAATAGTATGTTATCTACTAAGTAGACATACAATGTAATTAAATACAAATAAGATATAGGAATATGGCACAAAGAAAAGAATAACATAATTATAACTTATCAGTGCTTTGTTTTTCAATTTTGTGTTAGTGCAGGACCATCGCTCACTAACTCACTAAGTGCCAATGTTTTAAGTTAAAGAGTTGAATAATCATAGAGTTGGCTGCTTCAACCCATGGCTTATGCCCAAGAGACTGCAGAAACACAGGGGAGCAAGAAATCTGGCTGTAGCAGAAGCACTGAGAATGACACTCACACTCACGATAGGAAAAGGCTTGTTCCTTGTCCTTTCTTTGACTTTGTATGTTGTAACTTGGGAGGTATGCATTTCTTAGATGGTAATTACATCAGAAATAGGTCAATGAGGTGCCAGTTCATTCTTCTGAAGACTTAGATGTCAGCAGAGAAGTCAGGCTCTCTCTTGGCTTTGACAGAGCAACAGAAAGGAACTGAACTGCCCAGTAAACGGATTAGAATTAGGTAAAGTACTCCAAAAGTGATGGGCATATTTCTAAGCAAGAACAATGAATTTCAGGGATATCAAAATATGCTCCCTTTTCCCATAGGAAAATAAAATTACTACAATGTTCAAAGTACTTACTAGGCAGCAAAACAATTTTTCAGATAATATGTATATTACTATGTTATTTTAAGAATAAGGAAATGATTATCAGAAGTTACGTAAATAACCCAAGAATGCAGAGCTAGCACCTGGCAGAGGCAGAATTGGCATGCAGGTATCAGCTGCCCCGTTTGCTGGGGCTCTCTAAGCCCGCAGTTCCTTTTTACCAAGCGAGGGGGGAATGACAAAGGCATCATTTTCCCCATTATTTCAGAGCATAGACTTTGCTAACTATATTCTTTAATTTCAATCTTCACAAATCACTCATGGCATTTTTATATGGGGCCAGAAATATCAAATTTCATTAGGAAGCCTTGAGTTCTTAAGCACAATCATCTGTTTTTTCCTCTTTTTTCCCATAGTTTACAAAAATAATGGCTACAGGATAAAAAATACTTAAAAATTAATTTATTAATTATGGCATCTTTCCTTCAAAGAAAATAATTTAAGCTCAACTTTTCAGGCTTCATTGAAGCCATTACTATTCTATGAAATAGAAAATGTTTGAGCTTCCCACTGCTGTGTTTATAGCTGCATTGTCTGCTGTTCCACACTTTATCTAACTACACCATAATCAAGATACAGGTTAAGGTAACAAATTATTAGTCTTTCCAAGAGAAGTGTAAATGAACTCTGACTTGTAAATTGGCTAATTATTTTTTGTGCTACATCATTAGCTTTAGAAAATCTTTAGATTTAAATGTATTATTAACAGAAAAATTCAAGCCTATTTATAAAAAGCACGCTGGCATTATGCAAAGATATGCTATCTGTAAGCCATGAAAGAAATTTTCTCAATTCTTCTCAATTTATAGTTGTTTTCTGACTATAAATTTATAAACTATTTATAGTAGAAAATGTAGGAAGATATAGGAAACCACACAGAAGAATATAAAGATTTCTTGAATCCCACAACCTAGAATAACTGCTATTAATGTATACAGTCTTTAAACATATATTTGTACAGATGCAACTATAACGATATGTTTACAAAACTGGAATAATAGCATATTACTTGTTAATAACCTGATAATTTTTCACTTAACAGTAAGCTGGAAGCAGATATCTATGTTATTAAACTTTTATATAAAATTATCTTTAGAAACATAAAATTAACTATGTACCAATATTTATTTAGTCAATACTCTAGTATTATCATTTTGTTTGTTTCTAGTCTTTAAACTATTTTAAACAATTCCAGGAAGAATATACTTACAGAAAAAGAAAGATATCAACCCTTGTGATGGTTTTCTAAGAATAAATTAATGAAAAGTCTCAAAGAATATGTATTATTAATTTTTTTCTAAAACAGTTTTAACAGTCTAATACATTCTAGCTGTTATAGAAAATGGTTTATGTCTCTACTGTTGCTGAGAGCAGCTATTGTGAAGACTTTTACACACTTACCATTTTAATAGATTAAAGAATTTATCTCAATTTTATTTAACTGCAGGTCTTTATTAAGTGGAAACTTTTCCAATATAGTCATTGGCCATCTGTACATAAGTGATCTTTCACTTTTTTATCATGTCCACTTATTCATTCACATATTCATTCGTTTAATATATACCTACTGTGCTCTAGGCAGCATCATTCCAGTCCCTGGAATTAAAGTGGTGAAGAAGACAATTGACTTCTGCTTGCACAAGGTAAACATACTCCTAAAGTCAGACAGATAATAAACAGAACATCAAAAATAAACAAGTTAGTTTCAAGCCATGTGTATTAGTTTCCTGGGGCTTCCGTAACAAATTACCACAAACTGGGTGGCTCAAAACAACAGAAATTTATTCCGTCACGGTTCTGATGGTCAGAAGTCTGAAATCAAGGTGTCAGCAGGACTGTGCTCTCTTCGCTGGCTCTAGGGGAGAATCTTTCCTCGCCTATTCCTGCATCTAGTGGTCCCAGGCATTGCTTGGCTGTGGCCTCATGATTCTAATCTCTTGTTTTTATGTCTCTGTTCTCTGTTTGTATCCTGCATGTCTCTGTGTCTAAATATCTCTCTTCTTTTTCTTATGAAGACGCCTGTCACTGGATTTAGGGCCTACCCTAGTATAGTACTACCTCATTTTAACTTGATTATACCTGCAAATACCTTATTTTCAGTCAAGTATGGTTACATTAATAGGTACTGGGGCTTAGAACCAGAACGTATCTTTTTTTCTGGGGGAGAAGACACAAGTCAGTTGACTACACAGTGATAAAACACTAGGAGAAAAACACAGGTTTGAATTTCAAATTCCATAATAGTTAGTGACCAGGGATGGATTAGTAGGCCTACTTAGATGCAGTGACCAGGAAAGACCTGTCTGGAAAGGTAACCACTGAGCTAAGATTTGAATGATGGGCAGGAGCCAGTAATATAGGGACATCGGGGAGGAAAGCTCTAAGCAACAAAACGCAGCTGGTGCAAAGTCCCCAAAAGGTAGAGTGTTATAAGATAGGGAGGGGCTGGCTCATACAGGACTTTATGGATCACAATAAAGAGCTTACAATCAACCAGGAAATAAAACAATTTTTTATAATAACTATTATCAAATAGTTGGCATATGCCAGGCAATACTGAAACAAGTTTTGCATGCTTTAACTTATCTAACACACACAGAAAAAGGAAAGTCATTTTATTACTCTCTCCTAAAACTGATAAAGTATCAGAAATTCTAAGTAACTTTTTATGTTATAGAGACAATTAGGTACATTTCTAATTGACTCTGAAGTGTTCTTTTTTATTAAGTATGTTAACATTTTTCTTCAAAAGTGTACCAGCTTTTAATTAATCTTTGGAGATTACTTACTTTTTGAAGATTTTTTACTAACAGGTATTTAATATGGTCCTATCCATTGATGTGCTTATCTATTTTTCTTTTCTTTTCTTTTTTTTTTTTTTTTTTTTTTTTTTGAGACATAGTCTCGCTCTGTTGCCCAGGCTAGAGTGCAGTGGCGTGATCTCAGCTCACCACAACCTCTGCCTCCCGGGTTCAAGCGATTCTCCTGCCTCAGCCTCCCGAGTAGCTGGGACTACAAGCGTGTGCCACCATGCCTGGCTAGTTTTTGTATTTTTAGTAGAGATGGGGTTTCACTATGTTGGCCAGGCTGGTCTCAAGCTCTTAACCTCCTGATCCACCCGCCTCCGCCTCCCAAAGTGTTGGGATTACAGGCGTGAGCCACCGCGCCCGGCCGTGCTTATCTATTTTTCTAAATCTCTATGTATCTGTGATTTTATTTTAGTGCCCTGCATTACCTTGTGTGATTAGAATAAAAATAAAAACTTGACTGTCAGGGATTAAAATAAATGATGGCTTTTATAATAGTCATGCTTTTTTTCTTTCCTTTTTAAAAAGTTTATTGTATATGTACAGTACTTATTGCATTCATGTAAAAATATTTTTAAATAGAATACATTTTTGTTCTTCTGACTACAACAGAGAAGACTTGTATTATGATGAAGGCCTTCTTTCTGGTAACATTTGCCCTAAGCCACTGCACACAATTGCCCCTAAACCTAAATCCAGGGTAGTAATAATCATTTTCTGCACCAGGGCATGGTATAATCGTTAGTCCTTGACTTTTCAAATGACTGAGCATTAATGTGACTTTGTAATAATCTTCTCTACTAGACTCCTGCAATGCCACATTTCTTTCACAGAGGGAAAGTTGGTGGGAGTCCTGTTAAAAAATATTTCAATATTCTGACATACATGAAAACATAGCTTCTAATGTACTTACGATTTCTCATCAAAATGACAATTTCACAAAAATTTCACTTAATTTTCAAAGTTAAACTTTCATTATAATTGTCATTGACTTCAATCAATGATCTTGTTTGTTTTCCAAATCAATCATTAACTAATTTTCAAGAATGTCAGACCTCTTGGTTATAAATTCTTAGTCAAATTGATAGGCCTTCTCACAAAATCAAATATCAGATAATATGAGAAAGAAGGACCAATGAAATATGACATAGTTTAATTGGTTTGGTGACTGATTTGGCAGAAAATTGTTGTTAAAAATTTGGATGCTATAAATTATTTTGAAATATCTGGCAATATGTAAACTATTCACACAAAATAGTGAAACGCATGATCATGGGTCAATAAGAACATTAAAAAGCACAGCCCTTCAAAACAGAAACTGACATGCTGTCTTCAGATAGCTGATTTTTAGTCACTTATCCATGACAAATTAGCTGTATTTCAGTTTGGTAGATTTTAAGCACAGTATAAACTCCTGCCTAAAAAGAAAAAAAAAAAAAAAGAAAAGGATGAAGTTATCATTGGTATAAAACTCTGTACAAAAATCTTATAGAGAAACAAGAAATCCTACCAATTTTCACACAAAGATGCAACTCTGTTTAAGCAGCTACACTAGATCCATTTATATAATTGTAAAATTTGAATGGTTCACTTTAAGTTAGAGATTCTGAAAACTAAGCTCAGAAACTTAGAGGAGCTTAGTTATTCATATTATGCTGTTGTGGTTCTATTTTTTTTTCCCTAAATAGTAACAGTACACACAAATTCCTCAAAACATAAATAAAAATCCCCCTTTATATTCACCAATATACAGAATGAGATTAAATGATTTGTTTTTGTATTGTTTATCCCTATTCTTTTTCCTGATTAGAACAGTTTAGAAACAGTAACCTTTTTTTTTTTTTTTTCATTTCTTTTTTTTTTTCTTCTTCTTCTTCTTCTATGCCATCTGGGTAGGCAAACCCAATTAGCACATGTTGAAAGCTAGCAACACCTTTTCCAACATTTCAGAGTTTTGGCAAGCTTTAAAAGTTACTATGTCACATAAAAGCTCATTTGGCACATTACAAGGATTTGCAGTATGAATTTATCATATGGAATGATCATTTTCCAAGTGCATTGAGAACATACAGCACAATTGGATTTGGAAAGATCAGTTGAAATAAACTACATCACCATGGTTCTAGGATCAATCCATTCAATCTCTTTAATGGAGTTCTTCACCTTCTTTACTCATGCAATAGAGAAAAGAGCATGGTCCAGAAAAACCCTGGCCTTGGTCTGAAATGGTTTTAATTCTGGCATTATATCACCTTACTAAAGGAATCTTGGAAAAGATGAGAATGAAGTCTCCAAGTTTATACTACAGGATTTATGAAATTCCCCAATTTCCATGTCTTTGTCATTATGCTAATGCTTTCCGAGGCTGCTCCGAACTCAGTAATCATTGCTTTCCTCAATGATCATATACCTGACACTGGCTGGCAATTGTCCACTAGTTTCTCCCTTCTACTTCAGTAACATGCATTAGAGACATTCTCTGGTGTATTATGCGTGTCTGTTGTAGTAGATATGCTATGTCGCCTTGTTTACCATTTGTTTCAAACTTCTTTACAGGGATCTTCCTTCCTTGCAGGGGCTGACAGTGAAACATTACATTTCCCAGACACCCTTGCACCTGGGGTTCCAGATGTAATTTAGGGCCCACCATTTAGATGCACTTGCCTGAGCATCGAATCTGTAATTAAGCTAAGTAGGGAGACAGGCAATAGCCCTTAAAACATTTTGCTGCTGCATATGAAGCAGCTGTAACAGAGCCCTGGGGCCAACAGTTTGGACAGTAGCTCCCTATCCCCAGATCTGGACCCCAGCAGCTGGGTCAGAGGCTACCCCCATTTTCAAGGTTCTGGATTTTAGCAGAATCATCCTTTCTTTCGGTGGGCCAGTTCTATGGAGTTTCTGTGTCAGATCCTTCCATGAATCTCAGCTACCCTTCCAGTGATTTGTGTGAACCTCTAATTCTCAGGATTAAATCTCTTCATGTTTAAGAGAACTTGTTTTCCATATGCAACTGAATCCTGACTCATACTATGTCCTTGATATTAAACTACATTTATAAAATGATTTAAGCTATGCCATATATTCTATCTCCTTCTTACACACACAGAGATGAAAACACGAGAAACCATTTTGGAATTAAAAATATCTCAGTGGCAGAAGAAGGTGGCTTATTCTAAGACTCAATTAGATCAGTTTAAAACTATTTTTAGGTTTCTATTAGTGTAAAGAACTATATTAAGGGCGTGAAACACATACTCTCATAAATACAAACCCAAATTTTAACTGCTCAATGCATATATGTGCTTAGAGGCTCCACCGTAAAAGAGCCTTCTACCCCAAATCTAAATCCAACATCTTGCTAAAAATCAAAACTGACACTGAAAGTAATATTACCATTTTTTATTTATAGTCATGTTTTTCTTACTTTTAAATCATCTCTAATACTTACACAGTCTCTGCATCATCAGCGTATTTCATCAAAGGAACCATGATCTTTCTGACTGCTGTCATCATTCTCATTCCGGCTCTTGTTACTTCATACTGGTGTACGGTAATGACCTGCTAATGTTTCTTACTGGGGCAGAAGATATTTTAGATAGAGAGAATATCATATAAGGGGCCTTTAGATGTCCTTTGTAGGGACATGGATGAAATTGGAAATCATCGTTCTCAGTAAACTATCGCAAGAACAAAAAACCAAACACCGCATATTCTCACTCATAGGTGGGAATTGAACAATGAGATCACATGGACACATGAAGGGGAATATCACACTCTGGGGACTGTGGTGGCGTGGGGGGAGTGGGGAGGGATAGCATTGGGAGATATACCTAAGGCTAGATGACGAGTTAGTGGGTGCAGCGCACCAGCATGGCACATGTATACATATGTAACTAACCTGCACAATGTGCACATGTACCCTAAAACTTAAAGTATAATAATAAAAAAAAAGATCAAGGTGCCCTACAGGAACATATGTAATATCAGGTTTTCTCCATAACCTCCGCCTATGATACCATCAAGCCAGTTTTAAGCCTTCACTAATGAGATACGCTATTGATCACCTTTTCTCTTTCAAACATTCATAATCTTGAACTCTTATGTAATTCTAACATTTCTCACATATTTTTGTTTTCCTAATTACATTATTAGCTGGGGCTCCAGCTTTTGCCAGGGTGCCAAGGCTTATGTTCCATGCTTTGTTGTATATCACACTGTTGGTATCTTAAAAAATGTTTTGATTGATCTAGTCTCACATTTAGTATTTTACAATGAGTCATTTTCTTGAATACCTGTAATACTCTTAAGTTCCCAAATAATTTCTTATGCCCTTATCTCTGCCTCTCTGTGTTTTTATTGATTTTGTTTTATTTTTTGTGCATTGTTAAAATAAAACTGTTATTTTTGTTACAAATACACAACTTGTTACTCAGAGCTTTTGCTACCAGAATTGAAATCTGTCCAGTGTTACAAAAGTAGCTATTTCTGAAGGGTCGCTTAGTCACAAAAATTCTGATTTACTGATAGTGAAAGTCATCTGTAGAATTATTACCTTGTTAGAAGTGACCATAGGCCATACTGAATGGATTCAGCTTATCATGAACACATATCAGGCTGTCCCAACATAATCTTTGAAGCAGCTGACCCACCTCAAGTGTCCTAATAAAGATTGTTTTAAAAATAAATGAGATGAAGATCCATGGAAGCACAGTGCTTTCAGTAGAGAAAATGTTGTAGTGTTTCTTAAAAATAGATTAGAAACAATAAAGGTTCAGTATTTTTAAGCAAATATCATTTCCCATTTTTTACTGTATTGTCTTGTAAGGTTATTCATAAATACTGTAGTTATTATTCACTGTTGGAACTTAAACTATTGCAGTGTCCTGTATCGGCTACATTGCTCTGAAAAGGCACATTTGTAGGCAACTCTGTTGTATGAAACTTACTTAAATGTTTGGCTGGCGGTAGCCAGCTGTTGGCTGAAATGACTTACCCATTCCATTAGTGGAATAAATGGTTGAGAATGTCAACAAGGCTATTGTCTTCCAAAGAGTCCTTGTTTTTGTACACATCTTGCAAATACTTACGTAATATGGAACCTTTTCAAAAGGCTCCATCCAATAAAAGAAGAAAACCAAAAATTTGGTCTCCCAAACTGAATGAAAATGTGTTCATTCCTCCCACTTCAGGGAAGTGTCAAAAAAGACTGTCAGTTTCATAATTATGCCTCTTGAGCAGATGGGTGGTAAGACATTCTGTGGCATTTGAGAGGAAAATAATTTTAAAACCCTAAAAATAATAATAAAGGAACTTCTAAATAAAGTGCATGCTCCAACACACAAGTAAAGTATCTTAAAGCAGGAATGGGTTTTTAAAAACTGCTAGAGCCCCATTTGTTAGCTAGACCTTTCTATGTTTACAGTACACACACCATCAGGTTTTATAGCAGGTCATAATAAAAGACAACCCTGCAGAATGTTCCAGAATAGCTACATAAGTTTGGAGACGATGAATTTATGTAGTATGAATCCACAGTTTGCTCCCACTTTGAATCAACCACAGGAAATAGCTGATGCAGTGAACAAGGTTAAAATAACAATACGGAGCAGGGGCTGGGGGAGGGGCAGTTAATTCTCAACTTTTGTTTCATTAATTCCAAAAGAACAAGTAAAACAGAATACAGGGATGAAACTCACAGCTCAAATTCCTATTACAATCTGAAGGCTACGGCTACCTGGCTCTCTGAACTGCAGTCTGTTGATAGATGATAAATTCCATTTCCTGAATCATCACACCTTTCACAACACTGTATTTTCCTGACAGTGCTTCTTTGGATCCACTGGGTAGGTAAACACCACAGATTTAGGTGTGAACAATCTATCTGGAAAAGCATGACAAACAATATTGACAAGTCATTTGTTCCTTCTGTCTTTTGTGTCAAATTCAGAAAACCAAGGAAAAGGAAAGAAAAAAAGATTTCAAAGCCCATATAAAATTTTTGGTTGAGTTAGCAACACAGCCACCTGAGTCCTGCAACTAACAGGATAGTTCTAATAAGCAGGTGGTCTTTGATTTTTAAACATAATACAGTAAATTTTTTAAAAATTACACTTGTAATACAGGCTCATTGTAGAAGAAATTAGAAAGTAAAAATAAGCGAAAGATAAAATAAAATTGTTTATATTAATAATTCTGTTACCTAGAGGTCAGGACTATAAACATTTTGGTACTGGTTCTTCCTGATATTTTTTATACACACATGACTATATTTGCAAAAATACCATTTTTTACATACTAATTTGTAGGCTGCTTTTTCACATACATTACTTAACAACATGCAGAGTAATAGAATTCTATAATATTAATGGCTTTATATTTTTATATGCATATATGATGCAGTGAATATATATAAAATAGTTCCTACATATATACAACTATAGATAGTTCATTGAATATTATATATACACATACATATACATATATATGCACACATACGTAATACGTAGTTCTTACTACATTCCAGACAGCATTAGGTATTTAACTTACATGTTTTGTTTTGTTATTATAAATACTGCTGGGATAAAATGTTGTGTTATTATAAATACTGCCGGGATGAAATTGTTGCATATATAAATTTACATTTATTTTAGAAGTAAATTTCTTGAATAGTTAAAATTGCTTTCTTACAATTTTTAAAAGTAGATTTGGTTGGTCAAAGATGCAGTTTTTAATTTTTTGACATATTTTAACCAAGTTTTCTTCCAGAAAAACTGTACCAATTTAAGCTATCAACAGCAATTATGAGAATGCCCAATTCTCTTTACCTTTCTAAAGCTGAACTTAATCTTTTTTAACTTCTCTTATTTACATAGGAAAAATGTCATTCATAAATTTTCTTCTAATTTACACTCTTTGGTTTACTAGTAAGCCTGAACAACATTAATAATATTATTGGAAATTTCTACTTCTTATATCATGAATCATTGTTCATGTTTTTCTTAGAATTTAGTTGTGCAAAGCAGAAATTACTAAAGCTCTTTTAAGCAATATATAAGGAATTATATGTGTGTGTATATACATATCTGTAGGACATTACATACTTATAAAATGAGTAGAAGACCTAGTAAAATGGACTGGAAACTGGACATGTATAATATAGTGGATGCTATTGGTCAAATGCCACATTTCCTTTACAAGTCGGTACACCATGTCCCAGTTGCTGTGAGTTGTAAGCTCACAGCTGCCTGTCTCCCTAGAATTTTCTTTGGCTGGATAACAACCTCATCCTGGAAGTTAGACCATCCTTCTTCCCAGAGCTAACAGCCAATAACCAACCGACACGAGATACAAAAAGCCAGACTCCTTGCCTCAAGGTGGTGTAATTGAGGCTCCAGAACTTCCTGCAAAGATAAAAGTCACCTTCAGCACAGGTTACATCCGTGCTTAGACTCCTCCTTCTCCCATTCTCCTTCCTTAAGTAGTCTTTTCTTAAGAACATTCCTTCAACCAATCACCCAAATCCTCACCCAGCTTCTGCTTTTAGGGATCCTGAGAGAACACAATGACCCTGAGAATCACACTGCAAAGCTGGCTCACCAGGGAGGCTGGTGAAACAATTTGAAAACTGGGGAGTCAGGAAAGCTACTGTCCCAGTGTAGCTCAAGTTCCAACACACACGAGAATAGCATGTGCCCTGGACATCTTAATAAAGCTATGGAGTAGAAACTAGGGCCATCATGACGGCTGTTGCCAGAGAACCCATCACTTCCACAACTGAACTTGCCTGGATAAGCAGCAGGAACAGCAAAAGCCTGGCATGCATCCACCTTACTGGTCTCTTTTATTTTTTACTATACCATTCTCTTCATGAGATCTTGGGCCCCAACTGCTTAAGAGAGCCTGATGAAGGTGGTCTCTGGCTTTGAGACAGGCTGCAAGGATGTTGGAGGATGTGAGTGGCTATGTGTGCCACATTCATGGGAAGTCCTGAGAGATGAGGCCAGCTGGACTTCCTGAGTCTAGTGGGGACTTGTGGAACTTTCCTGTCTTACAAGAGGATTGTAAAATGCACCAATCAGCGCTCTGCAAAATGCACCAATCAGCAGGATTCTAAAAGTAGCCAATCGCAGGAAGATTGAAAAAAGGGCACTCTGATAGGACAGAAATGGAACATAGGTGGGGACAATAAGGGAATAAAAGCTGGCCACTCCAGCCAGCGGTGCCAACCCGCTCGGGTCCCCTTCCATGTTGGGGAAGGTTTGTCCTTTCACTCTTCAGATAAACCTTGCTACCGCTCACTCTTTGGGTCCGTGCCATCTTTAAGAGCTGTAACACTCACCGCGAAAGACCGCAACTTCATTCTTGAAATCAGTAAGACCACAAACCCACCAGTAGCAAGCAACTTTGGACATAGTCCCTTTTTTCATTTTCTATGACAGGTTCCTTTCCCTTCTCAATCCTTCCCATAATTCTCAGCTTGCTGTTTGTGTCTTAATATTGCTTTTGATGATTTGTGACATTAAAAAAATTTTTTTTTTCTTTTTGAGAGCTAGCTCTATAACCCATACTGGAGTGCAGTGGCACGATCTTGGCTCACTGAAATCTCCACCTACCTGCTTCAAGCAATTCTCCTGCCTCAGCCTCCAGAGTAGCTGGGACTACAGGTGCGCACCACCAAGCCCATCCAATTTTTCAAATATGTTTTGTAGAGATGAGGTTTTGCCATGTTGGCTGGGCCAGTCTCAAACTCCTGGCTTCAAGTGATCTGCCCGTCTCGGCCTCCCAAAGTGTTGGGATTACAGGCATGAGCTACTACGTCTGGCCTAGAATATTTTTTTAATAACTACTTTTCCTTTATAGTTTATCTTTGGCATTACCTCTGGAATGGCTTTCTCTATAAAGGTTATTAACAAAAACATTTCCTATGTTTTATTATTATTCTTTTTTATTACATATATTAAATTATTTGAAATTTGGCATGCACAGTGAGAGTAAAAATTCCGTTTAATATATGTTTCCAATATAAGCAGCTAAATACATAGCACAGAATGTTGAATAATTAATTCTTTAAAGTCTAACTTGATTATAATCCTTTTTGATATTTTAAGATTTCTGTTAAGTTTCATTGCCTGCCTGTCTGTGCTGTCACAAGTGCTGCATGGTTTAGATTTCTGTTGCTGTAGAATGCATTAAAACAGTGGGCAGTATAGAGCAATTTAAGTCATTCCTTTTCAAAGTTTACCTCAATATTCTTTGCGATGAACTCAAGAATCACTTTGACAAATCCTATAACAAATCCTTTGGGGAATTTTAAGTTCAACTGCATTAAATTTATGAATTAAATAAAAAAAGTTACACAATCCTGATACTTTTATTCGTGATTTTATTATTTATGAAGACTAAATTTGTTTTCATAATTTATTTGTTTGTTATTTAGTGGCCAATTGTGGATATTTTCTTCATGCAAGTACCAAAACTGTTTTAGTTGTAAATTTTAATGGAGTAAATTATATTTCATTAATCTTTCTCTTTTAGATGGACTCCTGATATCTCCAGTTACTTTAGTATATGACTATTCTAGAAATAGGAAAATGTTTTTAATTTTTACTTATTTCTGTCTTATATTATTATTCATTTATTTTTATTTACATGGGGAAAGTATATGGGATGCTCCATGAATATGCCTGTCATCCTGGCAGTTTATGATCTGCTGCCTCTCCACATGAACATCTGAATTAGTCTGTCACTATCCACAAAATAACTTGTTGGGATCTTTACTGACATTGCACTGAATTTATAGATTAAGATGGAAAGCGTCTTGACAATATTATGTCCTCTTATCTGTGAACATGAAATATATCTCCATTTATTTAGTTATTTGGTTTCTCTTTTCAGTTTTGTATTATTACTCGTATATATCTTGTATATATTTTATTAGGTGTATACCTAAGTATTTCATTTGGGAGAAAATTAATGTGAATGCTATTGTGTTTGTAATTGCAAGTTCCACATATTCATTGCTGGTGTAAATAGGAAGGTGATTGACTTTTGTATATTAACCTTGTATCAGGCAACCTTGTAATAATCACTTACTAGTTTCAGGAGTTTTTTTTTTTTTTGATAATTCTTTCGGATTTACTATACAAATCACGTCATCTGTGAATAGTCTTATTCCTTGCTTCCCAATCTGATACCATATCTTTTTTGTGTGTTATTGTACTAGTTAAGACTTCCAGTATGATGTTGGATACAATGGTGAGAGAGGACATCTTCCCTGTTTCCTGGTCTTAGTGGTAAAGCTTCGAGTTAATCACCATTAGATATGATATTAGATATAGGTATTTTGAAGATATTCTTTGTCAAGTTAAGGTTGTTTTCTATTCCTAGTTTACTGAGTGTTTTGTCATGAACATGAACATGTATTGGATTTTGTCAAACTTTTTTTCTATTTTATAATCCTGTAATTTTTCTTTAGTCTGTTGATGTTATTACATTAATTAGTTTTCAATATTGAACTAGCCTTGCGTACTTGGAATAAATCTCACTTGTCTTGGTGTATAATTATCTTCACACATCGTTGAATTTTATTTGCTAATATTTTCTTGGAAGTTTTTGCATCTAATTTCATGAAAAATATTAATCTGTAGTCTTTTCTTGTAGTTTTCTTTGTCTATTTTTGGTAGTAGGATAATGGTATCATATACTTATTTAGGGGGTATTCCCTCTGCTTCTTTCTACTGAAAGAGATTGTGGAGAATTAGTATAGTTTCTTCCTTAAATGTTTGGTCTTTAACTAAATTATATCTGCAAAATCTTTTTGTCATGTAAAGTAACATATTCGCAGGTTCCAGAAATTAGGATGTTGACAAGCAAAAAATTCTACAAATAATTGTCAAAGAAAAAACTCTAAAGTGTTTTGATAAATTTGTCATTTAAATCTTAGTATGAATGAAATTCACATCATTTTCTGAGCCAAGTTTTAACTGGAATTATGGGATATTACAGTCTGTCCAGACAGGAGGAGGTGAAGTCTTTGATTGCAGATAACATGTTGCCAATGAAATCCATAGTAATATTCCAGAGTAATTTTGTAGTTAATTCTGCTCTTTGACAGGGTTCCCAAAATTTATTGACAGAGTCCCATTTATGTAAAATGGCACAGAGCTCGGTTTGGGAAAAAAAGGCAGAGGGGATTTAGAATTCTATGTAAGTGTGTATTCTGTCACAAAACATAAGAGTTCAGTCATGTTGTATGGACACTGCTGGGGTTGAAAATGTCATGGTTCTCCAGAAAGACTTGCTCCCTTAGACAAAAGAAGTTATTGGAGCTTCATCACCACCCCCGGCCCCAGCTGTTTGATAGAGTGATTTTCACACATATGATGATCAACTGACTCTAATCTGTTCTTACATTTTGGCTGCTGTGATTACATTTCCTAAACAGGCAGCTTTCCATTTGGTAGCCAGATTGAGAGGAGTGTCTCCCTATCTTAAACACCCTCTGGATGATTAACCCGTCTTCATTTCCTCCCTCCAAAGCTCAGGGGAAATCTGAAGGACGCATGAGCCCTCAAAGCTTTTCCTTATTATGCCATGTCTTGCTACTCTTTTCCCACAACCTCGCTGCACGTGCTGCATATCAGGCAGATGTGCTCATTCTGCCGCCTGCTTATTTTCCTTGAAGTGATTTGCACAGCAGATGTTCCAGTAAGTGTTCTTTCCTTCGTCCCTTTACAATTCTGCTAAAAAAAAAATGCACTATACATGTGCTATTGACCTTCGGATTTTCAAAGAGAAAACTCTTCACAGCCTCCTCTCCACCTCAGTGGAAATTGCCTGATTTTCTCCCCTTGGCACAGATGTAAGTTATTAGGAGACTGTCTCCCATCAAGTTTTTTTTTTTTTTCAATGTTATTCTCTACTTCCAGGTGCATTTCTCCACAGCCTGATTGCTGCGTAGTTCTTTCATCATTTAAGATTTTGTTGCTTCTTCTAACCCAGTAGTACAGCTAACAGAACAGTTTTATCATACCTGTCTCTTTCATCCCAGAAATTTTGTGGGTCCTGCAGACTGATCACCCAGCTATTTACAATGATATTACAAGGTCAGACGCCATCATAAAAGAAAAATGAAGCTTTAAATGAGCTTCTCTGTAAATTTTGTTAAAGTAAAATCTTCAATGATGTGGTATAGATTATCATATGCATGCATTTTATAAACCTAATACACTGTTTTAATAATGTCAAATCCATTAAATATTAAGTTATTGAGATGCATTTACTTGTTCATTCTACCAATATTTCATGAGCCCCTAATACATGGCAGCTTTGTGCTAGTCATGGAGGGCAGACACCATCATGTCTTATTCATCTGTGTCCGCAGAGCCTAACGCCTGGACCAACATTTGTAAATGTTCATTAAATGTTTGTGGAATGTCCTTAGAGGACCAATGCAGAAGCTAAAGAAAATAATCTCATATTGTCATTGAAGGGCAATATATTATGGCGGTAAACATTATGACTTCCAGATTCAGACAAACCTGAGATTACATTCAGACTCTGACACTCAGTGGCTGCATACTCATGGGGGAAATTATTTAACATTTCTGAGCCTCAATTTTCTCATCTATTAATTTTTTGTAAGCTCAAATAGGACAGTGGGGCAATGTCTGTAAAATCTTTCTGATAGAACTTGTCATAGAGAGTGTCTGGCATATGTTTTAGCTATCAAGTGGTTAGTTTTATTATCATTCTCTTGTCTGGCATGAGTTTAAAGTGCTGGGGGACAGAAGAGGCAGACTGCTCTAGCACAAGGAAGAAACAATTGCACATGCTTCCCAAGCAATGTAAAAATTCAGAAAACAACCCTCAGAAAACAATTACTCCTTGCAAAATGTGGGCGAAGTTTTTAAACTGAAGAATCAAAGAACATCAAAGATGTAACATTCATGTCAAGCATCCCTTATCTTAGGCAGGCGTGTGTTAATTAAGACACTGCGGAATAACCACCAACCAACCAAAGCCTTCACTCATATGGGTGTTCTCCTGTGCAATGCAACCTGGCCTTCGTTGAGGCCGTTTGCAGAAACCTCTATAACTGGCTGGGTTACTGTATTTAGGGTCAGGATTAGTATTGAGGTTGGGTTTCAGCCATGTTTTAATTAAATCTCTCACCTCATAAGATATTGAGTAGAGACAAGCAGTGGCTACTCTTACTGTGAGGGCAGAGGTAGCCAATTAACTCAAGTGGACACATCAGACTCTCTTTCTGGAATGTACCCAATCACCCAGCTAAACAATGAATAATGTTTTAGTGGTCCCCCATTTACCTCACATATTGCACAAAACACGTGTTTATTGTTTTTCCGAAGTTCAGATTTCACTGGGCATCCTATTTTTGTGTCTTTTTGTTTTGCTTTTTGCTAAAACCAGCAACCCTAGATGAGAGGAATTTTAGGAATTTAGGCTTTTTCCTTCTAACCAATTGATATGATTTGGAGGTTTATCCTCTTCAAATTGCATGTTGAAATGTGATTGTCATTGTCCTAGGTGGGACCTGGTGGGAGATGACTGGATCATGGGAACAGATCCCTCATGAATGATTTAGTACCATCCCCTTAGTGATAAGTGAGTTCTCACTGTGAGTTCACATGCAATCTGGTTATTTAAAAGAGTGGGGCACTTCCTCCTCCTCTCTCTCTCTTGCTCCCCTCTTGTCATGTGATGCACCTGATCCCCCTTCACCTTCTGCCATGATTGGAAGCTTCCTGAGGTCCTCACCAGGAGCAGATGCTGGAGCCATGTTTGTACAGCCTGCAGGACCATAAGCCAATTAAACCTCTTTTCTTTCTAAATTACCCAGCCTCAGGTATTTATTTATTTTTTTTTATTTTTTCTCAGAGATCCTTGTTCTGAAGGTATTTCTTTATAGCGATGTAGAAATGGCCTAACATGTCAATGTAAAAGGCGTTGATAAATTCCCTTTCAAGCCTTGTTTATTAGCAGAAAACAAGGACCTGGAGCAGTGTGGCCTGAAAAACCCCTCATGAAAGTTATTTGGTTCATTCGAAAATGTTAAAAAGAAAATTACTGAGATAACTCTGGTGCACACAAATGGTAGAACACTAGTGGGCATGCAAATAAATGAGTTAATGTTTTAAACTGTATTATCTCCATTAACCTTCAAAAAACCCTGTGAGATAAATAAAATTGTTATTCCTGTTTTATATATGAGAAAACTGAGGTAGGAATATTTTAAATCACTTGAATGAATGCCCCAGAGCTGACATTCAAGCTAAAGTTTTACTCTTTGCCATATATATGCATAACCACCATGACATTGTCTTCAATTAGTATAACTTAAGATATAAGAATCATATTCAAAGACAAGAAATCACACCTCTTCTCTCTCATGTCAAAAAAGATGCTCGTCTGAATTATCTAAGCTCATTAGCCAATACGAAACAGATGACAATATATCCCGAATATTATAACAAACTTACTAGAAAATGCTCCAAATTGGCCTTCAATATGTCAGAAAACCTTTTATTTCCACAGGCAAATTAAAATTGTAACATATGTTCAAATAACTCTTTACACGTATTTTTTCTTATACTGCCAATTTCCATGCAGAGGGCCCGTAATCCGTCTTGTTGGCACTGTATCTAATAGAACCATTGTTGCTCCTCCAGTAGCAAGTGATCATTCTAACATCAAATCACATGTCTCCCTCATTTCTCAGGTTCCAGTGAATCAACAAGACACACATCATATGTAAATATCAGAGTGTTAGCCCTGTGCTTGAAGGAATTCTAAAATATGATTCTAGAAAACAAATCTAAGAGTTCATTTCAAAACTGCTCTCTTGAGGATATAGTATTCATTATTCTGATCATTTTTCTTATTTAAAAGTCCTCATATCCCCCTTTGACTTCTTTCTTTCTGGTATTTCAGTGCTGGATTTAGTGTGAGCTCCTGTCTAAGGGGTACATTCCTAATTCCTTTATTGTCAGAGATTCCTCCTTAATTTGAATAGACAACATCCCTGACTCAATATTCTTGCTCAGAAAAGATGCCAACGCTTTAGTGTCCCAGTGCTATTTCTGATTGGCCTTCCTCAAGCTGTGACCTTTAATCAAGTGCTTTTCTGAAAACTATGCCTATCCGGGGCTTTGGGAATTTGCTACTCCAAAGTCAGTGCAAGTATATTATTCTGATGTTATTTTTCTACTTTAGCGTATGCCTCTACTTTTTCTGGGTTCACATGGCAATCACTCACCCTAAAAGGAAAAAAGGACTTTGAATTCTACACACAGTGCCACACACTGGTGCCTAGACCCTTGGTCTTAGTCCATTCAGGCTGCTCTAACACAATATTGTATCCTGAGTAGCTCATAAACAACAGATATTTATTTTTCACAGTTCTTGAGACTGGAAAGCCCAAGATTAAGATGCCAACAGATTCAGTGTTAGGTGAAGGACTGCTTCCTCATAGACAGCTGTATTCTTACTCTAACCTCACGGGGGAGAAGCAGTGAGGAAGCTCTCTAGTATCTCTTTTAGAAGCCCACTATTCCCATATGAGGCTCCAGCCTCATGACTTAATCACTTTCCAAAATGTTCCACTTCTAATACCATCAGCTTGGGGGTCAGAATTTCAGCATATCAATTTTGGGAGAAGCAAACATCTTCAGACCATAGCACTCTCCAAGTCAAATCCTTCCACTGAAATTCTGCAGGTAATGGGACTCCATTCCTAGAAGTAAAGCCCTTCCTCCATCAGGGCTTTTCTTTCCATATAGGATTCTGCTTGTATGGGATCAGCTGCATTGCAGGTTGAGACCGTATCCTAAAATTAAATCCTCTTCCTGCCTAGACAAGTTTCTATCTTCTAATTTATTCTGTTCCTTATGAGACTGTATCAGTAAGAAATGCAGTTGGTTGCAATAACAGTTTCAATTCTAAGAAAGCCTTTCTCAACCTTAAAACAAATCTCATTTTCATCAAAGCAAGGCCCTTTTAGGAACCTGTAGGATACTTCTCAAGGGAAGTGCCATATCAGCAGATTGAAATGTTACTACCACTTGTTCAGGCAGAGCTTAGCCCCCCATTTCCCAGTCCGTTGCCCATATTCTTGATCTGCTGAGCCAGGAAGACCACACTTCATTACACATATTTTATTGCAAGCTGAGCCATGAAGACCACATTTTATTACAACTGAAGCAGAAAATATAATTAATTATAATATTATGATGTTATACTTTAATACTATTAATGTCAAACTATGGAATCAGGGCATCTTGAAAAAGTATTGTGGAATAAGAAGAATTTTTGATATTTTTTGGTAAAAATGATAGATGAAACTCTCAGATCAACTTTTAGTCCCTCCTGAAACCCAAGATAATATCATTAAAGGATTATTTTTTAAAGGCATAATCTCATAAAGAAAAAAGAAGGGAATTAACAGTAACATTTTAAATCTAAAAGTAAAGAGGTGAATTGTAACTGACTTATCATATAGAACCAAAGTGGAAAAAGCTGAGAAATTATAGAACACCTCTGAAATTATCAGCAGCAGGTCTTCAAGAAGTCAGGGTAAAGATAACGCTAAAAACAGAAGGGTTCCAATCTAGAGCAAAACCAGAACAAGATATGAGAGCAGGTAATGGAAATTGGGTATTATAAATATGGAGTACCCTGACAAGAAAAAATTCTTACCCCAACTTTGTGCAGCTGGGGACTGCCCCTTCCTATCCCAGGCAGAGCACACTAGAGAATGATTTAGAAAGTACAATTGATACAGGTATAGGTACATCAAAGCAGGGAATTAAATGAGCATATGCCACATGGTGAGACAACCAGCCCTCTTGTACTACCACTTCCGTGATATTCTGAGCCAGGTCTACACCCTTCTGGTGGAATATTGAAAATGTCCTCTCTGTGGAATCTGACTGGCTCCAGAAGAAAGACCTAAGGAAATTGATATCAGAGAGGCCTTAATTAAACAGCCGAAAGAGATGATCTTTCAAAGAAACTCACATCCCAACCCGTATCTATAAAGCTGCAATGAGCTTTCTAAACAGAAACAAAACGACCGAGTATTTGCAAGCCTAAGAGGACAACCTCTAACATGAAACTTAGAGGCTGGCACAGACAAAAAGGCAGTAGAAAATTGGAGCAAACCATGAAAAGGATAAATAATTTCTAAGTATATTCTGATATGAATGTATATTTTTAGATACATACAAAATACATCTCTATCTCTATATATCTATATATAATACATACTTTCTATGTATCTATCATCTATCGATATAACTAAATGTATAGAATGTTTTTATAAAACATTCTTAATATTTAAATATTTTAAATAAAATATCTTTTTTTGGATCAAATGAGAAATGAATGTAAAGGTTTGAGTATGGTATTTGTCACATATGAGATACTCAGTATTGGTGGCTATTATTATTATAACTATTAATTTGTTGTAGCAGAAGGAAAGTTAATTAACCAGCAAAAAAAAAAAAAAATCCATACTGTCTACATGTATGTGTTTATTTCTGACCACAGGTGAGCGATCATGGACTTTCTGAAAAGAATGGAGGTGCATTCTGAGACCAGGAGTGGCCTCACTCAGTGTTATCCTTCCATTGTTCAATGAACGCTGTTAGACCGAATTCATAGATTTTAAAAGCAGAAAAGATTGGAGTACACAATGAGTATATGCACAGGGTCTAAAGAACACAAATAGAGAGTGCAGGAAGACCATCACACTGCCAAGAGCCTCAGTTTGTCCTCAGTGACCCAGCTTTTCCTCTGCACCCATCGTCAGGGTCCGGTGGACTTATCGAAGTGTGTTTTCACAGGACAGTCAGTTCCTCACTGGAGTCCTCTGTTCCACCAGGCCTTCCTCAGGGGCTCTGCAGCACAGTGGCAAGGTAAACTGAATTAGATGATACCACAACAGTTTTAATCAGAATTGAGGACAGAAAAAAAAACCCACAGAAATAAGAAATAAAACTCAAAGGAAATGTCCCAATGCAACAGATTCAGAAATCACAACCTAAAGCACAGCTATAGCTGCAGCTAAATGAATTCTCCTTGAGTTGAGGTGATTTTTTTTTTCCCTGCTGGCATTGATATCAGGTTTGGCTGACCCTGCACTTATTCCATGCTGTTTTGGTGCATTAGCCTGCTGCTACTGTCTCCTACACACCAGAGGTAGCAGCCTTTGAGAAGTAAAACTACTTGACACAATTTGATAAAACAAAGCAAACTGCTCCCTTTCTCAATGTTTCAGGACATGAAACCAGGCAGGTTTAACACAAGCTGGTCCATTCAATTATGTGTCTTCTTTCATACTCTCTCTATCCATATTGTAAAAGACATATGTATATATCACTCACAAACAGTGACATAAATAAATTCATATCAATAAAAGTATGCATTTATATGCATTTCAACACAGGAAAGCATCCCTATTACAGAATACAGTCAAACAGATGTAAGTTCTATTTCATGGGAAAAAAGTAGGATTAGTAGGTGGATGTTTAACATTTCAAACACAAGCAAGAAGGGTTTTTTCCTCCCCAAATAGCTGTGTCCACACTAAAATTTGCTGTTTTGTTAAATGGTAAGATTTTCATCACAGCAGGCGAAGACAGAAATATTATGGAGGAAAATGGTACATTAGAAGAAAGTTTAGACACTATATTCTTTTTCCATTCTAGGAGTTCCTTATTTTGTAAATATACTCCAATTTGAGACATAAAAGCCACATTGTAATTTCAAATGGGATTGATACTTACGTAAGGACACCATCTTCAGTACTTTTATAGTTTGTTTGCAAGTCGCATTGTGTGTTAAACTTATGTAGTTCCTTTTTTCACTATTCCATGTAGCAAATGTGATGCTATATTTCGGAATTCCAAAAACAAGCTTATTTTCTCTAGATTGCCAGCTCAGTCTTCCCCAAGGCACTGATTTGATCTTGTTACCTCCCGAAATTAAAGTAATCATTGCAAATTCCTTAGCGACGTCCAGCCACGTCTACTCCTCTCCCTAATCCCTGCTTGCAGTCTCTTTATCTTACTGTGCCGCCGTATATTTTAACCAGTGAGCTAGGTATTTTATATAGATTATCATAATACGAAGTTTTACATCGTAGACATTATAATCTTAAATTTTGCCTCAGATTGGCCCAAATTTTTGTGTGTACTATAATGTCTCTCTCTTATAGTTAACAATTTATAAAACATACTGACAATGTTCGAGTTTTCTACTTTTATATGGTTAGTCCATAGGGTGGGATATTACAAGTAAAAGAAAAATGTTTATAGAAAATCACAGTTATCTCAATTATTGGCAACCGTTTAATATAATAGATGCTCATTCAGAAATGAAAAGGAAAAGTCACAGAATATTATAAAGGCTATTAGGGATCTGATCCCAAATGATGTCATCTACAGCCACATGGCAGCTATAGTAATGATAAAGACTTAAAATATCTCTGCTAGGCATTTACACGTCACACAGCATCCCAGAACCAAGCCACTCAAGGTATTATATTAATGGACAAGTGCAATTCAGTGTTAAGATAAAGCTAGAGCTGTTGAGGCTAATGGAGTATTTTCAGGAATAAACCTGCAAATGCCTTGGTCATTCATCTTTGCTTTGCTCCAGGGTCTACACAGAGAGAGAGAAAAACAACCAGGCCGCAGGCCCAGACGCATTTTACAGTTGTGCCCATTAACTCTTGGAGAGAACACAGACACGCCACCTAATGATAGCAATTTCCAGTCAATCTAGCAAAAGTCATGACCTGTTCTGGGTTTCCTGGAGGTTATAAGAACATTGACTAATTTACTGAGCCACTATAATAAGATAACCAGATGGAGAAGCTAATGGGCTGAGACACCAACTGTTAAACATTATTTGCTAACATCAGTATAGCAAAACCAGAGAGTAGAGCATATTATAGGCCAGTATGTACCTTTTAATTAAAATAATACTGTTTCAGCATTATTTTAATATCGGAATTAGGCAGCATGGATTCTGAATACCAGCCTTATCTTTGGTTTTTGAATGTGTGTGCTTTTCTTTTCTTTTTTTTTTTTTTTTTTTTTTTTTTTTGCATCTTTTGGAATAACTGCATTAGCAAAGTCAGACAACCTGAATATCACAGCATCTTGATCCAGGCGCTTGAAGAATCTATTTAATTGCTTGTTTGATGCTATCAAAATAATATTTAAAAGAAAATATAGCAATAGTCACAAAAGTAAAAAAAAAAACTTAAAATTGAAAATAATATCTTTAAGGATCATTTGGTATAATCTCTACATTGTATACTTGAATACCTTTTATGAATTTTTCTATACATCATGGAAGTGTAAACTATCCCATTCTAGTTTGTCTTAATTACTGTCCTTCTCAACTGCTTATGATAGCCACAGTAAGTCATTGCTTTAAGCCAATCCATTTTAGTGGCCCAACACTCCTCTACCCCCAATTCTATTATGTCATTACAGTCTCGAAAACATGTTCTTATCGACATATACTCAGAGTCTGATAAAATGCTACTGGCCACATATTTATTGGGTTTATGGGGCTTTCTTGAAAGTATCTTTCCACTTCCCTCCTTTGGTAGGTCGTGTGTGTGTGTGTGTGTGTGTGTGTGTGTGTGTCACCAGGCTGGAGTGCAGTGGCGTGATCTCAGCTCACTGCAACCTCTGCCTCCCAGGTTCAAACGATTCTCGTGCCTCAGCCTCCTAAGTAGCTGGGACTACAGGCGCGTGCCACCACGCCCAGCTAATTTTTATATTTTTAGTACACACGGGGTTTCACTATGTTGGCCAGGATAGAGGATAGTCTCGATCTCTTGACCTCGTGATCCGCCCGCCTCGGCCTCCCAAAGTTCTGGGATTACAGGCGTGAG
The DNA here is from genome assembly GCF_000001405.40 of Homo sapiens. Lineage (NCBI taxonomy): Eukaryota > Metazoa > Chordata > Mammalia > Primates > Hominidae > Homo > Homo sapiens. Next base: position 76,694,342 of record NC_000002.12, read on the forward strand.
CCACTGCAACCGGGCCCGTAGAGTATTTTTTGTTAAGTCTTTACCTAAGAACTTGTTTGGAAATTTTTATTTGAACAAATAAGACATGTTATCCCAATTTTCCATTTGCTGATTTATTCATCCTGGATGATTTTTCCTCCATGTAATCCATTCACACTTACTTTTTATTCACCCTATCTCTGCTCTTACTTTCTCTAGCCCAGAATTATCCCTTCCTTTCTTCCTTGTTGTGTCTTTCTCTTTTCTTAATTTTTCTTTGTCTTCTTAATTTATTATGCTGTCATTCTTATTTTATCACTTCTACATGTTTTGAGTCAAGAGTGTTGATTTTAATTTTACTTGTCCGGTTGTGGGCTTTGAAAGGCATACACACAAGCACAAACAGCTGCAGAATCAATTAAAATAAACAAACACAAGCAATCTTTATTCCTTCCAATCCTCCCCCTTCCCAGAGGTGGATAGAAACTGGTAATTCCATGGCCAGTGTGAATTAACTAAAAATTTAGCCAATTAAATAGTATTCTTAAGAATGAACTTATATTTGAAGAAAAGTGATTTTTGAGATTTGTCACAAATTCACTATTTTTTTTGTTCATTCATTCAGTGTGGGAGATAATATTCCACTACAGGTAGTTTAAACAAAAAACTGTATCTACCTCTTGTGTGTGATCTATGATGCCACTACTTTCTAAGATTTCTAAAATACTCACTTTCTAAGGTTCTGGACCCTGAAGCATTCAGTCTCCTCAAGAAAACTGTCATTTATTTACCAACTCCTAAGTCACTTTGCAGTCACTGACTTGAAATCTTCATCTCCATTCTCAGTTCTGCTGGCCATTTGTTAACTTTCTGACTTTGAGAGATGGAGAGATACTAATCCTCTCTACAACAGACAATTTTATCTGAAAATGCAGAAAGTAAGAGCCTTTACTTCACAGGCTTATTAAACACCTAAATGATTTTTTTAAATTTGCATACTTTAGGACTTGTTTTTTTGTGCTATGGGTTTTGACAAATGTGCAGTGTCACTTTTCCACCATTATAAGTGCACTTCTACGCAAGTGCAAGAGTTTCACAGCCCTAAAAAATTCCCTATTCTTCACCGATTTAACTATCTCGACCCTATCCACAAACCCCTGGCAACTATAAATCTTTATACTATCACCGTGGTTTTGCCTTTTTTAGAATGTATACATTGTGTATGTACAAGTGTCATATAATACATTATCTCTTCATAATGTATTTTTTCACTAAGCGATGTAAGTTTTAAGATTCATGTGTCTTTTTCATAGCTGCATCACTTATTTCTTTTTATCACTGAATAACATTCCATTGCATGGATGTATCCCAGTTTGTTTACTCATTCACCTGTTACAGGACATCTTGGTTGATTGGTGATAATGAAGTTGCTATAAACATTCACATACAGATTTTGATGAAGAGACACGTTTTCAGATCAGTTGGTTGGTACTTAGGAGCACATTGGCTTGATTGTATGATAAGACTATATTTAGTTTTGTGAAAAACAGCCAAAAGGATTTCTAGAGAAGCTGTAGCCTTTTTCTTTCCAAGCAGCAATGAATGACAGTTCGTCTGTATCCTCATCAGTAATTAGAATGATCAGGTTTTTGGATTTTAATCATTCCAATAAGTGTGTAGTGGCATCTCATTGTTGTTTTAATTGCCAATTCCCTTATATATGTGTGTATAAAAAAGCATATTTAATATGCCTAATATAATATTAAACATATTTTCATATTCCTATTTGCTGTCTATATTCTTTAGTCGGGTGTCTGTGGAGATTTTTTCCCAATTTTTAGTTCGGTTGTTGGTTTTCTGATTTAACTTTCAAGGGCTCTTTTTAAAGTTTTTAAAGTTCTTTGGATATTATGAATATAAGTTATTTATCAGATAAATGTTTTGCAGCTATTTTCTACCAGTATGTGACTTCTCTTTTCATTCTCTTAGCTGTGTCTTTTGCAGAACAGACAATTTTAATGAAATCCAACCAACCATTTTTTTTTTTGTGGATCACATTTGGTATTTTGTTTAAAATTTATCACCAAACCCAAGTTCATCTAGATTTTCTTCTATAATTTCTTCTAGAAATTTTACAGTTTTGCATGTGACATTTAGGTCTATGTTCAATTTGGAGTTAATTTTTGTAAAATGTATCAAATCAAAACAGCTTCTAGATTCTTTGTCTCTTTCCTTTTTTTTTTTTTTTTTTTTGGCATATGGACATGGCATTTTTCCAGTATCTTTTGTTAAAAACGGTATTCTTTCTCTATTTTCTTTTTCTCCTTTTTGAAAATAGTTTTTTTTTAATTTAGTTTGACTTTCCTCAACATGTTAAGACACCAGCCCTTGATCTGCAATGACTCTCCTAAGGAGTCAGAACCCCAGTTCCATGGAAAACTTCCTCTAAGTTACTAGGATCTGATAATTCCAACCTCCGTCCTACCAGTGGAAACAACTTCCTGCAGTTACCATCTCTGCTAACTCAGTACCTCCTTCACCTATTTTTTTCATTGTTTAAATATCTGTTTTACCAATTCCCTATATGAAGTTCTCTGTTAAAATACTTAGTGGGGTTTTTCTGATGGATACATATTTTGAATACTTAAAAAATATGTATAAGGCACTTCATAATAATTTTATATTATAAATTAAATGAAAAAGACTATGTACATTAAATCTCAAAACTGTATAAGGGGAAGAGATAAATGTTTGTTAAGCAAGAAAAGTCCTTCTGTAGTTGCCATCTCGTGTGCATCAGGGCTTAGAACGTGTTCTGCAACATCGTGTTACTTGGATTAATAAGCATGCATTTTTCAGAAATCTTATAAACCTGGGATCAACAAAAAGACAAGAAAGCAAGAATTTCACAAAGCAAGCATTTTCTCCAGAGAGAAGCATGATAAGGCCTGGACATTCTGTGGGATATGCATTATGAGTTTGCAATCCAGGGTAGATCTCCACATCAATGTTTCTCTTCCTTTTTAAGGATCATCATGAAAACAGCTGAGTCAATGGGGGCAACACAGGTTACTGGAATGTCAGGCAGACATGCCTAGAAACTGTTCTATAAAGATTGTCTGAGAAAGGGAGCTTTGCAGCACCCAGAGACTCTGGAACTCTTGGGAATTTGTCCACCCTCCTACTGTGTCCAGAATTGGTGGGTTATTGGTCTCACTTCAAGAATGAAGCCGCGGAGCCCCGCAGTGAGTGTTACAGTTCTTAAAGGCGGCGTGTCCGGAGTTTGTTCCTTCTGATGTCCGGATGTGTTTGGAGTTTCTTCCTTCCGCTGGGTTCGTGGTCTCACTGGCTCAGGAGTGAAGCTGCAGACCTTCCCGGTGAGTGTTACAACTCTTAAGGCAGCGCGTCTGGAGTTGTTCGTTCCTCCCGGTGGGTTTGTGGTCTCGCTGGCTTCACGAGTGAAGCTGCAGACCTTCGTGGTGAGTGTTACAGTTCATAAAGGCAGTGTGGACACAAACAGTGAGCAGCAGCAAGATTTATTGCAAAGAGCAAAAGAATAAACCTTCCACATTGTGGAAGGGAAACCCAGCGGCTTGCCAGTGCTGGCTCAGCAGCCTGCTTTTTCCCCTTATCTGGCCCCATCCACATCCTGCTGATTGGTCCATTTTACAGAGAGCCGATTGGTGTGTTTTACAGAGAGCTGATTGGTCCGTTTTGACAGGGTGCTGACTGGTGCATTTACAATCCCTGAGCTAGACATAAAGGTTCTCCAAGTCCCCACTAGACTCAGGAGCCCAGCTGGCTTCATCCAGTGCTTCTTGCATGGGGGCCGCGGGTGGAGCTGCCTGCGAGTCCTCCGCTGTGTGCCTGTACTCCTCAGCCCTTGGGTGGTCAATGGGACTGGGCTCATCGGGGAGGCTTTGGGTGCACAGGAGCCCACAGGTAGGGGGGCGGCTCAGGCATGGCGGGCTGCCGGTCCTGAGCTCTGCCCGCAGGGAGGCAGCTAAGGCCCGGCGAGAAATTGAGCACAGCAGCTGCTGGCCCAGGTGCTAAGCTCCTCAATGCCCGGGGCCGGCTCCGCTGGCTGCTCCGAGTGCGGGGCCCGCCGAGCCCACGCCCATCCAGAATTCGCACTGGCCCACAAGCCGCATGGGCAGCCCTGGTTCCCACCCGCGCCTCTCCCTTCGCACCTCCTGGCAAGCTGAGGGAGCCGGCTCCAGCCTTGGCCAGCCCAGAAAGGGGCTCCTACAGTGCTGCGGTGGGCTGAAGTTCTCCTCAAGCGTGGCCAGAGTGGGCGCCAAGGCCCAGGAGGCGCCCAGAGCTAGCGAGGGCTGTGAGGGCTGCCAGCACGCTGTCACCTCTCACTACCAGGGGAAAGAACACCATTGAGGAGTTGGATTCAGATACAGTGCCCAAACTGCCCTTTTGCCCAGGCAACCCAGATGAATTTATCTGTTGCTCCATAGCCCTTTACTCTGCTCTACATTTGTTTTCTTCTTTTTTAAAAAAATAAATAGAATTATTTAACCTTTTAACACACTGTATAATTTGCATGCTTATTATGTCTACTGTTTTCTGACTGTCTGCACCAGAATGTAAAGTACAAGAGGGCAGAGCTTTTGGTTGGTCCACTGTTAATATCCAAGTGTCTAGATTTTGTCTGCATCCTAGTAGATACTTGATAAATACTTATTGAATGAACAAATAAATGAAGGCTGAAGTTACTTTTTTCCAAGTCTGGCTGTTTTTCCTTTTTGACTCACTCTCTTGGAATCTCGTCCACTCACCTCAGCTCTACTAAGCATTTTCAAGCTCTTCTCTCTAAATCTGGGTACCACTTTTTATATCAAGCACCATGGTCTTTTCTACACTTGTGCACATTTTTTCCCTCTTCACTAGTTTCTCTCACAAGAATGTATTTTAGGAAGAAAAGTGAGTCAATTTTGAAAACCATGTTGACAAGTATTAGTATGAAGACATGGGAAAAATTGAGTGTGTAATTAGAGTGATCCAAGTTTATAAAAACCATAAGATCAAAGAAAAAGAAAAAACAGTTTTCTTTATAAGTCTCAAAGGACAGGACTAATGGGAGTGAGGGAGATATAAATATAGTAAGATGGGGATGAGTATTCAGAATTATATGTTAAAATCGAAGATTTTAGAAACTCAGAGAGAAGTGTAAGATGACAAAAATGACAGGTGTGGGTGTTACAGGGAGGACAGTATAAAGTTTTCTGAGAGAAGGGTCAAAAATCTGTGATTCCAGTATATTGGATGGGCCAAAATAGGTAGGCTTAAGTAACAGATATAATCTTAAAGGTGATTGCCCATGTAAAATTTTCTAACAGCCCCAAGAATAATAACTGAATGGTATCAAAAAGGAGGAAGTTAGTTTTCTTTTTTTTCTCTCTTGCTCTCTCTCTCTTTCTCCCCTCTTCCTTCCTTTTTCCTCTCTCTCTCTGTCTTCCAATGAAATATTATAAAACAATTACAGAGAAGCTTCAGAGGGAACCAGAAGTGTTTTCACCTTTCTCATGTCACTGAGATAGAGAGTAAAAGAAGTTTTAGCTGGAAAAGTTGGTGAGACCACACCAACCCAGTTCTGTCCATAGAGACTTCAAAAAAATCTGAGATGAAGGAAACACTCACACAGCTACTTCTCATGGCTAAGAATGTATTATCTGCCACGGATAGATGTTTTCCCCTGCCCAGAATTTTGATTAATGCCCTTTGAATACAATGACCTGTTGATTTACAGATATTTCATTTGTGTAATGAGAAACACATTTTCATATTAAAGGAGATAATACCTACAAACATAACAGCAGGATGCTCCATCTTAGGATGACTTTGGTAATTTAGGCAAAATTTGAAGTTGAATTTCACCTGCTTTCCATTTTGATTTTCTTATCACTGAATCTTGGTACACTTGTTTTCAACATTAAAAATCAGCAAACTTGGCTGGGTGCGGTGGCTCACACCTGTGATCCCAGCATTTTTGGGAGGCTGAGGCAGGTTGATCACCTGAGGTCAGGAGTTTGAGACCAGCCGGGCCAACATGGTGAAACCCCACCTCTACTAAAAATACAAAAATTAGCTGGGTGTGGTGGTGGATGTCTGTAATCCCAGCTACTCGGGAGGCTGAGGCAGGTGAATCACTTGAACCCAGGAGGTGGAGGTTGCAGTGAGCCGAGATTCACACCATTGTACTCCAGCCTGGGCAACAGAGTGAAACCCTGTCTCAAAAAAAAAAAAAAAAAAAACAAATCAGCAAACTTCACTTATGCATTACAAAAGAAAGTGAACTAATTTCATTATTTGACTTAGTTTATCATCATACTTGTATTTTATATGCAATTTATTAAAATAGTTTTTACATTTGTCTTTTCTATTATTTGGCCATAATATCTGAACTTAGGAAATGTCAAGGTTAAGTCCTTCACCTAAATAGAATGACAAAGTATGACAGCAGAAATTGTGTATGATATGCCCTTCTACTCAATCATGTGGAGCATGTCACTTCTTGTCCAACTTATCTTGAGAGCCATTGAATGTATTTGACAGGACATATATTTGGCTGCTGGAATGATGGACGTATCCGAATGTGTAGACCTGGCTTGATGGCAGAAGATTATGAATGTGTAGCATCGAGGGCAGGTTCGCAGCAGTGAAAACAAAATTTCTACCTGACGCTGCACCAAAGTCCTGGGATATTTGCCCTATTGTGATGGCTGACAGTTTGCATGTGTTTCAACTTTGGCAATCAGTCAATCTGCTCTTGATGGGTAATTGCCAGCAGGAAGCTAATTTTTCCACATCAATTGTCACACATGTCTCTAATATTCTTATTCACTGTTAACTAGATTGGCGATGTTGTTTCAGACAAGAATAGGAAAAGGTGTGAGCTTTCTTCCTGAAGACACCATAGTCTGGCTAAATTATACAAGTAAAAAGCCAACAAATCTTAAAATAACAGATAATGTCCAATGTCATATTTATGCATTAGTCAGTATAAAATTGCTAGTAACATTTTATGTTGCTGTACATGAAGTAAGTCATTTTAGCTTGTGAAACAGCCATGAATGCATTTTGAAAATAGAATTTTATAACCACTTGATGTGGATACGATAGGCTCTTTCTTTAAATACATTTTAAACTAAAATAAATAACATTTTTCTAATTAAGAAAATACATATTATTTAAGAAAGTAGAACAAAGATGAGAATTGATATAATACAAAGTACATATTACTGATAATTCCATCACAAAATAATTTTAGATATATGTTTTCAGATACACATATGCACAGATGTATGTCTTTTTTCTACATCTCTGACAATTACTTTATAACAAAACATATGGATCATTGACCTTTGCAAATTATTACTCTAATAAATTTTTGATATTCACTTCACCAGGTTTCATTTGTTCCATATTTGGGCTTTTGAAATTTTTAGCTTTTATAAATTATACTTTAATATATAACCTTAAGATTACATATATAAAGACTTCCTTTATCATTTTCTTATGAAAAACAACACAAAAGAATTGCTAGGATTAAGAATGTGCAATTTTAGTCTTTTTATATCTGATACGTGGTTTCTCAGAGCTTAAACTGGCAGTAGAGTGTAAGAATTTCCACTTTCTCCCACCAAAGAATATTTTTTTGCCAATTTAAAAAATTAAGAAGGAGCAAGATTATCTTTACTGTTTTCATTAGAATGATTTGATTACTGAGGAATAAAATGTGATTATTGGGTATGTTTTTTCCCTTTTTATTATTATTATACTTTAAGTTTTAGGGTACATGTGCACAATGTGCAGGTTAGTTACATATGTATACATGTGCCATGCTGGTGCGCTGCACCCACTAACTGATCATCTAGCATTAGGTATATCTCTCAATGCTATCCCTCCGCCCTCCCCCCACCCCACCACAGTCCCCAGAGTGTGATGTTCCCCTTCCTGTGTCCATGTGTTCTCATTGTTCAATTCCCACCTATGAGTGAGAATATGCGGCATTTGGTTTTTTGTTCTTGCAATAGTTTACTGAGAATGATGATTTCCAATTTCATCCATGTCCCTACAAAGGAAGTGAACTCATCATTTTTTATGGCTGCATAGTATTCCATGGTGTATATGTGCCACATTTTCTTAATCCAGTCCATCATTGCTGGACATTTGGGTTGGTTCCAAGTCTTTGCTATTGTGAATAATGCCGCAATAAACATATGTGTGCATGTGTCTTTATAGCAGCATGATTTATAATCCTTTGGGTATATACCCAGTAATGGGATGGCTGGGTCAAATGGTATTTCTAGTTCTAGATCCCTGAGGACTCGCCACACTGACTTCCACAATGGTTGAACTAGTTTCCAGTCCCACCAACAGTGTAAAAGTGTTCCTATTTCTCCACATCCTCTCCAGCACCTGTTGTTTCCTGGCTTTTGAATGATTGCCATTCAAACTGGTGTGAGATGGTATCTCATTGTGGTTTTGATTTGCATTTCTCTGATGGCCAGTGATGGTGAGCATTTTTTCATGTGTTTTTTGGCTGCATAAATGAGAAGTGTCTGTTCATGTCCTTTGCCCACTTTTTGATGGGGTTGTTTTTTTCTTGTAAATTTGTTTGAGTTCATTGTAGATTCTGGATATTAGCCCTTTGTCAGATGAGTAGGTTGCGAAAATTGTCTCCCATTTTGTAGGTTGCCTGTTCACTCTGATGGTAGTTTCTTTTGCTGTGCAGAAGCTCTTTAGTTTAATTAGATCCCATTTGTCAATTTTGGCTTTTGTTGCCATTGCTTTTGGTGTTTTAGACATGAAGTCTTTGCCCATGCCTATGTCCTGAATGGTAATGCCTAGGTTTTCTTCTAGGGTTTTTATGGATTTAGGTCTAAGGTTTAAGTCTTTAATCCATTTTGAATTGATTTTTGTATAAGGTGTAAGGAAGGGATCCAGTTTCAGCTTTCTACATATGGCTAGCCAGTTTTCCCAGCACCATTTATTAAATAGGGAATCCTTTCCCCATTGCTTGTTTTTCTCAGGTTTGTCAAAGATCAGATAGTAGTAGATATGCAGCATTATTTCTGAGGGCTCTGTTCTGTTCCATTGATCTATATCTCTGTTTTGGTAGCAGTACCATGCTGTTTTGGTTACTGTAGCCTTGTAGTATAGTTTGAAGTCAGGTAGTGTGATGCCTCCAGCTTTGTTCTTTTGGCTTAGGATTGACTTGGCGATGTGGGCTCTTTTTTGGTTCCATATGAACTTTACAGTAGTTTTTTCCAATTCTGTGAAGAAAGTCATTGGTAGCTTGATGGGGATGGCATTGAATCTGTAAATTACCTTGGGCAGTATGGCCATTTTCACGATATTGATTCTTCCCACCCATAAGCATGGAATGTTCTTCCATTTCTTTGTATCCTCTTTTATTTCCTTGAGCAGTGGTTTGTAGTTCTCCTTGAAGAAGTCCTTCACAACCATTGTAAGTTGGATTCCTCGGTATTTTATTCTCTTTGAAGCAATTGTGAATGGGAGTTCACTCATGATTTGGCTCTCTGTTTGTCTGTTGTTGGTGTATAAGAATGCTTGTGATTTTTGCACATTGATTTTGTATCCTGAGACTTTGCTGAAGTTGCTTATCAGCTTAAGGAGATTTTGGGCTGAGACAATGGGGTTTTCTAAATATACAGTCATGTCGTCTGCAAACAGGGACAATTTGACTTCCTCTTTTCCTAATTGAATACCTTTATTTCCTTCTCCTGCCTAATTGCCCTGGCCAGAACTTCCAACACTATGTTGAATAGGAGTGGTGAGAGAGGGCATCTCTGTCTTGTGCCAGTTTTCAAAGGGAATGCTTCCAGTTTTTGCCCATTCAGTATGATATTGGCTGTGGGGTTGTCATAGATAGCTCTTATTATTTTGAGATATGTCCCATCAATACCTAATTTATTGAGAGTTTTTAGCATGAAGGGTTGTTGAATTTTGTCAAAGGCCTTTTCTGCATCTATTGAGATAATCATGTGGTTTTTGTCTTTGGTTCTGTTTATATGCTGCACTACATTTATTGATTTGCGTGTATTGAACCAGCCTTGTATCCCAGGGATGAAGCCCACTTGATCATGGTGGATAAGCATTTTGATGTGCTGCTGGATTCGGTTTGCCAGTATTTTATTGAGGATTTTTGCATCAATGTTCATCAAGGATATTGCTCTAAAATTCTCTTTTTTGGTTGTGTCTCTGCCAGGCTTTGGTATTAGGATGATGCTGGCCTCATAAAATGAGTTAGGGAGGATTCCCTCTTTTTCTATTGATTGGAATAGTTTCAGAAGGAATGGTACCAGTTCCTCCTTGTACCACTGGTAGAATTCAGCTGTGAATCCATCTGGTCCTGAACTCTTTTTGGTTGGTAAGCTATTGATTATTGCCACAATTTCAGCTCCTGTTATTGGTCTATTCAGAGATTCAACTTCTTCCTGGTTTAGCCTTGGGAGAGTGTATGTGTCGAGGAATTTATCCATTTCTTCTAGATTTTCTAGTTTATTTGTGTAGAGGTGTTTGTAGTATTCTCTGATGGTAGTTTGTACTTCTGTGGGATCGGTGGTGATATCCCCTTTATCATTTTTTATTGCATCCATTTGATTCTTCTCTCTTTTTTTCTTTATTGGTCTTGCTAGCAGTCTATCAATTTTGTTGATCCTTTCAAAAAACCAGCTCCTGGATTCATTAATTTTTTGAAGGGTTTTTTGTGTCTCTATTTCCTTCAGTTCTGCTCTGAGTTTAGTTATTTCTTGCCTTCTGCTAGCTTTTGAATGTGTTTGCTCTTGCTTTTCTAGTTCTTTTAATTGTGATGTTAGGGTGTCAATTTTGTATCTTTCCTGCTTTCTCTTGTGGGCATTTAGTGCTATAAATTTCCCTCTACACACTGCTTTGAATGCGTCCCAGAGATTCTGGTATGTTGTGTCTTTGTTCTCGTTGGTTTCAAAGAACATCTTTATTTGTGCCTTCATTTCGTTATGTACCCAGTAGTCATTCAGGAGCAGGTTGTTCAGTTTCCATGTAGTTGAGCGGTTTTGAGTGAGTTTCTTAATCCTGAGTTCTAGTTTGATTGCACTGTGGTCTGAGAGATAGTTTGTTATAATTTCTGTTCTTTTACATTTGCTGAGGAGAGCTTTACTTCCAAGTATGTGGTCAATGTTGGAATAGGTGTGGTGTGGTGCTGAAAAAAATGTATATTCTGTTGATTTGGGGTGGAGAGTTCTGTAGATGTCTATTAGGTCCGCTTGGTGCAGAGTTGAGTTCAATTCCTGGGTATGCTTGTTGACTTTCTGTCTCGTTGGTCTGTCTAATGTTGACAGTGGGGTGTTAAAGTCTACCATTATTAATGTGTGGGAGTCTAAGTCTCTTTGTAGGTTACTCAGGACTTGCTTTATGAATCTGGGTGCTCCTGTATTGGGTGCATATATATTTAGGATACTTAGCTCTTCTTGTTGAATTGATCCCTTTACCATTATGTAATGGCCTTCTTTGTCTCTTTTGATCTTTGTTGGTTTAAAGTCTGTTTTATCAGAGACTAGGATTGCAACCCCTGCCTTTTTTTGTTTTCCATTGGCTTGGTAGATCTTCCTCCATCCTTTTATTTTGAGCCTATGTGTGTCTCTGCACGTGAGATGGGTTTCCTGAATACAGCACACTGATGGGTCTTGACTCTTTATCCAATTTGCCAGTCTGTGTCTTTTAATTGGAGCATTTAGTCCATTTACTTTTAAAGTTAATATTGTTATGTGTGAATTTGATCCTGTCATTATGATGTTAGCTGGCTATTTTGCTCGTTAGTTGATGCAGTTTCTTCCTAGTCACGATGATCTTTACATTTTGGATTGATTTTCCAGCGGCTGGTACTGGTTGTTCCTTTCCATGTTTAGCACTTCCTTCAGGAGCTCTTTTAGGGCAGGCCTGGTGGTGACAAAATCTCTGAGCATTTGCTTGTCTGTAAAGTATTTTATTTCTCCTTCACTTATGAAGCTTAGTTTGGCTGGATATGAAATTCTGGGTTGAAAATTCTTTTCTTTAAGAATGTTGAATATTGGCCCCCAGTCTCTCCTGGCTTGTAGAATTTCTGCCGAGAGATCCGCTGTTAGTCTGATGGGCTTCCCTTTGAGGGTAACCCGACCTTTCTCTCTGGCTGCCCTTAACATTTTTTCCTTCATTTCAACTTTGGTGAATCTGACAATTATGTGTCTTGGAGTTGCTCTTCTCAAGGAGTATCTTTGTGGTGTTCTCTGTATTTCCTGAATCTGAATGTTGGCCTGCCTTGCTAGATTGGGGAAGTTCTTCTGGATAATTCCCTGCAGAGTGTTTTCCAACTTGGTTCCATTCTGCCCGTCGCTTTCAGGTACACCAATCAGACGTAGATTTGGTCTTTTCACATAGTCCCATATTTCTTGGAGGCTTTGCTTGTTTCTTTTTATTCTTTTTTCTCTAAACTTCCCTTCTCGCTTCATTTCATTCACTTCATCTTCCATCACTGATACCCTTTCTTCCAGTTGATTGCATCGGCTCCTGAGGCTTCTGCATTCTTCACGTAGTTCTCGAGCCTTGGTTTTCAGCTCCATCAGTTCCTTTAAGAACTTCTCTGTATTGGTGATTCTAGTTTTACATTCTTCTACACTTTTTTCAAAGTTTTTAACTTCTTTGCCTTTGGTTTGAGTTTCCTCCCATAGCTCGGAGTAATTTGATCATCTGAAGCCTTCTTCTCTCAGCTCGTCAAAGTCATTCTCCGTCCAGCTTTGCTCCGTTGCTGGTGAGGAACTGCGTTCCTTTGGAGGAGGAGAGGCGCTCTGCTTTTTAGAGTTTCCAGTTTTTCTGCTCTGTTTTTTCCCCATCTTTGTGGTTTTATCTACTTTTGGTCTTTGATGGTGGTGATGTACAGACGGGTTTTTGGTGTGGATGTCCTTTCTGTTTGTTAGTTTTCTTTCTAACAGATAGGACCCTCAGCTGCAGGTCTGTTGGAGTACCGGGCCATGTGAGTTGTCAGTCTGCCCCTACTGGGGAGTGCCTCCCAGTTAGGCTGCTCAGCATTCAGGGGTCAGGGACCCACTTGAGGAGGCAGTCTGCCCATTTTCAGATCTCCAGCTGCGTGCTGGGAGAATCACTGCTCTCTTCAAAGCTGTCAGACAGGGACATTTAAGTCTGCAGAGGTTACTGCTGTCTTTTTGTTTGTCTGTGCCCTGCCCCCAGAGGTGGAGCCTACAGATGCAAGCAGGCCTCCTTGAGCTGTGGTGGGCTCTACCCAGTTCGAGCTTCCTGGCTGCTTTGTTTACCTATGCAAGCCTGGGCAATGCTGGGCACCCCTCCCCCAGCCTTGCTGCCGCCTTGCAGTTTGATCTCAGACTGCTGTGCTAGCAATCAGCGAGACTCCGTGGGCGTAGGACCCTCTGAGTCTGGTGTGGGATATAATCTCCTGGTACGCCGTTTTTTAAGCCCGTCGGAAAAGCGCAGTATTAGGGTGGGAGTGACCCGATTTTCCAGGTGCTGTCTGTCACCCCTTTCTTTGACTAGGAAAGGGAACGAAAGGGAGCTGCCTGACCCCTTGCACATCCCGAGTGAGGCAATGCCTCGCCCTGCTTCGGCTCACGCACAGTACGTGCACCCACTGACCTGCGCCCACTGTCTGGCACTCCCTAGTGAGATGAACCTGGTACCTCAGATGGAAATGCAGAAATCACCCATCTTCTGCATCGCTCACGCTGGGAGCTGTAGACCGGAGCTGTTCCTATTCAGCCATCTTGGCTCCTCCAGGGTATTTTTATTTATTTTGTATTTGTGTGTAAATGTGTGTATACAATTTTTGTTTATAAAACCTTGACCATTTTTCTCATGATTTTCTATCTTATTTACTTTTTAAACTTTTTATTTTAAGAAAACTATAGATTCCTGGAATGTTGCAGAAACAGGTCAAAATTCCCATATAACCTTCACCTAGGTTTGTGCAATATTTATATCTTACCTAAATATGAAACAATATCAAAATTAGGATGTTGGTATAGTGTGTGTATAGTTCCACATCATCTTTATTATTTTTCATAACCACGGTATATTCAGGATACAGAACTGAAATTTCACTTTTGGTAACACTTTATAGTCACAGCCACCCTTCTCTCATCACCATCCCTAACCACGAGACACCATTTATCTCTTTTCCATCTGTTTAATTTTTCCGATTCAATAATGTTACATAAATGGACTCACCAATTTATCTTTTTAGAAATCTTCATACATAGGATATATTACACATTTGGAATTGTTTATGTTGCAATTGTTATAACTTTTAAGTTCAGGAGTACATGTGCAGGTTTGTTATATAGGTAAACTTGTATCATTGGGGTTTGCTGTACTGATTATTTCCCCACCCAGGTATTAAGCCTAGTACTCATTAGATATCTTTCCTGATCCTCTCCTTCCTCCCACCCTCCACCCTCTGATAGGCCCCAGTGTGTGCTGTTCCTCTCTATGTGCCTATGTGTTCTCATCATTTTGTTCCCACTTACAAGTGAGAACGTACTGTATTTGGTTTTCAGTTCTTGCGCTAGCTTGCTAAAAATAATGGCCTCCTGCTCCATCCATGACCCTGCAAAGGACATGATCTCATTCTTTTTTATGGCTGCATAGCATTCCATGATATATATGTGCCATGATCTCAGCTCACTGCAACCTCCACCTCCTGGGTTCAAGCTATTCTCCTGCCTCAGCCTCCCAAGTAGCTGGAATTACAGGTGCCCGCCACCATGCCCAGCTAATTTTTTGTATTTTTAGTAGAGACAGGGTTTCACTATGTTGGCCAGGCCTCAAACTCCTGACCTGAGGTGATCCACCCACCTCGGGCTCCTAAAGTGCTGGGATCATAAGCATGAGCCAGTGCATCCAGCCATCACATTTTGTTTATCCAGTCTACCACTGGTGGGCCTTTAGGTTAATTCCATGTCTTTGCTATTGTGAATAGTGCTTCAATGAACATACACATGCATGTATCTTTTTAATATAGTTATTTATATTCCTTTGGGTATACACCCAGTAATGGGATTGCTGGGTTGAATGGTAGTTGTGTTTTTAGCTCTTTCATAAATTGCCATAGATTTTTTGACAATGGTTGAACTAATTTACATTCCCACCAATAGTGTATAATTATTCCTTGTTCTCTGAAACCACCTGAGCATCTGTTTTTTTTTTTTTTTTTTTGACTTATTAATAGTAGCCATTCTGACTGATGTGAGATGGTATTTCATGGTGGTTTTGATTTGCATTTCTCTAATGAGCAGTGATATTGAAAGTTTTTTCATGTGTGCTTGTTGGTCTCATGTATGTCTTCTTTAGGGAAGTGTCTGTTCATGCCCTTTGTCTACTTTTTAAAAGGGTTGTTTGTTTTTTCCTTGTATTAAGTTCCTTATAGATGCTATGTATTAGTCCCTTTTCATGCTGCTGATAAAAACATACCCAAGACAGGGGAATTTACAAAAGAAAGAGGTTTAATCAACTCATAGTTCCACATGGCTGGGGAGGCCTCACAATCATGGAGGAAGGTGAAAGGCACGCCTCACATGGTGGCAGAAACGAGAAGAGAGCCCGCACAGGGAAACTTCCTGTTCCCATAACCATCAGATCTCGTGAGACTTACTCACTACTAAGAGAACAGCATGGGAAAGACCTGCCCCCATGATTCAATTACCTCCTACTGGGCTCCTCCCATAACACGTGGGAATTAAAGATGAGATTTGGATGGGGACACAGCCAAATCATATCATGCTGGATATTAGAATTCTGTCAGATGCAAAGCTTGCAAAAATTTTCTCCCATTCTGTTGGTTGTCTGTTTACTCTGGTGATAGTTTCTTCTGCTGTGCAGAAACTTTTTAGTTTAATTAGATCCCATTTGTCAATTTTTGTTTTGATTGCAATTGCTTTTAGCATCTTCATCATGAAATCTTTACCTAATTTTATGTCCAGCATAGTATTTGGGATTTACTTTAATTTATCCTGAGTTTTTGTATATGGCATAAAGAAGGGGTCTGATTTCAATCTTTTGCATATGGCTAGCCACTTACCCCAGCACCATTTATTAAATAGGGAGTCCTTTTCAAACCATTGCTTGTTTTTGTCAGCTTTGTCAAAGATCATATAGTTGTAGGTGTGTGGCCTTCTTTCTGGACTCTCTATTCTGTTGCATTGGTCTGTGTGCCTGTTTTCTTACCAGTATCATGCCGTTTTGGTTATTGTAGTCTTGTAGTCTAGTTTTAAGTTGGGTAGTTTGATGCCTTCAGCTTTGGTCTTTTTGTTGGAAAATATTTTGAAAGACAAATTGACTTTTAATTTTGAGATATTTCTTTTATAGAAGTTTATTTTTTATTAAAAATATTATTTTATGATTTCTGCCTTTAGCATTTTCCATATACTCTTAAATATTCTTATGCAATTTATGTGAATATTTTTACATTTGTTAGCTTATTTAAAATTTCACATTTGAACTTTTTCACTTTGGTTTTATTTTGCTACGTGTTGGAAATAGAAGCTTTATTTTGTTGTAGTAACTACTAGATACAAACTACTATCATCTTCCCAGTATAAGTAGGTAGGTGATATACATTCTTCTAGAATTTGAAAAAGACAACTTTATGGAATGGTAAATTATATACATACCTGCATACATATACATACATACCTCTACACACTTATAATCTTATGTTGTTGAGCCTATTTCTGAGATTTTTAGGTTTTATGTGAGCCATTTTTCTGTTCTGGAAACTGTGTAGCCTTCTTCTGTTACTGTAACTTAATTGTATTTTTAATTTCTGAAGATGTAATTTTCCCTTTATCTTGCTTCTTTTTCAATTTCTTATTCCTAATCTTACACATGTTTGAGTCCTCATCTTGTTTTCAAAAACATAAAACTATCATTGGGATTATAAATATAACAATATTAAATTCATAACATTTTAGAGAAAATCAGCATCAATACAGTATTATTTCTCACTTGGTAACTTTCAATACTTCTTTTATTCAAGTTTCTTGTCTTGGAAGATACGTATGGACCAGTTTTCATACAAGGTTTGCCCATCTATTGTTAGGTAAATTCCTAGGTATTTTATAAGTTATATGCCTTCACTTCACCCTAATAGTCTCTTGCCAAGTAATGCCATTCTAAGGGCCCCTAGTCAGTTGCACCAAACCAAATCTGACTGGGAATGTTTTCCAGTCAGGCTGGGTGGGGATTAGAAAGAATTCTCCACACAGCAGGCATTGGAGAAACTCAGCAAGTCTGACTTGCTCTCTGCCTTTGCAGAACTTCTGGTCCTCAGGGAAGCCTTACCAGTGGCAACCTGGCAAAGGCAATGGCTCAGTGGGGAGTCTGGCTCCAACACACGGGGATGCTGTCTCCTGCTTCTCTTGTCACTACTCAGCAATTAGATGCTGTTTCCCTAGAGAGCTCTCCAACTATACTCTTTACAATGGCTAATTATAACGTCCACCTCTATTTTCAAAACTCAGATTTCTCCTCTTACTACAGCAGCTGCCCTGTAGCCTACTTCACAAGACAAGAGCAGCTCTATTATACTCTGAACTCCCTTAACTTTCCACCACATCCCCTACCAGTTTACCTGAGTCTGCACCCACCCACTTTTTTTCTCCTTGTAATAATAGAAAAGCTATTCCTCCTTTCATAGCTTATTTCTCAACCTGCGCTCTTGCGCTCTTGGAGACCTTGCCCTATTGATTTCCCTCTTGTCTTCCTTCAACACATTTCTTTCAACTCGCCTCTTACCCTCAAATTTAGAAACACTCAAGCTTTTCCCATCTTAAAAAAAAAAATCCAATTTTCACCTGTCATCTCAATTTGCAATTCTCTGTGGTTATATAACATTTCTAATTATTCATCCTTTGAATCAGTAATTTCTGAATAGCCTACTGAGAAGGCTGTTTATTATACTAATCTTTTTAAATAACTGATGCCAGAATTTCTTCATCAAATCTTAAATTATTATAGTTCCCAATTCACTCATTTATTTATATTATTCCTTTTATTTTAAATCTCTTTTCCTTATATTTTTAGTTATAGTCTTTAGAAATACAGATCATATTGTCCTTTCTTCTTACCTACTTAATTGAATGCTGACTTCATTTGTTATTATTCTTTCTCGTTTCATAATGAAAGTATTTGTTGCTACTATTTTTCATCTCATTTTACCTTTAGTTGCATCCCGAATGCTCTGATACATACTCTTGTCATTTTCATTTTTTCTATAAAGCCTAGAATTGCAGTTTTGATTTCCCTTTGACCCAAAGTTATTAAGGATAGTGCTCTTGGTTTCCAACTAGCTTGATTATTTCAGTGTTTTTTTTAAATTAATTTTTGGAATCATCTAGTGGAAGTATGATAATATGATCTCCACAAGGTATTTTTTATTACCTCACTGTTTAAAAACATTCTCAGACACTTAAAAACAGTATATATTCTCTGTAGGGTACAGTATTTAATAAGGAACTTTTAAAACAACATTATTTTAATCATAATATTCCAACTCTGGTTTTTCATATTCAGTTTGTTTCTTTTTAATTTTTCAAGTCTAACAAAGCTAAATCAAAATTTTCTACTAAAATTGGGGTTTGGGTAATGGCTTCTTGCATTTGGATGTTATATCTAATTGGATAAATGCTTATGACAAAATATTTTCACTCTAGAGTAAAATTTTAATGTAAGTGATATAATCCTTTTAATCTTATTTCTTTAACCTGGATTACTATTTTGACCATTAATATTGGTTTGGTAATATGGTTTTCCTGATATGGTTGTGCTAATCCTTTTATGATTATTTTTGTGTGGATTGCCTCATAATTACCATATAGATGCATTTTGTGTTTTGAACCTTTCTTTAAAAATTTTAGGTTAATAAAAAGTTACTTATACATGTATTTCTTAAGTAGCGAATTCTTCTGGAATGTTGTAAAATTCAAAAGATACACAACGGTATATATGAAAAAAAAAATCTCTCTCTCTCCTTTCTCCCAGGTACCCATTTTGTGTTCTTAGAGATAACACTACTACTTCATAACTGTATATCATGTATGAGATGATCCACATATTTACATACATTTGTGCACATGTGTTTTTTATATGATGAGATGTTCCACGTATTTACATACATTCATGAACATGTGTTTTTTTCCCCAGATTACAGCCTATTTTTATACTATCTGTTCATATACAACTACACAATTCTTTTCAGTGAAGGTAAAATAGGCCACTGTTTTCCTGTATCATAATGTCCGTCAGTTTTCTTTCTTCCACTTCACATATTCAGCTCCCATTTTCTTCTTTTTCATTGCATATGAATTTTGGTGTAATTAATAACTTTGAAGATAATTAAAATTAGTCTAAAACTAACACATGCATAGGAAAAATGGAAATGCATTTTAAATCAACACTTCTATTGAGCTACATAACCATGTAATCAGATTACTCTTACACTCTCTACATTGACTATATTGACTTATTGATGAATACATCTAGAGATTTATTACAGGAACATTTGTTTCTTTAGGTTCTTTCTCAGCACAGGTGCAACCACAGCATTGATTGGGTCAAGATACATGAGAAGTGTAATCTATTACCACTTAGGTACAAATACATGCATCTTTACACTCAGATATACTCTTTGTGTTACTATTTATTTATTTATTTTTATTTATGTTTTTGGAGACGGAGTCTCGCTCTATCACCAGACTGGAGTGCAGTGGCACGATCTTGGCTCACTGTTACTTCCGCCTCCCGGTTTCAAGCGATTCTCCTGCCTCAGCCTCCCAAGTAGCTGGGACTAAAGGCGCCCACCGCCAAACCCGGCTAATTTTTTGTATTTTAGTAGAGACGGGGTTTCACCGTGTTAGCTAGGCTGGTCTCAAACTCCTGAGCTCAGGGAATCCACCCACCTTGGCCTCCCAAAGTGCTAGGATTACAGGGGTAAGCCACCACGCCCGGCCTGTGTTATAGAATTGTGTTTTACAACTGTAATAATTAATGTCACTTTTATTTTTAACAATTCTCCTACAAAATAAATAAAATGTGTCACATTTAAAATTATATTCTGACAGAAGCAAATTTCTGTTTTAATTAGGCCCAATGAGACCTGAATCCTCTGCATATGGTTTTATAAATCTGATGATTAGAAGAATTTTGCACAGATTAGCATCTGGCTCTGCACATTTCAAAAGTTATTCCTTCTTCTCCACCATCCACATATTTTAATGCCCGGTGTCATAAGCCATGTCATTTTGTGACTTGACTGCTGGCTCTACACCTTCAACTGTGAGACAGTCAGCAAAGTGGGTGGTAGGATTCTTCGTAAAAGCCGTTTCTACTTTGGGGCAGGAAGGCATAACAATTATGCACAGAATTGACTATAAAACATATAAATATATTCCTCTAAACCTAAACTGTGTACATTCACTACAAAATTTCCTCTTTGCCTAAGGAAACTTAACCTTTTTGGTGTCGTGAACCTCTTTGGCACTCTGAAGCCTGTGATCATCTCAGAATAATACATGCATGAAATAATAAAATAAATGAATTTTATAGAAATGCAGATATTGAAATAATACACTTATATTAATATATGTGTGTATTTGTTATTACATTAACTAACAAAATGTAATTCCTGTGATTTTACCACCATAAAAAACAATTGATATTATGAGATAGCTATTATAACTCTGTGATGATATTAAATATTTTTCATGTCTATTAGTAAAAAAATAATCACAGGTATTGCTTATTTACTTTGATTTGCTGATGCCATTCATAAGTAAACAAATATTCTAAGTCATTTAATATAGAAATGTTCATTTCCCCCCAAAACTTACCATATAGGCCCTAATTTCCATCCATTGAATCCTATACATCCAACTGCCAATGGCCACTCCAATACCAATAGAAGAAGAAGAAGGGTAAGGAAGGGGTAATCATAACAATATAATAGTCTGAATTACTTTTGCAAATTTTATAGAAATCAGTGAATATGTGGGCACACGCTTACAATACTCCTTAGAAGACAACCATAAAAATATGGAATCCTGAAGCTTACAGTCCATTTAGCTTTTTGATAAATGTATCTCCATTTACCTTCATGGTAAATCAGCTGGTGCACTGTATCTACATTCAATTTTCAGAAACTTTTATCCCTAAGTCTTATATTTAAACTCTGTATTTTCATCTTTCATATTAGGACAATGGCTTTACTTCCTCAAATTGTTCCATTTCTTTGAAACATTATATTTTCTGTTTAATCCTCCTCACTGAAGAATGTATATGCGTATAGTGGAAGTCAAGGTGAACCAGAATACATGTCAGTTAATTTCTGTTCTCTTTAATTCAGAATAAGAAACATGAGAACGGTGCAGAATCTTTGCAATTGTATTTCACCAGTGAGAAAATAAGGAGTATCCACAATGAGGTGAAGACTGTCAAGACAAGGAATATTTTTTCCACTGAGTAAAGCTTTTACATATTTGTTGAGCTAGCCAATGCTAGATAGGACCAATCATCATCTACTAACTTACACAACTGACATCAGTATTCCCCTGTGGTCAACCAATTTGGTGCCTTTCCATAATTGGTGCCTCTCCATGCAATGCCCTTCCCAAGGGGAAGATTATGTATCTTTATTCAGTAGAAATTACGTCTGACTGTGGGACTTGCTTTTGGCCAGTGGTTCTCACTCAAGGACAATCTTGCCACCAAAGGGACATTTGTCAATATCTGTCAATATTTGTCAATATGACATGTTGGTTGTCATAACTAGAAGGAACTGTTGTTACTTGCTCTTCGTGGGTAGGGAGGACAAGGATGCTGCTTAAACATTCTGCATTGTACAGGACAACCCTTTGTAACCGATAATTATCTAGCCCCAAATGTCAACAGTGCCAAGGTGGAGAAACCCCGCTTCAGGCAATAAAATGTGAAAAGAAACAATGTTTCTCTTTCCAGGCAGGAAATTTGACAGTAATTTCATTAGTCATTACTTATCTGATAATGTCCCAGAGAGGGGCTACTCTACCAGCCTGGTTTCTAGAGTAAAACAACATGGAACTACCAAGAACTGTGAAGGGCCAGAGATTTATCCCATTTGCAAGCTAATGATGCCCCCTCTATTACTTACTTAATAATAATGTGTAAAATATTATGACTCATTGGACAGGTAAACAGAATGAGTGTTATGTTTCATGACAGTTTACCTTCCTAGCTCCCCAAGTCCCATGGGAGTGATATGAAGGAGCTCAGGTTGAGGAAGACATGTGTGGGAACTCTGAATTAGAGAACTCAATGCTTCCATAATGAATTAAACAAACCTAAATGACTTTGTCCCAGAAAGGAGAAATTATTTTACTAGATAGTAAACTAGCCTATTCTTTACTTCAGAGG
Organism: Homo sapiens; assembly: GCF_000001405.40. Taxonomy (NCBI): domain Eukaryota; kingdom Metazoa; phylum Chordata; class Mammalia; order Primates; family Hominidae; genus Homo; species Homo sapiens. The sequence goes on from NC_000002.12 coordinate 76,716,782, forward strand.
GAGACACTATCTCTATTTTCCAAGGCAGCTCATTATACAAACATTTCTGCGAAGATAGTCCGGAGTAAAGTCATACCATGCTTCTGCTCACACGTTGTGCATAAATGTGAGTGAAGCGTGGAGAATTGTCTCCCAAAGGAAGCAGAACCCCAGCAAGCTGCACTGACCCTGTAGCAGAAGCTGGAAATTAACGTGTGTTGTTTTAAGTTACTGTGACTTGGGGCTGCTCTCTACCTTTACTGGAAATCTTACAACTTCTTAATCTTGATCTATTTACCAGATTATAGCCAGCTGACTAATTCCCACAAATAGTGATTCTACTGTTGCCCAAATATATAATAGTTGCATTCAGTTTTCAACAGAAAAACTAAGGGAGAATATCTAAAAAGTGGATCACCTAATGCTCTCTTAGAATGTATTTGTATCCAGCCGTAAAGCCTCATCTGCCTCGCTGGCAACTAACTTGTAAATCACTTACCAATTACTTGGAATAATGAGTATACCAATTAATATTAACGCAACTGATACATTGTAAATATTTTATAAAGGATTTGTTATTCATCATAATGTTATGTATTCTGTTACATGATAAATCATTTCAAAAGGTTAGTACGCCTGGTAAATAGTTTGTAAATATTTGCAAACAATTTATCTCATGTAATAACACATAAATAATTTGTGATTTATATATTACCGCATTCTAATGATTGGCCATTTACCATAAGTATTTGAATTCCTGGAAATTCATTTAAAGCTACTGAGCTCCAGAGTAATCTATCGTAGTTTGCTGTGGCTGGCAAAAACAGCAACAAGGCATTGTGGGGCTTTGTTTTTAGTTTTCATTTTAGCAGCTCTGTATGTATTTATGTTTTTAGTTATTTAAATGAGGTGATTATTAATGGTGAGTTTGCTAATTTTTAATAATAATTAATACTTCATAACATTAAATGAACATCAAGTCCCCAAGTAATATTTTTGGAGTCCTACATACATTAACAAGAAATATTCCTATCTTAAAAATAATTTCAGAAGTTTTCTCTTGGAGTTTTCTTCGTAAACGTGAACTTTTTCTGGATTTAGCCCATAAACCTATAGAGTTTATTTAAAAGCAAGACCAAAAATGTTCTGGTTTCTTTTTCATACGCTATTCCCTTCACTTTTAAACACTTGCTTCCTTATCATATCATTCCCTCTCGAACACACTAAAACTTCTGTTCCCAATCAGATATAGCTTTCCATAATAATAAGATTTATGTATGTCTATATGTACTGATTAGAAAAGTAACATAAATTAACAATAGAGCTTTTGTATGGTACGAAAAACTGAAATAGGCAAAGGTTAAGCATCATCAAAAATATGTATTACTATCATTTGGGTAGATATCTTCCATTTTTCAGTCATTTTAGTTGTTTGATAACTATATATTATCACACATATTTGCAGATGGCACCCAATTTTATTTTTACTTGTAGGCTATAAAAATAGGTCCTTGAATGAGGACAAATGTTGATTCATATACTGGGAATGCTTCTGAGGAAACTGGTAAATCATGGGGCGTGTTTTTGTTTTAACATTTTAGCTGCAATAAATACTAGGAAATACATTTTTCATTGTAAGCAATTATGCACATATATCTTTTAAAGTCTAATAAAATAATTTTCATAATAATGACATACATTTTAATATTTTCTATTCTCTTTCTCACTTCTTCTATTTCATTTTTTTATGTGACCAGTGATTCATCAAATTCATCTGTTTAGTGGGTTGTAGGTAATGGAACACAATCTGCAGTTTGAAAAATACTTATTTAGGAGGTTCCTTTATTGCCAGATCAATAACAGATCCCTAACAATTAATGCAGTTACTTCTGGGACCTCGTGGCTTTTTTCAGTTTATTTGCTACAGGAGTCTCCAGACCTCTCTGTGGCCACACTGCGCAGAACTTCCAGTGAGTCAATCTCTGCCTACAGCAGAGCTTCTTGCATTTGTTTCAGTTTTAATCATTTATGTATCAAACTCGCTAATTCATAGGTGTTTGATCACATCAGAACACTCTATATCAAAGCTTCTCCACATTTTGGGATAAATAATTCTTTGTTGCAGAGGGCTTTCCTGTCCACTGTAAGGTGGTCAACAGTATGCTTGACCTCTACTCACTAGATGCTGGTAAGACCCCACATACCATTTACAACCATTAAAAATGTTCCCAGACATTATACATGTTTCCTGGAGTAGAGTAGGGCAGAGTTAATCATTCCAAGTTGAGAACCACAGCTCCATATGTTCATGCATTTAAACAAGAGAAACTTACAAGGAGACCAAAAATAAAATTCAAAGGGAGCTCATATAGAAGGTCATCCTGTGACCCCACCCACTGCTCTCCCTTCTTTTGCTCAGCTTTCCAGAACCAAGGAACGATATGATCACCCACGCCTCTGCACCATGAAGTGAAGTGGGGACACATGTGGATCTCATGCTGCTGCTCACCTGAGGAACACTGCTTTGTCATTTTTTGTACTTTCTTTTGTAATAAAAAATGACAACTCTTTGTCTATTGATTTATTATCTTTAAATACCTTTTGTAGAGAAAATATTTTCAAAAGCAGCAGATTTTCGATTAGAAATTATTGTCAAATGGTGTTTAAATGTGCTTTTTAAAGAAATATAATTACATGTTTCATACTCTTTCCTTCCTTCCTTCCTTCCTTCCTTCCTTCCTTCCTTCCTTCCTTCTTTCTTTCTTTCTTTCTTTCTTTCTTTCTTTCTTTCTTTCTTTCTTTCTTTCTCTCTTTCTTTCATTTTACAACATGCTGAATGCTGGTGATATAATGATGAACAAGCTGGTCATTACCTTCACAGAAATAAAATTTTAGCTGTGGAAAAAGAAGATAACAATCAAATCCCCCCCCCCCTTTTATTTTGTTCTGAAGATGAGATAATTCCAAACCAAAATTTTAAAAGAAAAATCCTCAAAGACTTTTATACACAGATATACAAACAAGATTGGGGTTAAACTATAAATACAATTTTTTACACCTATTTCATTAGTGTAAATGAAATTATACCCCAAAAAAAGCATCTATTGGTGTATTGTTTCCATGTACAACCTCACTTTAATCTCAGGCAATCCTATTGAATCAGGCAATTTTTCAACAGAAATAGCATATAAAATCAGATCTAATCAACTCTCTTTATTTTCAAGAGAAGTCTCCCAATATGCTATGCTAAGAAAAGGGCAGAAGGAGAGTTTCACTGTAAGAGTAGAATTCACATTAAAATAAGTCAAAGCTGGGATTCATGGGAACTTAAAATCTGTTTTTCTCATTCCTCTCTCTCCCACTTCCTCTTCTTACCTGCAGTAACTATTCTCTCCTTACCTTTATTTACTCATAGTTTTTAATAGAAAAATACTAATTTTAGCTTGGGAGATAAATAATACTTTTTAAGTACTAACCATAAATCCTAAGTATAATAGCTGAAAAAGATAAAAAGGGAGGAAGTTCCAGGGCAACTCTAGCTATTGAACTCCTGTTCCCACTGAATTCTGAAGAATTCCCAGTTTCTTGCAGTGTGTGTCCACCATCAGATGCTGCAAGGCCCATCAATTCGAATGTCAAAAATACGTATGATGACAATAGGGAATATCATATGCATTACCTTGGCTGATTTCCTTAGCAATTGAACCCGTTAATTGGGAGGAAGTTCTTGTCAATCAAGTTCTGACCCCTGAGATAATTTCTCTTCTCTATTTTCTTTTAGCGTCACCTTGAGAGGGGTTTTAGGAGTTCTCTTAAGGGACAGCCATAGCAGTTCTCTTCCAACTAATGTCAACTGAAGCCTGCTTATCCATGAAGCAAGTTTTGATATTATATACAACTCCATCATAAATGTAGTGGGTTACCTATTGATTTCACTGTTGACGATGCCAGGACATAAAAATATAATTTACCATCCATATCTAGCCATTTTTATTTGAATTAATGTTTAACGAGGTAAGGCATCCAGATTGTGTAAGCTGGGACTGACCAAGATGCACCAGCATTTATGTTCATCTTACTTAAAAGGCAGTATCAGTTGACTCATTAAAATTGTACATATTGATGGTCTACAATTTGATGCTTCACTACATACATACGTTGTGTAGTGATCAAGTCAGGATATTTAGTGTGACCATCCTTCCATGCATCTATCATTTCTGTGTGGCAAGAACATTAAAAAGCCTCTCTTCTAGCTATTTTGTAATATACAATACCTTACTGTTAACCATTCTTAGCCTAGTGTGCCTTAGAACATAAATATATACAAGTAGAATGTGTCAGTGAAAAAAACTGTAAAGGCAATACCAATATCTCAGATTCACTATACCTGTTGGTATACTCATCTTGAAAACTGTAGGCATTCCACAACAACTTTACTTTTGGGACATCAATAATTTAGTAAAGATTGGGGCAAGGCTCTTCCCATCTCATGAATATTTAATTAATTGTCCTGCTCCCGGAACCTGGAGAGTAACAGGTTATTGGGAGTCTCAGCAGCACTACTTTATCCCCTAGTCGTCTTCACATATTGCCACGTTGCTTAATATGCAGTAAAGTCCTAATGATTGAGTCACAGTGAAAAGGATCAGATCTTCACTCCTCCCAGCAAGAGGGTAGAACCAACAGAAAGTGCTTGAGGGCCTCTGCAGGTCAACATTCTTCACTTCTTACTGCTCTTTCAAAATACTGTAGCCCCATTCTAATTACCATAATCAGTTTGGATGTTTCCAAACAACCCCATTCTAATTGCCATAATCAGATTGGATGTTTCCAAACAGGCATGAACTTTGACCCTGTAATTCTAATGTGGAAGAGAAAAATAATATAAATAATATTCAGTTATTATGTACCACGTGCAGCTCTAAGTACCTTAGATAATAATGCCATGGTGTGGAAAGGCAGAGGGCACTTAATTGTCCTGCTAAAGGTCACAGAGGTCTATTAAGGGATGGAGCCAACATTTGAAAGCAAGCAGTGTGGCTGCAGAGTTCATGTATTTAGCCATTCTCCCATAATTCTTCTGAAGAATTCAGGAGCTATAATTTGACGTTTAACAGATTGATTTCCAGACACCTCTGCTTTCAAAATATCAGTCTCTCTACAGAAGAGAATTCCTACAAGACAGAGACTCAATTCTTCCACTATCATCCAGGTGTACATGAAGTTGCCATTTTAGCACAATTCTTGATGTGGGCCATGGGAGTAATTAATTCAGTGCATTCTACTCATACTTCACTTAAGACTTTGCTCTCAGTGGGTATAGTTATTTAAAGAATATGGGCAATATTAAATGAGATCAATTCCATTATCCCTATCCTCCATATTTTCTATGCTTCTATTTGAATTAGGGTCAATCTCCTGGACCAAACTTGATTTTTCTAACCTTGGTGAAAAACAGTCATGGTTTAGCTGGAATGTTTTCCAGCTAAATGTTTTCCAGCAACATGTTTGTCGCTCTATGTCTTTGACCTATTCTCCCTCCCTAGGCCATGTTCACACTGCCTTCACCTCTACAAACGTGTCTCTTGCCAAGTGAACTGAATGTTTTTTTTTTTTTTGCTCCTGGGTTTGAGAAGAATACATTTCTATTTTAAAGTCTTTTGCTTTCTGAGCCTTCCAATAAGAGGATCATCCTCAAGCATTAAGCATTTCATTTGTAGCTGGGCCCAGCGGCTCATACCTATAATCCCAGCATTTTGGGAGGCCGGTGGATCACTTGAGGTCAGGAGTTCAACACCAACCTGGTCAACAAGGTGAAACCACGTCTTTACTAAAAATGCAAAAGTAATCTGGGCATGATGGTGCACACTTGTAGTCCCAGCTACTTGGGAGGCTGAGGTGTGAGAATCGCTTGAACCTGGAAAGTGGAGGTTGTAGTGAGCTGAGTTCATGCCACTGCACTCCACCCTGGGAGAAAGAGTGAGACTCTTGTCTCCAAAAACAAACAAAAATTTTATTTGCTTTCAATTTAATCATATTGTTAGGTATATTTTCTCCATTTTTTTTAATTTTTATTTTTTATTATTATTATACTTTAAGTTTTAGGGTACATGTGCACATTGTGCAGGTTAGTTACATATGTATACATGTGCCATGCTGGTGTGCTGCACCCATTAACTCGTCATTTAGCATTAGGTATATCTCCTAATGCTATCCCTCCCCCCCTCCCCCCACCCCACAACAGTCCCCAGAGTGTGATGTTCCTCTTCCTGTGTCCACGTGTTCTCATTGTTCAATTCCCACCTATGAGTAAGAGCATGCGGTGTTTGGTTTTTTGTCCTTGCAATAGTTTACTGAGAATGATGATTTCCCATTTCATCCATGTCCCTACAAAGGACATGAACTCATAATTTTTTGTGGCTGCATAGTATTCCATGGTGTATATGTGCCACATTTTCTTAATCCAGTCTATCATTGCTGGACATTTGGGTTGGTTCCAAGTCTTTGCTATTGTGAATAGTGCCGCAATAAACATACATGTGCATGTGTCTTTATAGCAGCATGACTTAGAGTCTTTTGGGTATATACCCAGTAACGGGATGGCTGGGTCAAATGGTATTTCTAGTTGTAGATCCCTGAGGAATCACCACACTGACTTCCACAATGGTTGAACTAGTTTACAGTCCCACCAACAGTGTAAAAGTGTTCCTATTTCTCCACATCCTCTCCAGCACCTGTTGTTTCCTGACTTTTGAATGATTGCCATTCTAACTGGTATGAGATGGTATCTCATTGTGGTTTTCATTAGCATTTCTCTGATGGCCAGTGATGGTGAGCATTTTTTCATGTATTTTTTGGCTGCATAAATGTCTTCTTTTGAGAAGTGTCTGTTCATATCCTTTGCCCACTTTTTGATGGGGTTGTTTGTTTTTTTCTTGTAAATGTGTTTGAGTTCATTGTAGATTCTGAATATTAGCCCTTTGTCAGATGAGTAGGTTGCGAAAATTTTCTCCCATTTTGAAGGTTGCCTGTTCACTCTGATGGTAGTTTCTTTTGCTGTGCAGAAGCTCTTTAGTTTAATTACATCCCATTTGTCAATTTTGGCTTTTGTTGCCATTGCTTTTGGTGTTTTAGACATGAAGTCCTTGCCCATGCCTATGTCCTGAATGGTAATGCCTAGGTTTTCTTCTAGGGTTTTTATGGATTTAGGTCTAACGTTGAAGTCTTTAATCCATCTTGAATTAATTTTTGTATAAGGTGTAAGGAAGGGATCCAGTTTCAGCTTTCTACATATGGCTAGCCAGTTTTCCCAGCACCATTTATTGAATAGGGAATCCTTTTCCCATTGCTTGTTTTTCTCAGGTTTGTCAAAGATCAGATAGTTGTAGATATGCGGCACTATTTCTGAGGGCTCTGTTCTGTTCCACTGATCTATATCTCTGTTTTGGTACCAGTACCATGCTGTTTTGGTCACTGTAGCCTTGTAGTATAGTTTGAAGTCAGGTAGTGTGATGCCTCCAGCTTTGTTCTTTTGGCTTAGGATTGACTTGGCGATGCGGGCTCTTTTTTGGTTCCATATGAACTTTAAAGTAGTGTTTTCCAATTCTGTGAAGAAAGTCATTGGTAGCTTGATGGGGATGGCATTGAATCTATAAATTACCTTGGGCAGTATGGGCATTTTCACGATATTGATTCTTCTTACCCATGAGCATGGAATGTTCTTCCATTTGTTTGTATCCTCTTTTATTTCATTGAGCAGTGGTTTGTAGTTCTCCTTGAAGAGGTCCTTCACATCCCTTATAAGTTGGATTCCTAGGTATTTTATTCTCTTTGAAGCAATTGTGAATGGGAGTTCACTCATGATTTGGCTCTCTGTTTGTCTGTTGTTGGTGTATAAGAATGCTTGTGATTTTTGCACATTGATTTTGTATCCTGAGACTTTGCTGAAGTTGCTTATCAGCTTAAGGAGATTTTGGGCTGAGACAATGGGGTTTTCTAGATATACAATCATGTCATCTGCAAACAGGGACACTTTGACTTCCTCTTTTCTTAATTGAATACCCTTTATTTCCTTCTCCTGCCTAATTGCCCTGGCCAGAACTTCCAACACTATGTTGAATAGGAGTGGTGAGAGAGGGCATCCCTGTCTTGTGCCAGTTTTCAAAGGGAATGCTTCCAGTTTTTGCCCATTCAGTATGATATTGGCTGTGGGTTTGTCATAGGTAGCTCTTATGATTTTGAGATACGTCCCGTCAATACCTAATTTATTGAGAGTTTTTAGCATGAAGGGTTGTTGAATTTTGTCAAAGGCCTTTTCTGCATCTATTGAGATAATCATGTGGTTTTTGTCTTTGGTTCTGGTTATATGCTGGATTACATTTATTGATTTGCGTATATTGAACCAGCCTTGCATCCCAGGGATGAAGCCCACTTGATCATGGTGGATAAGCTTTTTGATGTGCTGCTGGATTCGGTTTGCCAGTATTTTATTGAGGATTTTTGCATCAATGTTCATCAAGGATATTGGTCTAAAATTCTCTTTTTTGGTTGTGTCTCTGCCCGGCTTTGGTATCAGGATGATGCTGGCTTCATAAAATGAGTTAGGGAGGATTCCCTCTTTTTCCATTGATTGGAATAGTTTCAGAAGGAATGGTACCAGTTCCTCCTTATACCTCTGGTAGAATTCGGCTGTGAATCCATCTGGTCCTGGACTCTTTTTGTTTGGTAAGCTATTGATTATTGCCACAATTTCAGCTCCTGTTATTGGTCTATTCAGAGATTCAACTTCTTCCTGGTTTAGTCTTGGGAGAGTGTATGTGTCGAGGAATTTATCCATTTCTTCTAGATTTTCTAGTTTATTTGCCTAGAGGTGATTGTAGTATTCTCTGATGGTAGTGGGTATTTCTGTGGGATCAGTGGTGATATCCCCTTTATCACTTTTTATTGCGTCTATTTGATTCTTCTCTCTTTTCTTCTTTATTAGTCTTGCTAGCGGTCTATCAATTTTGTTGATCCTTTCAAAAAACCAGCTCCTGGATTCATTAATTTTTTGAAGGGTTTTTTGTGTCTCTATTTCCTTTAGTTCTGCTCTGATTTTAGTTATTTCTTGCCTTCTGCTAGCTTTTGAATGTGTTTGCTCTTGCTTTTCTAGTTCTTTTAATTGTGATGTTAGTGTATCAATTTTGGATCTTTCCTGCTTTCTCTTGTGGGCATTTAGTGCTATAAATTTCCCTCTACACACCGCTTTGAATGTGTCCCAGAGATTCTGGTATGTTGTGTCTTTGTTCTCATTGGTTTCAAAGAACATCTTTATTTGTGCCTTCATTTCGTTATGTACCCAGTAGTCATTCAGGAGCAGGTTGTTCAGTTTCCATGTAGTTGAGCGGTTTTGAGTGAGTTTCTTAATCCTGAGTTCTAGTTTGATTGCACTGTGGTCTGAGAGACAGTTTGTTATAATTTCTGTTCTTTTACATTTGCTGAGGAGAGCCTTACTTCCAAGTATGTGGTCAATTTTGGAATAGGTGTCGTGGTGTGGTACTGAAAAGAATGTATATTCTGTTGATTTGGGGTGGAGAGTTCTGTAGATGTCTATTAGGTCTGCTTTGTGCAGAGCTGAGTTCAATTCCTGGGTATCCTTGTTAACTTTCTGTCTCATTGATCTGTCTAATGTTGACAGTGGGGTGTTTAAGTCTCCCATTATTATTGTGTGGGAGTCCAAGTCTCTTTGTAGGTCACTCAGGACTTGCTTTATGAATCTGGGTGCTCCTGTATTGGGTGCATATATATTTAGGATAGTTAGCTCTTCTTGTTGAATTGATCCCTGTATCATTATGTAATGGCCTTCTTTGTCTCTTTTGATCTTTGTTGGTTTAAAGTCTGTTTTATCAGAGACTAGGATTGCAACCCCTGCCTTTTTTTGTTTTCCATTGGCTTGGTAGATCTTCCTCCATCCTTTTATTTTGAGCCTATGTGTGTCTCTGCAAGTGAGATGTGTTTCCTGAATACAGCACACTGATGGGTCTTGACTCTTTATCCAATTTGCCAGTCTGTGTCTTTTAATTGGAGCACTTAGCCCATTTACATTTAAAGTTAATATTCTTATGTGTGCATTTGATCCTGTCATTATGATGTTAGCTGGTTATTTTGCTCGTTAGTTGATGGAGTTTCCTCTTAGCCTCGATGGTCTTTACAATTTGGCATGATTTTGCAGCTGTTGCTACCGGTTGTACCTTTCCATGTTTAGTGCTTCCTTCAGGAGCTCTTTTAGGGCAGGCCTGGTGGTGACAAAATCTCTCAGCATTTGCTTGTCTGTAAAGTATTTTATTTCTCCTTCACTTATGAAGCTTAGTTTGGCTGGATATGAAATCTGGGTTGAAAATTCTTTTCTTTAAGAATGTTGAATATTGGCCCCCAGTATCTTCTGGCTTGTAGAGTTTCTGCTGAGAGATCTTCTGTTAGTCTGATGGGCTTCCCTTTGAGGGTAACCCGACCTTTCTCTCTGGCTGCCCTTAACATTTTTTCCTTCATTTCAACTTTGGTGAATCTGACAATTATGTGTCTTGGCATTGCTGTTCTCGAGGAGTATCTCTGTGGCGTTCTCTGTATTTCCTGAATCTGAATGTTGGCCTGTCTTGCTAGATTGGGGAAGTTCTCCTGGATAGTATCCTGCAGAGTGTTTTCCAACTTGGTTCCATTCTCCCCGTCGCTTTCAGGTACACCAATCAGACGTAGATTTGGTCTATTCACATAGTTTTTTTCACATGGAGGCTTCACAAAGCCTCCATATTTCTTGGAGGCTTTGTTGGTTTCTTTTTATACTTTTTTCTCTAAACTTCCCTTCTCGCTTCATTTCATTTCATTAATTTCATCTTCCATCACTGAAAACCTTTCTTCCAGTTGATCGCATGGGCTCCTGAGGCTTCAGCATTCTTCATATAGTTCTTGAGCCTTGGCCTTCAGCTCCATCAGCTCCTTTAAGCACTTCTTTGTATTGGTTATTCTAGTTACACATTCGTCTAAATTTTTTTCAAAGTTTTTAACTTCTTTGCCTTTGGTTTGAATTTCCTCCCGTAGCTCAGATTAGTTTGGCGTCTGGAACCTTCTTTTCTCAACTCGTGAAAGTCATTCTCCATCTAGCTTTGTTCCCTTGCTGGTGAGGAACTGCATTCCTTTGGAGGAGGAGAGGCGCTCTGCTTTTTAGAGTTTCCAGTTTTTCTGCTCTGTTTTTTCCCCATCTTTGTGGTTTTATCTACTTTTGGTCTTTGATGATGGTGATGTACAGATGGGTTTTTGATGTGGATGTCCTTTCTGTTTGTTAGTTTTCCTTCTAACAGACAGGACCCTTAGCTGCAGGTCTGTTGGAGTTTTCTAGAGGTCCACTCCAGACCCTGTTTGCCTGGGTGTCAGCAACGGTGTCTGCAGAACAGAGGATTTTCGTGTACTGCGAATGCTGCTGTCTGATCATTCCTCTGGAATTTTTGTCTCAGAGGTGTACCCGGCCATGTGAGGTGTCAGTCTGCCCCTACTGGGGGGTGCCTCCCAGTTAGGCTGCTCGGGGGTCAGAGTTCAGGGACCCACTTGAGGAGGCAGTCTGCCCGTTCTCAGATCTCCAGCTGCGTGCTGGGAGAACCACTGCTCTCTTCAAAGCTGTCATACAGGGACATTTAAGACTGCAGAGGTTACTGCTGTCTTTTTGTTTGTCTGTGCCCTGCCCCCAGAGGTGGAGCCTACAGAGGCAGGCAGGCCTCCTTGAGCTGTGGTGGTGGGCTCCATCCCGTTGGAGCTTCCCAGCTGCTTTGTTTTCCTAAGCAAGCCTGGGCAATGGTGAGCTCCCCTCCCCGAGCCTCGCTGCTGCCTTGCAGTTTGATCTCAGACTGCTGTGCTAGCAATCAGCGGGACTCCGTGGGCGTAGGACCCTCTGAGCCAGGTGCGGGATATAATCTCCTGGTTTGCTGTTTTTTAAGCCCATCGGAAAAGCGCAGTATTAGGGTGGGAGTGACCCGATTTTCCAGGTGCCGTCTGTCACCCCTTTCGTTGACTCAGAAAGGGAACTCCCTGACCCCTTGCGCTTCCCGAGTGAGGCAATGCCTCGCCCTGCTTTGGCTCATGCAGGGCGCACTGCACCCACTGTCCTGCGCCCACTGTCTGGCACTCCCTAGTGAGATGAACCCGGTACCTCAGATGGAAATGCAGAAATCACCCGTCTTCTGCGTCGCTCAGGCTGGGAGCTGTAGAACGGAGCTGTTCCTATTTGGCCATCTTGGCTGTCTCCTCAGGTATATTTTCTCAAAAAGGTAAATTATGATTCTACTAAGGGAAACAATAAATACATTAAAATATTTCATTTAATGTATTAATGAGGAAGCTAGAAGATGGCATGGCTGGTTAAAAAAATTTTAAGTAGCATTTATAGTCAATTTGACAAAGAAGTGTTAGAATAAAATTATTGAGTTAGATAGAAAACTCTTTAGTACCCAACATGCCATAAATTACCTGTTGGGGTTACCTGTTTCACCTGACAGAAATTACTCGCACTTCTATCAGACCAAATCTGCCAGTTAGTAGCTAACTTCATACTAAATCTGAAATCCTTTTCTCTAGAATAAATGAGATGAACTAAGTATATTTCCCCAGTGAATCCTTGGTTGCCTTTTCTCCCATATAATTTGGAAAGAATGTGTTACCCATCTTTTCTGCCTTATTTTTGGATGCATTGAAAGAATATTGAGGATGTCTCTATATCTCAATTTTTCATGAAATGTCTCACTGAATTCCAAACTTTTGGAAATAAAGAGAAAAAGATGCAAGATTCAGGTCCAAGATACAGAATAAAAAAATTGATTATAATTTCAATTTTTTTCTATTATTTCCTCTATTTCCCCCCATTACACTTGTAGGTATTTATTTTCTTCAGGTTCTCATCATAATTTCTCTTACTTTAATCCAGTCTTGGGTTTAATTTATTTAATATTAATAGTTTATTCAGACAGGAGACTCAAAACATGATGGTGGAACTGTGCGTGACTATTGATGAACTTGGATAAGATACTACACTGAAATATTTGAAGCAGGTGTGAATATGTGTGTGTCTCTGTTTGTTGTGTATCTGAATTACTTAACCACTGGAAGGGATTAGCAGATAAGGTTCAAAATGTTGTATATAATGCTTACCACATATTTTTTCTTGGTTAGAGAATTTTACATCATATTAGAAGCTGATGACAAATGGATCTGAGGCTGCCTAGGATTCATTGCATAGCCAGATCTTGGCCATTTTATATTTGCAAGAATGATCTAAAGCCCACAAGTAACTAATTCCTCTGCAGTACCATGTCTATAAATGTACATGCTGTAAATTGAATATATGGTTAAATGTGATTTTCGGGGCCAAAAGCAATAAATCTGTCATAACACTTCTTTTTGAGACTCATGATGCCACACTGATGAATCTGTGATAAACAAGACTTGGAAGTATAAAACCATACTGGGTTTCAGTGGGCAGTTACATACGTTGAACATAAGGTAGCTTTGAGCTGTACTCCAAGTAGAAAGGCAGGCACATTATTTGCTCTGAGAGCGCTACACAAATGTAGAGCTTCTTCTTCATATTCATGACTTTCTTGATCTTTCATTCGGGGGAGTTACTGTATGCTTAGGTTTTAGCTCTGGCAAGACAAGCAACAATGCCTGAGATGGTGACTGCCCCATCATTTTAAGCCCCTTAATACTGACTAGCAGAGCACCCTACCAGCGCACAGTGAACATGTAGCATGAACGAGATATTAACCTGTTATTTTAAACCACTGAGATTTGAGAATTATTGGATTCTGTATCATACCTAGCCTCTTCTAAACTGATAGTTTTATCATTAACATGAGAGTGAATAGATAAACAAGTAGATAAAAAGCAAAAAAAAAAAAAAAAAAAAAAAAAAACAAGTAAACAGTAGCCTCCAACAGTGGTTCTCATGCCTGAATGTGCGTCAAAATCACCTGGAGGGTTGGTCAAAACATAGCTTGCTGGCTTTCACTCCCAGAATTTCTGATTCAGCAGGTTCAGGGTGATGCCCAAAAATCTGCATTTCTAACACACTTCCAGGCAGTGTGACCGCTGCTGAGATGGAAACCACACTTTGAAGATCATTGGTCTAAATTACCTTTCAAAAGAATATTAATGATAGTGAGAATGTGTATATTTTATCATGAAAAAAAACTACAGTGATTCGAGTAGGCTGTTCCTCTGGTACCATTGATGATATAATTTAATGGAATTAGTCAATTTCATTAAATTGTCAATCAGTCAATTGACTAAATTCATTACACTATATTACTGATGGTACCGGAGAACCAGCCTACTTGAATAATTCAGTTTCCCCTCTCCCCTACAACTCTCTCATCCCCAACTTCAGGCCAAACTTGTGGAGGGGAAGCTAGGGTAGGAGTATGTCATCTTCCCATCAGCAACCTGCTTTCTTTGCCATCTTCTCGCAAGTTAGACAGGGTGGAAGTGGGATGCTTCTTCTTGTGACTGCTGGAGTTTCAAAGGGCCCCTTCTCATTTGCTTATGACTTGTTATGTGAGTATTTGCATATCTATGTTGACAAGCTTCCTGAGCAAGATGGTTATTTATAAAGAATTACGTTTTGAGTGTTGGTGGAAGTCCCCTCACTGGTGATTATTGATGGGGAATTTAATTCTAAGCCACACAGCTGGCATTTGTGGCCCCTTGCAGGACTCAGGGCACCGTCAGGACCAATTCGCAGCTCTTCATTCATGCTTCTTTTTGTGCCACTCTGTATCTGGCCCCACTATACCTGCAGGAACAGTTTTCATAGGCTCTGTGCTTTCTCATCTGATACCAGGTTATTTATTCTCTTTGATTCTTTCTTAGGTTCCAAGTGAAGATATGATCCTCATCTTCCCCTTAAGTAACAGTAGTACTTACATTTTGGAAAGAATCTTACAAAATAACTTTGGAAAACATAGCAGTTTTGTCCTTATGAGGGTGTGGCTCCTGGGAGCCAGTCCATGGAGCTTCAAGCCTTCTGAAATATTCAGAAAAGAACGGTGCACTAACTGCTAAGTTTAAATTTAGCGAACGTTCAGTGGACATCTCTCAGCATAGAGGTTCATCACTCTGGCCTGGGACAGTGAGGGTTGGAGGATAAAAAAGTAACGCTCAATACAAAACTTCTATGCCCGCAAGATGTTCTTCCTGGTTCTGTCCCCTTCTCTCAAAGTATTTCTTTTGACTTTTCCCAAGGTCCCTTCTTTTGTGTCTGCCGTGTATTGAGAGTCACTTGGCAGGAACCAGACATACTTTGAACATGGCCCTGGATAATTTGATAATTCTATTTCGAATGGGCTGATTTTCTCCAGGATGATTCCTATCATATTTTGTAAACTCCCAGTAAAAGAATGGATCTTAGTATTTCACACTATGATGTTACATAATTGTTCATTGCATAGTAAATATGGTATTTTTAATCAGTGAGAAAAAGTTATTTCATAGCTGGTCCTGAGATGATTAATTAACACTTTGAAGAAAAAATATATATTGAGCTAACATTTATTGAGTGTTTACTAGGCTTGTGTTAAACCCAATACTTTCAATATCTCATTTATGTCTCACAGTAATCTGAAGAGGTAAGTCATATAATCATCTCCACTTTGCAGATGAGAAATCCAAGATTTGTAGAGTTTAAGAACATCATCAAATTCCTGAGTTCTGTCTGACTGCTGATCCAGAGTTCTTAACCAGGTGGTTATCAACCCAAATGAATTCTAGATACATTTTTAGGCATCAACAAATGAAACACTAATAAACAGATGCATTTATGTGAATGTGATTAAAGTACTTAGATATACATAAAAATAAATCAGATTGATGCATAAGAATTAAATATTAACAAAAATGAAAATATCCCCGTATTTCTGTTTTGGGCTAAATCCAATTCCTTCTGAATACAGATTGAAAAACAAACAAACAAAAAATACTATACAAATATACACGCACAAAATAACTTAGCACTCTTTTGATTCCAGCTTTGTTGTGAGCAACTGTGGGGCTTACGAAAACCTCAACATGGAGTCTTTGAAATAGTACCTATTAGGGCAGTGAAGTAAGGAATCTCCCTGTGATGGCTTGGAGAACCAATAGAGTCAGAAGACTATTTTTGACATGGAAAAATAAAATATTCTAATAATATATGAGAAGCAAGCCAAAGTCAGTATGTAAGCAATTATAAAAATTCTAAAAACTTTTTGTGTATTTTAAATACCATATATCCAAGTCTTGAAAGTATTTACTAGATGTTTTTTTGTTTTGTTTTTTTTTCCTGGACTATTGTGATTATAAAGTATTTTTTTATATTACCCTATTTTTTACACATGTTCGACATTTCATTAATAGTAATCTCATGATAAGGGAGAAAAGTACTTCTAAAAAAATTTCTACTATATTTGCTCCCCAATATCTTATTTAACTGTTTCTGAGGGATCTTGAAAGTTAATGTGGATAAGACTGGCAATTATAGCACTGTAGGAGAAAAAATATGAGAAATACGGGCCATCCACTGCTTACTTGCTATGCCACTGTTTTTCTAACACCAGATCTCTGGGTGTCCTATAGTTCAGTCAAATTCTGGCACTAGCTACCTGGAGTTAGTGCAGACCATACAGGTTAAAGGTTTAGTTCCACAGGACTGCCCCTGCTTCAGATGCCAGATTTAAGTAGGGAACTCAGGCAGCCCACACTTCTGTCTGACTTGGCTTCAAATTTTGGAGTTTCCACACCTCTATTCAGGTTCAATAATTCACTAGAACCATTCATATAAGTCAGGAAAGCACTATGCTTATGATTACATTTTTATTATCAAGAACACAATGCAGGGAAAGCCAGATGAAAGAGGGGCATAGGTCAAGGTATTGGGGAAAGGGGGTTGGCACACAGAGCTTCCATGCCCTCTCTGGGTGCAGCACCCTTTCAACTTGCTGGTAAGTTGATGTGTTCCCCAACTGGGAAGCTTCTCAGATCTCATTCAAGAGTTTTGTTGAGCAACAATAACCATTGTTTATTGGTGATTAAAGTCAACTTCCAGGCTGTCTCCCCTCCTCAGAGATCAACAGGGGAGTGGGGCTGAAAGTGGTGTTATTTTCTGGCAACCAGCCTCTATCCTGAAGCTGTCTAGGGGCCTTGCCAAGAGTTGCCTCATTCACATAACAAAATCACTCAGAAAAATCCAAACTTTTCTGAAGTTATGTGCTAGAAATCAAGGCAAAGACCAAATACACAGTTCATTTTTTTTATTATACCACATCCACAGTTAAAATCTGTTCAGTATTTGGTGAAAGATAAATTTCTAGTCATTTCTAGAGAGAAAACAAGAAAGATCTTAGTAAGTGAAAAAAGGAATTTCAAAACATTTTCTGTTACTTGGAAGTCAATCAATAAAATGTATTTCAATCTCAAATGTAAACATTTGTAAAGCTGTCCTTCCTAAATGCTAATCTACCAGTCAATCACCATGAAATCTTCAGCACCGCAAGCACAATTTGTCATGGATACCATGGAAAATCATATTTCTCTTATTAAGACATGTACCATTTCACCAACTAACTAACAGTTGCTAGACCATTGTGGGTTACTACAATCATTGAATTCCGTCTTTTTTGTCTCTGTGAACCAAAAATGTCCAGTGAAACAATCTGGTCCTCACTGTGGCCAGGAGTTTCTATAATAATTTCTGTGTCTTCATCATTTTGGCCTGTCTTCGCCTAGAAAAATTCTTTAAACTCATTCAATGAGTTGATGCTTAAATACTTAGATATTGTTTGCATAATTATAAGAGGGAGTAGTTGAGTAGTTGAAATGCTGCCATCACTGGCTGTGTTAGTCTAGTACACTCTAAGATTTTATATAATATTTTTGGGATCACAACCTAATTGTGATCAACATGGATATGGGCATGTGTTATATACATTTTGGGAGTTCCCTATAGGTTTGCAGAACTATATAAAATTGTGGGGAGTTACTTGCCATATATTTTAGAAGGCAAATTTTAGGGACACTTTACTGTGCAACAAGCTTTATGCATAAAACTCTTCAATGCTTTACAATTTAGGTGGAGAACCAAGACTTGCAAATAAATAATGCTAAATAATAATATAGAATCAATAAAAATGTAAGACAATAATAAAAGATATTGATGAGTTGTTATCTGATTAACTTCCAGATCAAAACAAATAAATCACAGGAGTTTAGAAAAAGAAAATTACATTCAGTGTGACTCTGTTTTCATACTCAGAATCTCAGTTTAAATAAAGGAACAGAAAAGACTATTGCTGATTTGTGATTCAATCTAAAAAGTTGTGGGAAAAGTCATGTCTCTAGGAAATATTTCCAGATTTGCAATATCCAAATGTATCTGTCTCATCACCACCACCACAATTTCTTGCAAAAGATATTTACAAACCATTCATAATTCTAGCTTCAAAGGGTGACTATTTGCTACTAAATTAAAGCCAATTTTAGCATTTGCCATGTATAACTCAGAGCGTTAGATTTCATTATTTGCTTTTTGACACCTTGAAGAAATCAAATTAATATTTGGGTTCATGTTTCAAAATTTTTGATGTGTTTTTACTGTTCTCTGTTAAAACAAAAAAAGATGGAAATTTAAGCGTTATAAAAGCCTGACAATATATTTTCACAAAGAAAATATACTTGAAAAGGAAAATTACTTTATCTATGCAGTAGCTAGACAACATTTTCCATATTTCTACACAGAGTAGGATAAAATTACATTTAGCCAGCAAGAGTTGGATCCTTGGGGATCCAACAGCACTAATTGTAAAGAAGTAATGATTTCAAATAGCTAGTTCATTAGCTTACATGTAGGCAATTTACCTTGCTCTTTGAAATAAGAAATAGGACCTTGAGAACAGACATATACAAATTAAAGACATACTCCAGGCAAAGTAATTTATCTTACTTTTGATGATACATTATTAAACAACTTCTGTGATTGCTCTGGGGATAATTTCTAGTGCCAAGCAAGGGTACCTCTGTCCTGCCCTTTTTGATATACTCATTTTAAGAAGATAGATTCCAAAAGGCTAAGATATTCTTTGAAAAGGTAACATTGAAAATGGAGAAATACGACAAAGGGCTTGAAAAGAACCGGGCAATAAAATTCTGAAAAATAAACGTGACATTGGGATGAGTAAGAACAATCAAGAGATTTTGAGGGTAGCAAATTAAAAAAAGAATTGTTATAAAAAAAAAAACAAAAGAGTAATTAAAAATACCGTATCAGTGGATGTTGCAAAAGATTTTCTGCTTGACCACACTTTAGTTAAGCTCTAAACTTTATCCTAGGCCCATATGTATACTTCCTTGTAAAATCCAGCAATAGCAAGGAACCCTGCTAAGTCAGTTTAGCAAGAACCTCCTATTCTCAATATCTGATCCCCCAGTATCTCAGAGAGCTGATCAGGTTTCTCATCCTCCACCATCCCCCAGGTGTTGTCTAATCACCCTGGCCTGTCTTCAACAAGAATCTTGGTAGGTTGGTTTACCCAGAATCTCCTTTACCTCTGATGTTTCCTCTAGTAATTTTCCATCCACTGGCCCCAGACCTGCTCTTTGGCTACAAATTTCCACTTGATTATGCTGTACTCAGAGTTCAGCCCAATCTACTTCCCCCACTGCAAAATCCCATTGTCTTGGTCCCTATGCCTATCTTGATGGTTATGAATAAAAGTCTTCTTTGTTATGCTTACTTGAATAATTTTTTCACAATGCAAATATGTAAGATGTTTCTCACTGGATACTAAAGTAACTGGTTAACAACATTTCAGGGTCACAGAGACATCCTTGTATTTACTTCATAAGTTAATTGTTTTGGGTGGATATTTTGGTATTGGTATTAGTCGTAGTAAGCTATGCTTTGTAGCAGTAACAAAATCCCTGAAATCTGTTTTTGCACAATACTCTAATTTCCAGGATTGTTGAATGTATTTAGGTGGCTGTATCTGGAACCTTTTACTTAACAATAACTCAGGGAGCCAGGATCTTTTCACCAGCTACATGGACAAGAAAAAAAGAGAATGGAGAATTCCCACCTACCTATTCTTAACTGCCACAGGTTGCAAACAACAAATCACTTCCACTAATTTTTATACTCCCCAGAACCCAATCACGTGGCTCAAATCTAACCATCAGGGATACTGAGAATGGTAGTTTTCCTGTGTTCTACGGGGAAAGAAAATGATCTGGTGAAGGCATGGCATAGTCTCTACCACTTACTCTTGGGCACATATGAACAGTAAAATGAGTTATCAAAGGCTTTTAAAATATCTGTATTTGAAAAGGAAAACTATGTCATCCAAGCAGCAGCTAGTCAACACTTCCCAAATTTCTCTATAGAGAATAAGATAAAGTTGTGTGTGTGTGTGTGTGTGTGTGTGTTTTTTTTTATAAATTTAGTTGATAAAGCTTTACAAATTTGTAAAAGAAGTCTTCCATGGGCCATGCATATGTTCATTCATTTGTTCTACTTATTAGGAGAAAGAAGACCTGAATTATAAGTTGTGACATGTGAGAATAAAGGGGGAAGCAGATGAAAATCATTCTTCTGGAAGGAGAAAAATATTGATTGTGTAATAGACCATTAAAAAATGGCCATTATCAAGTGTTCTTGGCATAGAATTGATATTAAATATTTGTCGGATAATTTTTGGGCCCAAAGAGGGGACCAGAATTCTTAGAACCTGCAAGCAGTGTTTATTCTGTGTGGGTATTTTTGTTTGTTTGTTTGTTTTTTGGTTTGGATGTTGAGTTTAATGATGCCTCATATGCACCAAGAGGATATAAAAAGGTTTCTTATTAACATGAAGAATCTTTCTGTGGAGAATAGGGCAGGCTCCCAAGCTGGTCTAAAAATGGTCTTGAGAGCGAGGAAAAAGGCCTGGGATTTATGGTGCTTACAAGCTGGGGCTGGAGTGTAGGTTCCTATGTATAGCCTGAGGCTTGCATGGTTTGAACTTCCCACTGACACCAAAAAAGAGAGCACTTAGGCTTTCCTATCAACTTACCTAGACACTGGGCAGAAGGGGAGTGGTGAAGAGTGCAGCATGAAAGTTGTCAGATGCCAAACATCAAAATGGAGTCAGAGTTTATGACAGTTTTTCTCAATCTGATCCAGTTTATTTCAGTCTCATTATATAAACAACACAGTTAATCTTATTTTTCAAAGAAATTTATGTGTGTATGGGAGGATTGTGAATATTAATAAGAAATTGGACAATTTAACTTTCAAGATCTAAGAAGATTCTTTACACAAGCTTTGAGATTTGTTACACACATAGATGTTTAATATCAAAAAAGTAAAAATCATGCACTACTCAAATAATCATTCTCTTACTGTCAGGCAAAGTCCTTGACGGTCCTTGGTGTAAGAAATCTCCATGGAATAAAAGTTGGAATGTATGCTGAAGTTAAAAAACTAAAAAATGCTATTCAAAAACGGTATCCTCATAGTAATTTTATTTCTTTTTATTTTTATTTATTTATTTTTTGAGACCGAGTTTCACTCTGTTGCCCAGGCTGGAGTGCAGTGGCACGATCTGGGCTCACTGCAACCTCTGCCTCCTGGGTTCAAGCAATTCTCCTGCCTCAACCTCCCAAGCAGCTGGGATTACAAGCGTGCACCACTATGCCCAGCTAATTTGTGTATTTTTAGTAGACATGGGGTTTCACCATGTTGGCTGGAACTCCTGATCTTGAACCCCTGACCTCAGGTGATCCACCCACTTTGGCCTTCGAAAGTGTTGGGGTTACAGGCCTGAGCCACTGCCCCCGGCCCTGACAGTAATTTTAAACACGAAAATTATAACATGGATTTGTTTTATTCATTTCTTTCTTTCTTTTTTTTTTTTTTGAGACGGAGTTTTGCTCTTGTTGCCCAGGCTAGAGTGTAATGGCGTGATCTCGGCTCACTGCAACTTACACTTCCCGGGTTCATGCGATTCTCCTGCCTCAACCTCTAGAGTAGCTGGGATTGCAGGCATGCGCCACCACGCCCAGCTAATTTTGTATTTTTAGTAGAGACAGGGTTTCACCATGTTGGTCAGGCTGATCTCGAACTCCCGACCTCAGGTGATCCAGCTGCCTCAACCTCCCAAAGTGCTGAGATTACAGGCATGAGACACTGTGCCCAGCCTCATTTTCTATTTAAAAAATTTCATTATAAGAACACAATATGAGACTATAAGTAGACGCTCTTAGATTTCTAAGTGTACAATACAGTATTGTTATATATAGGCGCAATATAGCAAACTTCTAAAAATTTTTCATCTTGCATAGGTGAAATTTTATACCTGCTGATTAACAATTCTCCATTCTCCCTTCCCTCAGCCCCTGGAAATCACAATTTTATTCTTTTTATTACATACCTAATGTATGTCGGGCTCCAGAGTCTCGGCAAGTTGGAAAGCCCTTAAGTAGTTGATAGGCAATTTAAAACAAGAACAGCATAAGCTCTCCAGTCATTCAATGTTTAATTTAGGGACTGGAAAATTTCGAAAATAATATGTATTTCATTTTACCTCTCCTGTCTGCCATACCTGCATAACAAATTAGAAATTGGCAGACAGTTGATAAGGAGAAAATGAACTCCAGGATGTGCTTCTCATCTCAGGTACGAAAAGTCATCACAGTTTGGGGCTCAGGGGATATGTGTTATCTCCCACAGAATGGAAAAAACGTTCAGAATCATAAGATCTTATAGTTGCAATGAATCAGCTAGGCACGGTGGTATGCACCTGTGGTCCCAGCTACTGGGGAGGCTGAGGCAGGAAATCGCTTGAGCTCAGGAGTTCAAGGCTGTAGTAGCTATAGTCAGGCCTGCAAATATCACTTTACTCCAGCCTGGGCCACATAGTGAGACTCTATCTCAAAAAAGGAAAAAAGGAATCAAAATGTCACTTTGTTCAAAATTCTAACTAATGCAGACCACTTTGTACACTATCCCTGCAGGTGGTCATCAGATATCCAACATTAATATTTCCAGTAACAAGTTTTCACTACTTGCAAGACAGTCATTTTGTTACTTGTCAAAGTAGAAAAATTTTCTCTTTCCTTAGCTTCAATGGAATCTCATTCTTATTATCAAGCTATTTCTCTGGGTAATCTTTCTGATTCTTCTTTGATGGTACTGCAAACCCAGAAAATTAGAAACAGTTCTCACTTAATTTAGAAAGTTTATTTTGCCAAGGTTAACACAGCCTCAGAAAGTACTGGCGACATGTGCCCAAGGTGTTCGGGACACAGCTTGGTTTTATACATTTTAGAGAGACATAAGACATTAATCAATATATGTAACAAGTACATTGGTTCTTTCCAGAAAGGTGGGGACAACTTAAAGCAGGGAGGGGGCTTCCAGGTCACAGGTAGGTAAGAGACAAATGGTTGCATTCTTTTGAGATTCTTTTGATATTCTGAATCAGAATATGCATCTAAGGGAGCAGAAGGATGACTTTGAATAGAATAGAAGGCAGGTTTGCTCTGAGCAGTTTTCAGCTTGAATTTTCCTTTTAGTTTAGTGATTCTGAGGGCCCAAGATTTTTCCTTTCACAGTACTTTTACAGTTATCCAGGGTTATGATATGGTCCTCCTTCCCTTCTGAATCTACACACCCTCCATAATTCATTTCTTTGATTCTTAGGATTCAGCTTCAAATTCTAACATATACAGAACGATCATTTTTTTTTCTGAGTTTCAGATCTGCATATCTCCCTGGCCACTGAATGGTACCATTTGAAAGTTTTTAAGCCTTTAAAACTCAATATGTCTAAAAAGGCATTTGTTGTGTTATACCACATACAAGGTTGTCCTGCCTGTGGCTGCTTTCTCAGAGAATAATATCAACAGGTCAAGGCAGATATATGGGCGCTTTCCTTAGTAACTACTGCCCATTTTCTCTATCATTGCCTGCTTCCAACAGCCAAGACCTACCATTTCTACTTTCTAAATAACTCTCACATTAAGTGTTAAGAAGCCATAGTGCATAGGTGCTAAGGGTTCTTCTCTCTTGAGGAGACTTCCTGGCTTTGAATGATGGTTCTATCACTTACTACCTTAACCTCTCCTTGGTTACAACCTCATTGTAAAACGGGGCCCATGAAACATACTTAATTTAAAACGGTTTTTGTGGGTTAATAAAATCAAATTCTTAGAACAGTGCATGGTAGATGATAAGCACTTTATGAGTCTTAATTATCCTTTTAATTTTGTTCTTCTGTCAATTCCCATTGGAATCTTTCTAGATAATATCTTCATCCTTTCTCAAGTGCTATCTTACAAAAACTTCTCTAAAAGTTACTGGTATTCAAAGTTCTGGTCTGGCTCCTTCCATCCAGTCCTCATAGAAAAGTCAAAATAGGTTTATTGAATCAGTAAGAACCACTATGACCCCGCCCCCCTCCCCCGTGGTTGCTAGTAGTATAAATTATAGACTCCTAAAGTTCAAGCCCAAGCTCCTTAATATAGTTGCCCCTGTGTTGTATTATCTATCCTCTAATTACCTTTTCCACTTCATTTTGGACCACCTCTTCCCTTGCTTACTGTATTCCAGTTCTTTGAATCATTCATGTTCTTTCTTATCTCTGGGTTGACTATTGCCCTTGGAATACTCTTTCTACCCTATCAACCCTCCATGCAGTACTTCCACTCTTTCCAATTATGCTACTGTAGTATGTTTCAATTTTACCCAGTTCTTCCTTATTGTAGCATCTTTGGTATGCAGTATAATTGATAATTTTCTAGTCTGTAAAATATCCCAGGAGATACTGTAATCTCTAATAGAACAAAGATGAGTGGCTGGTACATGGTAATGCTCAATAAGCACTAGCCTAATGAATGAATACATTTTAACTAAAAGCTGCCAGCTAATTTTTTTTTGCATTTGGAAAAGGGAAAAAGCATACTCTCACTATCTATGTTTTAGTCACCTCAATCTTTGAAGACAGAAATGTTTTGCCCTAACTGAATCTTTTATTTTGTCTAAAATTTTCCAGTTTATTCACAAATTCTGTTATGACTTCCAACATCTTAATATGCTACTACTCAACAAACTCTGGGCAAATTTCATAGCTAACAAACACTATGTCCCAATCTTAGTCAAACCATGATAAAATACTGGGCATTCTGATCCTCAGCTTATATAGGAATTGATGTTCTATGCATTGTTTACATAACATACTCTGGTCACAAGCTCTGAACGCTTCCAGAAACTTGCATTGGTAAATGTTAGAACTTTACATGGACACTAAAAGTTACCATTTGTCTTTCTTAGGTGACCCTTCATCAGATATACAATGTGTTCCTAAATGTATTTTGGGGAAAACTAACTCTGCAGGTTCCCAATAGCATTCATTTAAATGAAGAATATTCCACAATCCAATAAAATTGGGAAATGCTGAATTAAAATAGCATCTTTACTACAGAAATTCACAAAGCTTTGAATATATTAATGAGTACTGAGAATATCTGGGCTGGTGGATAAAATATGAAGCTTTCCCCTTAGCTTGACTTGACCTTAGATCCCTTTTTGTGCAAAGTACATTTTGGGACTAGTGAAAAACCAGCTTGGGAAATGCTTTTTCTAAGCAATAGATCTACTTGAAAACATTGAAATTCTGTATAAAATTTTGTTAATTAAAATATTCTATGACCTTACTAAGAAATATTTTAATACTCTATGTGTCTAAAACAGAAAAGCAAACCATATAGTCTTTCCTTATAAACACATTTGGAGTTCAGACCTACTCATAATTCCAGCTAATCTTTCCTTCAAGCATTCATTTGCTAGAATAACCTGGCTATTTTTATGTACTTTTTCTTCTTAAAATCAGTTGGCTCATTCTCATAGATATGTTGCAGCTGTTTGTGTGTATGTGTCTATGCATTCCTGCCTGCTATAGACAGAATTGTGTCTCCCTAAAATTCATGTGTTAAAGATCCTCACTTCCAAAGTGACTGTATTTGGATATAAGGTCTAGAAGGGGGCAATTACAGTTAAATGAAGTCATAAGAGTGAAGAATTGATTTGATGGGATTAATTTCCTTGTAAGTGGAGATATCAAAGAGCTTGCACTCTCTCTCTACCTTATAAGGACACAGAGAAAAGGGGAGCTGTCTGCAAACAAGGAAGAAGGCCCTTTCAGATACTGAAGCCTCCTGGGAGCTTGATCTTGAACTTTACAGCCTCCAAACTATAAGGAAAATATATTTCTAAATATATTTCTATTGTTTAAGATTATGGCATTTTGTTATGAAAGTCAGAGTAGACTAATATAACTACCTAATTAATCCTGACATCAGTTATCCTCAGTTGTATTTCCTCCATTAACTAAAATCAAGTGAATATCCCCCAAAAGAGTTATAGCCAAACTCAAGAATTTGGATGTTTTGATTCCAGGGATTTGTTATTACATAGTTCTTCCATTATTTTCAGTAGAATAGCTTTCTTAACTAGTACAAAATCTGAGCTCATATCTGACCTCATTTTTATTCTTATGTCATTTTGAAAAGGAAACAATAATGAGTACAGTAAGTCTAAAATTTATTCTAAAACCATAATCAATTTCCTGGCTTCTATAAGGAAATAACTTTGATACGATGAGCCAAGGTTCGTGTTGGTCTTTCTTTCTTCCCTTCCGGCAAGCATTACTATCACCTGTCTGAGGGGCACCTCTGGCCCAGAAAACAGATGAATGATTGACATCATCTAAGCCCAGTGACTTACCAGGAACTTGTTAACTCAGATAATAAAGGCTCTCCACATTTTCATGCACTTTTTGGTGGTTTATTTTGATTTTAAAATGCCTTACACTTTAGAAACAATGAGTCTAATCCCCAATGGAATAGGAATGTTGTCTATGGAGAGATCTACTTCTCATTCATGATATCAAATTTTCATCATTTTAATTATTCATTTTCATTTAATCCAGGTATATTTGACATTTGCTTTATTGTTAGAGAGATTAAAATATATTGTCTTTGATTTTAAAAAATCCACATGCATCTCAGAAATAGGTGTACACTGTGTCATTTGTAAATGTAGAAATAGTTATCTGCAAAGGTACATGCTTTTCTTGATGGTCAAAGAAATAACATTCTTTAAATTAACATTTCCCAAATGAGTTCTATAGAAAATTAGTTCTGCAGGATTTTTTTTAGATATTAAATTAAGGAAGGATACTGTAGTTTAATATGTTTAGAAAACTCCAGGTTAAACAAAGTTAAATGGGTTTCTTGACTGCAGTATGTCTGATATTGTTTAAATGTTAAATTGCCTTGTGAGTTCCCAAAGGGAGCATATCATATGCAATATTTTCTGAATTTAATTTGATCATATAAACCTCTTTTGTTGTTGTTGTTACTGCTACTGATGTTTATTTTTCGCTTCTTTGCTTTCACAGAGAGCATCATCTGTTAGTGTTACACAGCATATTTTAGAAAATGCTCTGTATGTAAAGATACGAGCCTTTCACATTGCATGAACATATAAAACTACTACGTGCTTTAAATTAATTCTTACTTTAAAGATTAATTTAACATTAAATTCTAAGTAAATATTAAATGCAAATTTTGAGTCTTCATACAGAGTCCTCAACCTAAAGAGATGTAAGTATCTACACTCTATGGCAGTGGTTCTTAAAATGTAGTGCACGTACAGCAGCCTCAGCATCATCTGGGGACATAGAAAGACATTCTCAGACCCCATATCAGACCTGGATCAGACATGCTGGGGTTAGGCCCGCCAATCTGTGAGTAGAGGTACAATAAGATGCGAAGTTAAACCACAGTTACACCTAAACATATACCAATCAGTCCTCTGTTCTAAGCTGTTTCTTTATTGCATCTTGAAATAAGTAAAGCAAACTCAGCACTACAAAGAATATTTATGAAAAAAGTTAATCAGAATGTTTGGATAGTTGATTGTTCCAATCTGTATTCTGTCACATTCACAATTGCTTTTAGGCATGATTTTAATGCCCTTGCTCTATAAATACTCCATGAGACTCCTCAACTTTGAAATTACAACCTGCATAGCCTTCAGAAATTCAATAAGCATTATAGTGTAAAATCAAATTACTAATTAGGATAGTCTTGAAATAAAGCATAACTTTCTTTGAGAGGGCTCTTTAACATTTCAACATAAAAAATAAGTACAATCAACATAATTCCTCACTTCTAGAAGAAAGTGAAAAAATCTATACATTATCTAGGGTCACAATTCACAATTACACTCTTCCATGTAAAGGAAGAAGGACTCTGGGGCAATCAGTTTGCATAGCAAAGCATGATAATTAACAAAAAAAGGGATGAAAGTGCCCTCCATAGACAAGTTTGTTCCCTATCATTTTTAGGCCCAGAAGATAATTTATCCTGAGTGTTGACTAATAGAAGCCTTTCATCCTCCTTGGTTACACCAGGGTTGCAGCATAAAAATAATTGACTTTTGGGCTTAAGTGATGAATAATCCTATTTTCTTCCTAACCCCTTTGTTGAAATACCACTATATACATATATTTGTATATATAATAAATATATATACTATTTATTTGTGTATGTGTATATAAATAGCATATATATACACACACACTGTTTTATCTGAAAACTTGCTTGACCCTTCATACAGTATAAAGCCTGAATTTTTCAACTGAGGACTTTTCCAAGCCTGCTAAAGTAAATTTGGTTTGAGTTTTTGTTTGTTTGTTTGTTTTAATCATAGATTTCTGGAGCTCAGTGTAAACTGTTCTGGCATATGTAAATTACATTTTAAATAAGTTCTTTGAAAGTTTTCATATAAATAGGACACAACTTTTTTATAATACTATCTGTTTAGCTAGTAGTTCACTTATTTCATATTAACCTTGAGGCAACTGTTGGCCAAATATGGCAGTTTTAAATAACATGAAGAGTCTTATGTATTTATGACTTTTTGATTATAAGAAACAGAATTAAAATTAGAGCTGACATCAGCCAAATTTGATCGAGATTTTTCACGTGTGACCTCTCATAAATCAATTCTGGAAGGGGTGGTGTGGTGGATAAGGTATATGGGGGACATTGGATAGATAGAGAAGATAAGAAGGATTAAGAGAATCCTTGTAGTTCAGAAAGACCCCCACCAAAAAATCCTTGTAATTTGGGAAGACATATTCCAAATGTATTGAATAGTTTCTGAAAACAAAATCACAATGCCAAAGAATTATCTTTAATTTTTGAACTTCTAGTAAATTGATTCTACTTGAATGATTAAGAAAACCCATGTAGCCGGGCGCGGTGGCTCAAGCCTGTAATCCCAGCACTTTGGGAGGCCGAGGCGGGCGGATCACAAGGTCAGGAGATCGAGACCATCCTGGCTAACAGGGTGAAACCCCGTCTCTACTAAAAATACAAAAAATTAGCCGGGCCTGGTGGCGGGCGCCTGTAGTCCCAGCTACTCGGGAGGCTGAGGCAGGAGAATGGCGTGAACCTGGGAGGCGGAGCTTGCAATGAGCCGAGATCGTGCCACTGCACTCCAGCCTGGGCGACAGAGCGAGACTCCGTCTCAAAAAAAAAAAAAAAAAAAAAAGAAAACACATGTAACCCAGAATATAATATTAAGAGGAAAGATAACAGAATTCAACAGCAATAGCCCTGTGTTCCAACATGAAAAAAACTTCCCTCAATTGAATTTTGCTTTAATGTGACATACTATTTGTATCCTTTGGGATAGAATTTAACTTCAAGCTTTGTTTAAAGTGGTAGTAAAACAGACCTTCTTTGAGGGAGAGAAAACAAAACATGTTCAGTTAGTTTGCTGTGATGTGATGGTATTTACAAGGCTCTTTTATTAATTCAGCAGAATTTGGAATTAAATGGATGGCAGCTATTAACTTGGTTCTGGAACACTCAGCAGGGCCACTGTAAGTAAGCATGCCTTAAAACATGAAACTTGTCCAAATAAAGGGTGACATAAATTTTGTAGTATAATTTAGTTTTAAAAATAAAACTAGGCAAATTACACCAGTGGACACATCAGGAGAATGTCCACAATTAGAGAATTGCTAAGATGTAGCATTACAACATGAAAGAAGTTGAGAGAAAATGTCACAACTGATGTGCACGGAGTGATCTCCTTTGTTAAAAAAAATGGGTGATGCTATCCATCTTCCTAGTTAGTAACCAATTTCCACACAGTTCTTTCACTTCTATAAGGTCTGACAACCTCTAACCCTTCCATGGATACTTACTTTTTCTCATATTATTATATAATTTTATTTAGAGTAAGGTCACATAGCTCTGAAAATAATTGTGAAGTGTATTGGGGCATGTATTAGTCCATTCTCATGCTGCTAATAAAGGCATACCCAAGACTGTGTAATTTATAAAGAAAAGAATTTTAATTGACTCACAGTTCAGCATGGCGGGGGAGGCCTCAGGAAACTTACAATCATGGCAGAAAGGGAAGCAAACACGTCCTTCTTCACATGGCTGGAGCAAGGAGAAGTATGAGAACTGAGCTAAGGGGGAAGCCCCTTATAAAACCATCAGACCTTGTGAGAACTTACTCACTGTCACCAGAACAGCACAGGGGTAACCACCCCCATGATTCAGTTACCTCCCACTGGGTCCCTCCCACAACATGTGGGGATTATGGGAACTACAATTAAAGATGAGATTTGGGTAAGGACACAGACAAACCATACCAGGCATAAACCACGTCTCATATTCCTTTTCTGCACTTCACAGGGCCTTCCTATCTGACCATGGAACACACAGAAAACACTTGATAGATACCAACTGATTCTTATTGAAGTACCCTGATATAGACTAGAAGCATTCCACAATATACAGATAAAGCACTCAGCATTAGGTGGGCTGTGGTATACCAACCACAAAATAATATATTTATTTTTCAATATTTTTTCTTTTATTGATAAAAACTACACAAAAGCTAATTGATAATTAATTTAAAAAGCAATGTTACACATTATCTTGTGTTTAGAAATTTGTCAGCTTGGCAGTTTCATTCATTGAGCCCATGGTCATATCTCTCTTATAGCCTTAGTCCACATGAGAATGATTCTGCTGGTCTTCTCATTCGGAGATCTTCATGGCTCTCTCAGGCATCCTACACAGTGAGGGCTGCCAATGGGACAAAACAAAATTCCTTCTATCATGTACCATATATGGCATTTGTCATGAAGGGTCATTCACCCAGACTTATTGGGTTTTCCAGTAGTTTTGTCAAACTTTGTGGTCAACTTTCTCCGTGGTCCGTGGTAAAGCACATTTTCTTTTGGTACAACATAAGCTTTAATGCTCATGTTTTGTATTAGAAACTTGACCAGGAAAGAAAAAAATTAAAACAAACAAAACAAGAACAAACAGCATTTTTAAAGAAAAAATAAATGAAAGCAATTTAAATAAAATCTGTGAGAATTACACACACCTAAAGAGGAAAACGGTTGTTTCCCTAGCTTCCCACCCACCCCTGTTTATTTGCTCCCCTGTGGTTCTCCAGCCCAGGAACCATGCAGTGTAGAAAAATCAAATATACAAACAAACCTATATGTAGCTAGGGTGAAATCTATTTTTATAAGAACTTGACACTCTTACTATTTACATCCGGGAGCATTTTTGTTTGTTTTATGTTTTAAAGCAAAGAAAGTTCTGCAGTCCTCCCGGTAATGCTGCAGGTGCATTCGCTGCCCTCTTCAAGCAGTTTTTTTTTCTCTTTTTCTTTTCTCTATGCCATAAATGTTTTAACAGGAACGATGAGCTTGCTCGATTGCGCGATTGTGGACACCCATTCTCCTTTAAGATGAAGGCCCTCCCTCCCCCCCATGGAGCTCCCCAGTGAGGAGTTGGCTTCAGCGTTAGTTTGCAATTCTCTCTAGGTAGATGGCCGGTGCTGCCGACCTGGCGATGGTGGCGATGAAGCTGTGGTCTCGGCCCAGCTCCAGGCCGGGGCTTTCGTCCTGCTCTGGAGACACTGTCTCATAGCCCTTGGTGACATGGAGTGGCTGGTGGGCCTGGCAGTACCCGATCACAGGCTGGTCATAGCTGTAATATGGCAAGGGCTTCATGTGGTGTGGCATCTGGATATGAGAAATAGAAAGATGGGTGGATTATAAAATTGCTTTGGAAAGATAGGACAGCACTCATCAGGTTGTATTTTTGTTCTCTTTCATGCTGTTTCAAGTCATCAGCTACAAATTCAACTACAAATAAACATTAACAAAATGATGATTACTATTTAACTCAATATTGTTTTGTCAGCATATTATGTGTATAGACTTTGTACATAAAACAGTATCTTTCAACTTTTCATTGCTCTAGCTAGCTAGCTAGCCATTGCAATAACAGAAAGTTAGAAACAACCTAAATGCCCAGGGAATTTTAAAATTGATTATGTAGATCCTACATTTGAATGTAGATCTTAACAATATAGGGGAGGATCTATCTGTTGTAATACGGCAAGATATGGTACTAAGTAGAAAAATAATTAAGGTGCAAAAGAATGTATGGTATGATCTGTTTTGTGTAAATAAATATATTTACACTTTTATTTATATATATAAACATATATGTAACTTTTTATTTGATACCTATACACAATTGAAATCTTTACTATCATCATGTGTAACTTTTATTTAGTTTTAAAAAATAATCACAATTTCCTATAGATTAATTCTAACACTCTATCACATATCAATACTGGACCAAAGAACTCTGGAATCATGGGAGAAGGCACATCTTTATGTTCATAATATGTAATGTTATTATTGGTTTTCAAGGTAACAAGCCAAATATGTGTCTAATGTTAGCGTAACAGACCTGAATAATGGTCTGCAGAAATTCATTTAATATAAAAAGCAGAAAATATCAGTTATAATAATTTTGAATTTTGGTGGAGCTTTTAATTAAGCCATAAATTTCTGATAAAGATAAATATATTCCAAATTTAGGAAAAAGCAAATGATACTTGCTTACTTGTTGTTCTCATGCTAGAATATTTCTCATACTTGCGAGTTACAATTTGACACTCTTGATGAACAATCCACAGATGAGAAAAGTGCAAAGGCTCCATTGCCCTGTAAGGTTAGATGTTGTGGCAGGTTTTAAACTATTGACTCTCAGCTCTAAGTTCCCTTCTGTGGTTGCTTTTAGGATGCTGAGGTTTGGACTTTGCAAACCACATATCTGTTTTATTTGTGGTTTCCTGTTAGGCTTTGCCAATGGAGGGAGATGGCAAGACTTGGCAGGGAGAGGGAATTGCTCCCATTGTTGGTTTCCTGTTTTGTTTCTTCCTCCTCCAGGAATTTATCCTAATGGCATGTCTTCATTCTGGCTATATCAATTTATTCCCACAGCAGCAGGTGCTGCCTCTTTGTAGTATTTCCAACATTTGCAGTATATCCAACATTTGATCTCATCAAGCCCTCCTCAGAGACACCAGCACTAGCACCAGAGAGATTTGAGGTTCATCACCACAAAGCTTCTCCTCCAAGCTTTTAAGTCTTAATGATCTTCCTTTCGTTCCCTCAGCCCTGTAAGTTGTAGGGGTGGTAGCTACTTCCTAACATTGCTGTTTCTGTGATACCACAGCAATATCTTAGCCTTTGCATAAACTTGGTTAATAACTCTATATCCAGTTAGCATTCTTTCTAAAATTTCTTTCTTAAAATAACTGATATTTTGTCAGTCTCCCGACTGGACTATGTTTGAATCCTTCTGTATCTAAAAGTGCAGAAATTAAGTTGTTTTGATTTTATAATTTACTAGAGTTAACCACCAGAGGTCTTATGGCTCCCTATACTGCAGGGAGTTAACCAGTCTTAAATATAATTCAGCAAACTTATTTTTAGATGTCATTCGTCTGTTTACTATGCAAGTTCCTCAAATGCTCTTAAAACTAGCTCTAGTATTTTCTTGCTGGTATTTTTATTAATGTGATTAATACAACGTTGACACAAATTCCCTCTCTATTCTTATGAGAATTATGTTTTTAACACCTCTCTGCTTATTAAGGGGAAAGTCACCTCCTCACAGTTTTTAAGTCTTAGATTAAAGCAATGTTTTCTATGCGCAAATGCAACTCATTAGTAGGTTATGAAATCAATTTTGTGAATCCAAATAAGCATTTAAAAAATTAAATTAGCTAGAATAGAAAGTATCAGAGTATAAAGATAAGTTGTTCATAAGAGTTTTGTTTTAAATTTATGTATGTGCATATCAATGTGTGTACTGGGACACATTTTGAAGTTTGAAAATTGGGAATCATGGTAGACCATGTTTTTGAAAAAATACTTGATCAAAGCACATATTCAGATTACAATTTATTTTACAGTGACTGGCAATAGCCTAGATAAATTCCCATTCTGTTTTTACTATTCACTTCTATTAACTTGTATAATTCACTGTTTTTCACAATGAGTTGGAAAATTAAATCAATATGTAATGCTTTGTTTCTGATTTGTTGTTGTTTTACCTCTAAAGGAAGGTAAAAACTATTTTCAGGAAGTCTTTTACAAAATAGTAACAAGAGTATTTCTCATCAAACAAGCTATTGATAAAATCTTGAATATGCCATTCTATTCTGTAAAAAGGAGAATTGCAAAAAATACATACTAGGTCAGAGTTGTGATTGATAGTGATATTTTAAAAATTGGACCTTAATTTCTGTGCTGACAGAGAGAGCTAGGAACAGACTGTAAAGTGACATGGCCGAATTACTAGATACTAAATAAAAGTTAGCTCTAATCTCCCTCACCCCAAGTCTATTGTTTTGTTTTGTTTTTATTATATCTTATTCAATGAGACCTCTTTCAATCAGTACAGGTTCAGACGTAAAATGTTTGCCAGCGGGACCTATTTTAGGAAACCTCATAGGATTTTTCAGGGTGTCAGATTCCTGGAGATATGTGGGATTGGTGCCATGGGTCACTTATACTCCAAGAAAGCATCGAAATGTAAGAAGACACTTTGTGCTGACATTTCAGTGGGAAGAATGCTTTCAAAAGGGATTTCCTAAGAGTAATACAGCCCATTCGTACTCTCTTGTTAACTGGTGAAGTAACATAATTTGAAAATCACATAAAAATTCAGCAAATTATTTCCAAATGGAAACAACATTCACTGATTATAGAACATTTATTCTACACTTTAACTTAAATACATGACTAATTTTCTACAAATTAGCCAAATTACTAAAAGACATCAACATGAACATTAAACATGGGTTGTGGTTTTGTTCACCGTCTTGTAGCTCTGTCAATGGTCTTCACAAAGAAGAGATACTTGAATTCACAAACATGTATAGAACAGTGAATGTGAGATGAAATCAGGGCCTTAGGGATCTTTTTGCACAACCAGGTGAATCTACAGATGAAAATAAGTAGCTCATAAGTGAACATTGTTGAATTTGCAATGTTTACTTAAAGCCTTTTAATTTAAACTATAGTGGGAGATAACAATTTCATAGCTAAGAAATCATGGTATTTGTCTTTGAATTAAGTTGACTTAAAAGTCAAGGGACCTGCATTAACTGCAAAGCTTTACGTTTACATATTACACCATTTCTGAACTGAGAAAATTTGTTTTGCTATTACAATTGCAGTTTATTTTTTTACAGCACTTAAAAGAGGGCTCATGTCATTTTCTCTATTGTAATTGAGGCAGGCTTAAAACCTCTTGGAGAGTAAAAACCATTGTAAAGTTCCCTCCTGCACAGCAGACCAATAGCAAGAATTCAAAAGCCAAGTGCATTGGCAAGCTTTGAAAGAGTATCTGAAATATTTGCTCTTTTACTCTTCAAGTGTATTCTATAGGGCACTATGTAATCAACTGAATTCGTGGTTTCTGAGGAGCTCAGAGGCTGAGGTCTTGTACTTTACAGTAATAGTGTACAGTACATTAACCACCTGGGTCCCTGTGTGTGTCATTGTTTCCTTTCCAGTAGTCAAAACAAAGTATTCTTAAGTTTTGCTTAATTCAGATTTGGTATTTTTGTAAATGTGTTCTCAGAGCCTCTCCAAATGGTTCTGTGTTCCATCAGCTCTCTGATGAGCTCCACTCTATAGCACAGCAGAACAACACTATTTAAAGATGTCCTCGTTAGAACACTTGACTGCTCATTGACTGCATTGGAAGCTGCACTTTATTTACAGATAATGGATGTGGAGCACAGAATTTAAAAATCACATAGAGAAATATATTCTACTATTCTGAAATTCTGCTGTTTGCTACTCTGAAGTATATGAGCACTTTAACATAAATCACATTAAATTGTTCTTTCATTCAGGGATAGTTTAAATCTGAAGTAGGTTGTGAAAGGGAGGAACCATTATGACTAATTATAAGTCACTTTAATCCTCTTGAGTTTCAAGTAACTCCTCTGAAAATAGGGATAATAATGACAACTCATTGACCTCTATAAATTTCAGAAGATGCTGAAAGTATTCCCTGATACTGAACAAAGAAGGAATACACTGAAGGGCCATAGTCACACTCTGGTTTTACTCAACACTGACAGTGTCTTTCTTGAAAGGTGACATGTCTTTTGTCTTACAGTTTCCATTTAGAGAGATGCTAGCACATGATGGCTCATAGATTGGCTCATTAACAAGCCCTTCAGTCCTATTTTCTGTGCTAAGAAGCTAAGAAACTTTTGTGTATGTTCTGGTTTTCTAAAAACATCATTTATTGTTCAGCTCGAGTATTTTTTTCTTCAAATACAATGAAGAAGTTAAAAGTGACACATTTTTTTCAATTATAGGGGTTCATAGTGTTAGTAATTCAAAAAGAGAAGTTAGGGAGAGAGCGTATTTTTCAATGTTGGGAGGCAGGGTAATTATAGAGGACTATGTGGAGTTTCACAATCTGAAAATTGATTCAAATCCCATAATTCTAAATCTACCATAATTATATTTAAAGTGAGAAATGAACATGTCTGTATAGTAAATGTGAGAGCAATGTGAAATGGACTCTTGATATATATGATTGTGAAAGGCTTTTGAAGTTCAGTTTTGTTATGAGCATGAAATTCCGATATTGTGACCCTCTTTTCTCAAAGGTATTAGCATTAGTTGTAAGTCGCTTAAGAGTCGGATCATTTTAAAATTACCATGGACTATCATTGGTCTTATTTGTTAACTTTTCACGAACATTGTTCACATTTCAGCATGAGTTCTTTCAATTGAAGTCATAAAAAGTTGATTTTCAATTTTCTAAATGACATTTCATCTCTAATTTTCAGAATTAAAGGATAGTGTCTAACTACTCAGGGCATTTAAAAAGTACCACTATATAAATCCAGATAAAGAATTCAATGCAGTTGAATTGCTTAATGAAGATAGACACTTCACTTATTGAAAGTAAAATTAATTTTAAAATGAATGTCCATAGCTAAATGAATATATAACTTAGCTGTTATTCTACTGGCTATATTAGTATGTGACAAGAATGGACAAGGAATAAGTACATGTAAACAAGTTTGGGTACTGGTTTTTTTCAAGAACTTTTATTAAACTGATAGAACCTCAACTCATTTAACTTAGACAAAAGGGAAATTTAATTGGCTCATAGAATACAAGAAAGGATATAATGGCTAAACTAAAGGATGAGCAAAGATAGCACTGAGTATTAGGAACAACTGAACCTAGGAACACAATGTCATCAGCATCCTCTCAGGGTCCTGTCAATCAAACATGCCTGATAGTTTCAGCATGTTATCTTCATATCCTGGCTGCCAAATGGCTTCCTGCACCTGACAGACATGTAAGTGTGAAAGCTCCCAAGTTTTACGTATTCCACTTATGGTAGATTACATTATGGCTACAGTTATTTCTAGCACCCCTCACCAATAGGTGAGGTGTCTACTTCCCTTTGCCTAGAATACAGGCTGGCCTTGTAACTTCTCTTGACCACTATAACACAGTGACAGTGACATTATGTGAGTTCCAGGAGCCTAACCTATCTAGCCATTGCCCTGTGAACGTGCTTAGATTATTTTGCCAGAGGATGGAGGCTATGTGGAATGACTGGCATCTTAGACCAGCCAGTCTCTGCAGCACTCACGGGAGCTCATCACAAGCACATGTGCACAACAGCAAAGTCCGCAAAAGACCCTAGATATGTAGAATTGCTCAGCTAAGCCTAGCTCATATTGCCAACCTCCACAGACTCAAATATATGTTTTCTGTTGTTAGCCAATCAGCTTTGGTGTGATTTGTTATACAGTAAAACCAGTAGAGCAGCTTCCATTACCAAAAAGGACTATATCATGTGGTCCCTGGTACCACTTTCATTAATACATGAAAAGATCTTGATTATTTTATCTTAGTAGTCTATCCCTGACCATTTTACTATACTTACAATGTTCAATATTTATATAGATTAAGTTGAATCAACTTCTCAGTTCTGGTCATGGGGAGGAAGTTTTGCAAAGATAAGACAGCTCCCAGACAACTAAAAATTGATTATTCTGATGACTAGAAAACTTATTTTACAACACTATTTTGAGAAAGTACCTTAAGCTCAAAAGTTAACTGTTCTGTATTAAGATGGAAATTTGAGTCCTGATCTGTGATTACTAACTCCAATTTCCCATCCCAATGTTTTGTAAAATGAAGTGTTTTTAGTTTTTTCGTGTTTCTTTTTTCATCACCAAACCAAAACTCTTAGAAACTTCTGCAAGACAGAGAGGACAATATACTAAACAAAAAATGTTCTAGCATATCGTTCGATGCAGCTATAGAAAAAACTGGAGAAAAATTATTTGCAAAACTATGAATCTCTCACTAGCATGGTGTATCCAGGGCTGGTAAAGAAGGAGAAAAATGCAGAGTTTTGAGCAGTTCCCTGAACCTGTGTAAAATGAGAGAGAGCACTGGAGTTATAGGAAGAAAAGGAGCCTCAGCCTTACTCACAGGGTTCACGTTATAGAATATTAAGGAAAGCAAGGGCATATCTGAACCCAGAAACTCACATTCTATTTGTAAACTAAAATTAAACTAAGCCCTCCAAACTGACTGAACAGACCTTCTTTTGGCCCAGGGGACCTAGAAAAAAACTGAGTTCCTGGCCATGGCAAAACAGGAGGTCAGACATGCCTCATTATACCCACTCCCTGGGGAAGTTTAAACACAATTGACCAGCATTAATGTTAAAAAAGCTATCATAAGACTGAAAGAGCAGATGCTTTGTGGCAATAAGATACCAAATTATAGGCAAGACCTAAGGCCATGCCAGGCAAGGATTAAGTCATGCACCCCTACAGATCATTTTGACCCAGTATGCTGTGGTTTGCTCTCACAGCCTGACTCTAGCACAGTATCACATGATAATTGGTAGACTTCTTTATCTTAACTTAAACATTCCTTTTTATGAACTTCAAGTTTTTAGACATAGCTTTGTTCCTTCAATCATTTGCAAATTAAAGAATCTCTGAATCCATCTATGACCTGTAAGCCCTGGCTTCCGTATATTCTGACTTTTTTGGGCCAAACCAATGAATGACCTCCATGTATTGATTCATGAGTTTGCCTGTAACGTTTGCTTCCCTAAATTGTATAAAACAGAGTTGCATTCTGACTGCCTAGTGACCACTTACTCAAGGCTTCTTGGGTTTATCTTTTCTCCAGGCTGTGCTCTCTCATATTGAATTAGAATAAACCTCTTTGAACAATTTAAAAGAGTTTGATTTGTTCTATCATCATATTTAAAGAAGGTAATTCTTCAAGTGACTTCCTAAAACAAAATCTCTCTCCCTACTGTTTTATTTCTTGTTCATCTGCCTTCACCTGTAGCAGTTTTTTCTTTCCCCAATGTCATAGTCAACTGGTTCATTCATCAAACCAAACCTCTCTTTAAATGGAGGCCCATGCAATCTCTGAGCTCCTAATATTTGATATACACAAAAATCTCCCTCCCTAAAGAGAAGCTATAATAGAGAAAAATCTGCAGAAATAAGAAAAATTCCAGAATTCGAAAGAAGACGAGGAAGGCAAGATTTACTAAAAATGAATGAAAATAGAAACAATTTAAAATGTATTCTCATTGAACTCCCTCATCTAAAACGTTGCTCAGATACTTAGATATTTGCTGAATGAAAGAACAATAATCATACCCTTTCTTTATTTTGTTTTGAAGATGGAATAAATAATAAATCTAAAAAATAATCTAATTTATGGAATAATTCATTAAATTTATTAACATTTATTTTAGAAAATCTTAAAAGGAAAACAAGAAGACAGTGGTGCAAATTGATGCCTCATTTCCATTTCTTTTCTTATGGGCTAAAATGTGTATAGCAGATTGAGCACGCAAAATGTACAATACTCAACACACTAGATGTTGGCTTTTTACACTGATTGGACTATTGGGACAATTTTAAACTTTCATTTTGACAAAAATTTCTCTATAGCATTTGTTTGTCTTGTCCTGTTGTTATTTAGAGGTGGGAACATGTACTATTTGTGTACTCAACAGTTATCCAAATTTTAACTTTTAAGTCAGTCAGGGGATAAGA
This sequence comes from Homo sapiens, assembly GCF_000001405.40. Classification (NCBI taxonomy): domain Eukaryota; kingdom Metazoa; phylum Chordata; class Mammalia; order Primates; family Hominidae; genus Homo; species Homo sapiens. The sequence goes on from NC_000002.12 coordinate 76,757,349, forward strand.
GAACAAAGATCCATTTCCATCTTTATTGCTCTCCTACCAGGATTTGTTGTCTATGAGGTGCCCAGAGAGTTGATTAAGTTAATGAATGAGGTACTAGCCATCTTTGAAGTTAGCTTTGACTCCATTAACTGGGAAGCTTATTACATTAGCAGCACTCGCAGTATTCAGTGAGGTTTTAGGCTAATGAGCTGGATTAATTAGCTGGTATTAATTTCTAAAGGCTTTCCTTCGGTAGCTCTGGCCTCTAAATTAGAACGAGTAAAGTCTCCCCAATAGTGCATTGTAAGCAAACAACCTGTTTAAGTGAATCTACATAAATTTGCCTCCAAAGTACTTACTACAAAATAGAGATGATAGAATTTCCAATCACATAACTTTCTCCTTTGTGAAAAAAATAATTGTAGAAGTTTTAATGACATACAGAAGACAAGTTTCTCCTAAAACGGAAAACAGTGATTATTACTTGGGCACAAATTCCCTCCAGGAAAATTAAAACCATGCAAAAGTAAACAAACAGAAACAAATCCTATCAGCCTATACAACAGGATCAATTTAAGATATGTTTGTTTTAATCCCTTCTCAGAAATTTGAAAAAGGAAATGAAAGCAGGAATGCCAGTACTAAGAAGGTGTAATCGGCATTACAGAGTTTTCCATTCAAGTTCACTTGCAGTTTCTCCAATATTTAGAGTAGCCTATTTCAGTTTCCATATGAATTTGTGTAGTCTTCAATTTGGATCTATATAAAACCATTTCTAGTGCCCTTAACTTGTTTTACTTAAGAACATGCATCTTGCCTGAGAAGGATGCAACTGATTTGCTTGCCTTTTGCAGATTTTGAACATATATTCACTTCGTGACCCTCCCAATGCCTCCAATCTGACAGTACAGTGGGCATTCAGTAAAACCCAGGAAATTAGTTAACAAATGTAAAAGTGAAATGAAATTCACATGTAAGTGAAGTGATTGAATTTCTTTCTATCCTGTACCTCTGTAAAGCAGAATTGCATATCCCATGGTAAAAGTTTAGAACCTACAGACTGACACAGAAGGAAGAAAACTGCAGAGGACATACACATGCTTGATACAGTGAAATGATTACCATGAGTCTAATAGAGTACAAATGTAACTTCTTGGAAGACTGGCTGGTCTTCATGAAAAGAGGCATTGAGATGTATTTTTAATTACAAAAAGGGGAGAAGCCCATTTAGAAAATGCAATTAAAATTTTTATTCTGATTGAATATATTTTGGAACAACATGGCAGAATGACTCACAAATAATACTGGTCTCATATTTTAAATAAAATGTGTAAAGGTCTAGGTTAATACCTGGATCCCTGCCATAGAGTGTATGCTATTAAGGAGTAATTATATGAAAGTGAATTTGCCATAATAGTTCATTTATTTATGTATTCATTTCATTATTCACATGGTAAATATTTATCACAGAGGTTGGCAAACGTTTTCTATAAAGGGTCAATAGTAAACATTTTAGACTTGCAACCCATACAGTCTCTACCATAACTACTGCAGTCTGTAACAACCACTCAAGTCTGCCTTTATCATGAGAGAATAGGCTTGAACAAAACATAAATGAATGAACATGACTGTTTCCATAAAACTTTACAAACAGTGACTTGGGATTTCATTTAATCTTCATGTGTTAAAAAATATTTATTTTCATTTGATTTTTTTGTTTCTAACCATTAAAAAAACTAAAATCATTTAGGTTGTGGGCCAATTTTCTGAGAGTTAGGCCTTGTGCTAGGAGCTGGGTATATAAAGAAGAATAAAGTAAGGGTGCTGTACTCAAGGAGTTTATTAAGAACTGACAGAATGAGACAAACCTAATTCCACTTCCCTGTGGTTTAGACTGCATAATACAAATCAGTAAAGCCGAGGTAGAAAAGCACTCCCAGCTGGCAGGCACTGCAGATTTCACTGTGAAGATCCAGGTCTTCTCTAGAATAAAGCTCTCAGTGCATCCCAGACAATGAGCTGGACTCACGTAACCTTGGTACTTGGAAGTCAGACTTGAACCTTCAGTTGGGAGTGCTGAAGTTACTATTCAGGTCATTTAGATCAAACATGATCTGGCAGGATAAAAGCCCACTGACCTTTTAGAGACGATCTTACAGGGACACTCTTAAGCCAGCAAACCTGCCCCTGGGTGTATGATGGCTTATAACTCAAGGCCTGGGAGAACTTTGGTGATTTTGTAAAAGGGGTCAGGTTCACGAGTTATCTAATCATAAACAATGTTTTTTTTCCAGCTATTGTATATGTGTGTGTGTGTGTATGTAGAAGTCAAAAATAAGACTTCGTTGTATTTCTCAATTTCACCAAGCCTTTTCCTCCTGTACTTGGACTTTTGTATTCACTATTCTCTTTGCCTGGGATCTCCTTCCCCTCCAACCCCATTTTTCTGCAATGGGCTTGAGTTTCAGCGTAAATGTCATGCTTCTAGAGGGGCCTTCTCTAACCACCTGTTTAAAATGTCACCCCACGCTGATTCACATATGTAAACCATTTCCTGTTTCAATTCCTTGTTTATTTTCTTCATAGCATTTTTTTAAATGTTAAATATTCTTAATGATGCTCATGTTTCTCCTTTGCTAATAGTTTACCCCAAAGTAAGCTTCACGATGTCAGAAAACTTCTATGACAAGTTTGCTGCTGTGTGTAGAATGCTTCAATAAATATGTGCTATAAGAATGTATGAATTTGAGAGATATTTATTAGAGAATTGAGTTGTATTTGGAAGAAGTTTACCTCTAAAGCTGTGAGCGTCTCACTTTCCTTTTCCTTTCTGTACGATCTCCCACCCATTCTTACTTTCAAATTAAAACAGGACATCTAGAATCACAGGCCACCGTTTTCAGTCTACAAATATTTGCATACCTGGCACTGTGAGGAAAGCTAAAGATATTAGAATGACTAAAGCTGTCCATAACCTTAAGGAACCTGTAGTCTAATATGGAATACAAAGATAAGCAGATTTTTGTAATGTAATTTCATTTGTGGTGAAATGCCATATTGGAGATGTGTGAAAAGTGGCAAGGAAGGAAAGAAGAGGGAAGGAGATGACTATCAGGTGGTTTCTGAGCCAAAGAATGGGTGCTTATGAAGTCAGCAAGAGATAGACTGCTGGTACGTGTAGCTTCCATATACAGACAGCACGTCTGCTACTGCTACCCTGGTAGCTGGCCACATATGTACAATAAACAGCCTACTACCCAGGTTGTACACATCAAAAAGCTACTCATTGTCAAATCTCGGTGTATCCAATTCACCCACAACTTGCCCTTGTATAGAATGGAACACGCTTGATCACTTTAGCCATTATCCTCACCTTCCAGCCCAACACTGACTTAGCGTTTTGCAAAAAAAATCATCTCTACCTTCTAATGAGCAGTAAAAACTAACCATAGGCCTGGGATGTGTAAGGACAGGTCATGAATTTGGCTGCTTTCTCAGCTGCTGCTGAAAAACAAAACAACCCCTGCCACCCCGATTCAGAAGCCAAGAGGAGTCATTTGAGATTTCTTCAGCCATCCGAAATGCCTTTAGAGCAGTGGTTCTCAGTCCTGGCTGCAACTTTGACAAATCTGTAGTGATTTTAAAAACACTTGTCTGGTCCCTATCCCAGATCAATTAAATCAAAATTTCTAGGGTATGGCCCAGGCCACACTATGTTTAGAAAGCATCCCTGGTGATTCAAATGTGCAACCTAGGTTGACAACACCGCTTAATGTTAAATTTAGGTTGCTTTTGCCTAAAGATGTAGGCCCAGCAGGGCGTACACAGTATGATTTAACTAATTCCCTATGCCTGCCGGGAGATTGCTTGACTCAAAACAAAGCAGGCTGCTTCCCAATCAAAAACCACCAAATGCGGTGCACACCTGTGTTTTTTGAGCCTCCAACTAAACTTTCTTTTTTCTTAAGCTCATTACCACTAATTATTCTGTATCACCAATTTGAGCCTCTTCACTTGGCCCTATTTATATCCTTGCTGGTGATTAAACTGCTATCCTCTTAGTTACCATCAATTTGGTTATGTATATATTCTATTCTTTTGTCTAAAGTTAGGTGCAATTCAGTTGGGTAAGTTTAACAGCCATCATTATACACATGTTTTCTAAATAGCTACTTGTAGGTGAATTTACCTTGCAGTGATGGCAAAGTGCCCATAAATGTTCAGTCAGCTGGAGAACTCCTTTGGCCAAACACTTTCACAATCTATTTCTTTTCTTTTTGTAAGTAATTTAATTTACTGAGATGGTAGTAATAGCCCATTCCACTTTGCACTATAGGGAAGAAAGGATATTTTTATCTACTTAAAAGCTAATAAGGACTCTCACTGTTGAAAAATATTCAAACCTCCCAATTATTTCCATCAAGCGATAAATTTAAAGGAAAAGAAAAAGAATTAAAACCCCAAAGTGTTAGCAAATAAGCAATAATGACAAGGAGACACTTAGGGGAGGATCATTAAATTTATCTCTGCTTTAAAGCAACCTGATGCTCAAATATTAATATGTAGGGGGACTACAAAAGGATGTCCTCTGACACTGGAAATAATAAGCATTGTCACATAATTCATGAAATTCGCCATTTGTTGTAGTAAATCATAGGAGGAGATGATCTGTATGTGTGAGACTACAGAGAATAGCTTGCAAAAGCTGTTCTCAAATCGTCCACTCACTCACCCCCAACTACAGCCGCTACCCATGCCAAAGATCACAGGGCTTATTTACTTGGCTCTAACTGTTATACCATGCTCCAGTATGTACCCTCATGGTCACATGCTTGCACTTCTCCATCACTACAGAGCATTACCTTTACAGACTACCTCCATTAGCTCCTATTTCAGAATGAAGCTAAATTGAATATCCAGATTGTTTGACATACTCCAGGGGAGTTAGATAAATTCACCACGCTGTACTTTGTTATTTTTCCTGGCCATCACCCAGAATATAAGCTCTTCTGGGCATCTAGACCTCCTCCACACCATTTCTATAATATTATTTTTGTTTTTCTTTGCCCTAATCTTTTTTCTGCTTTTCCTACCAAAAATTCTACCCTCACCTCTCAAACTCTGATTTCATTACTAACTACCCTTCACCCCAAACTACTTCAATGAATGTGTGTCGCTTTCTCTGCTGTGTATTATGATTTAATTTTATGTGGCTTCTATATGGAAACTCAAAGTGCCATTTGTAAGGACAGCAGATAATTTGTATTTATCATTCTGAAAACATGAAAAGGCTCCATGATTGTTTTAACTCATCATGCAGCAAAACTCATTGATTTAGACTAATTAAGTAGGACAGGTGTGGTGACTCATGCCTGAATTGCTAGCACTTTGGAAGGCCTAGGTGGGAGGATTGCTTGAGGCCAGGAATTTGAGACCAGCCTGGGCAACATGGTGGGAACATGGCTCTACACACCACAGTATAACTCTTTAATGAAAGCCATAAATTACATAGCATTTTAAAAAACAGTGTTTATGTCATGTGAAGCAGGAAGTTTGTGTTTAAATAACATAACATCAACAAGCTACTAGTGTCTTTTCACTTCTATCCCCTTGATGGGTAGAGTTTATGTAATATGACTGACGGAAAAGAGAGAACTAACTGGTTGTGCAAGTAGAGTCTCAGAAGATTGAGGAGAATAAAACAAATGATAGAATGGCATTCTCTTCCTTTCTATCGCCTAGGATTGAGGAGGTAGGAAGTGATGAAAAGGTTTACAAAAGATTTTGTGACACATTGAACATAAAAGGTGGCATATATTTACTAGGGAATTTATTCTCCCCTATTCCAGGAAAAAAAACAGTGCTCTCATACCCTTTGTCTAGTTAGTGGCATTAACACTCTTTGCACTGTGGACTGAATATTTGTGTTTCTCCAAAATTTATTTTTTAAAGCCTTCATCTCAAATGTGGTTGTATTTGGCAATGGGGCCTCTAAGGAAGTAATTAAAGTTAAATGAGGTCACAAGGTGGGTTCCTGATCTGCTAGAATTAGTGTCTTCATGAAAAGAAATAACAGAGAGCTCTCTCTCTGTACTTGGACAAAAACAGTCATGTGAGCACACAGTCTGTGGTCACCCACAACCTAAGAGAAGAGTTCTCAGAGTGAAACCTACCTTAATAGCACCTTAATCTTGGACTTCCGGCTTCCAGAACTGTAAGGAGCAAATTTATGTTGTTTAAGCCACCTAGCCTATGCAGATGAGTTAGGACGATCCAAACATATGAATAGAGATTTTGGTCCTGTGAAGTGGAGTGCTGCTCCAAGAAATAGCTAAAAATGTAGGCATGGTTTTGGATCTGGGTCATGGGTAGAGGCCAGAAGAGTTTAGAGGTACATGCTAGAAAAATACTAGGTTGTCATGAAGAGTTTGTTGGTAGAAATATAGAAGAAGTTAAAGTTAATTCTGGTGCGGAATCACAAATAAAGAAGAGGGTTAGAGGGTATTCTGTACATTGTAGCATGTTTAGAAACACCCCTTGCCTCTACCCACTAGATGTATTATATATATTCTTTTTAGAGAAGATATAAACAATCATAAACAGAATGGTGGTAGAGGTATGGATGATAAAGGTCATTCTGGTCAGGTCTCAGACAGAAGTTAGGAGCAGATGATTGGTCACTGGAGTCTTTGTAAAAAGAACTCAGTTGAATGTGTTGTAGTGTTTAGAGGAAGAAAAATTGTTAGTGATGAAACTGAATATTTAGCTAAGGAGATTTCTAAGCAAAATATTGCAAGTGAATCCTGGATTCTCCTGACTGCCTATAGTAAAACAATGAGATGCAAGACATGAATTGAAGAAGAAATTATTAATCAGAAAGAAACCAGAACTTAAAGATTTGGAGAATTCTCAGCCCATGCATATTGCAAAAAAGAAAAAAAGAGAAAGCATGTTCTAAAGAGAACAATAAGGCTGTGACTGGACCATTACTTGATAAAGTGATTAAGAATTATATAAACTGAGGCAGGGCGCAGTGGCTCACGCCTGTAATCCCAGTACTTTGGAAGGCCAAGGCGGGCAGATCACGTGGTCAGGAGATCGAGACCATCCTGGCTAACACGGTGAAACCCTGTCTCTACTAAAAATGCAAAAAATTAGCTGGGCGTGGTGGCGGGCGCCTATAGTCCCAGCTACTCCGGAGGCTGAGGCAGGAGACTGGCATGAACCCGGGAGGCGGAGCTTGCAGTGAGCCGTGATAGAACTACTACACTCCAGCCTGGGCGACAGAGCTAGACTCAGTCTCAAAACAAAACAAAAAAAACAAACAAAAAATTATATAAACTGAAACACTGCCAGTTTGAACTAAGGGAGACAGAGAAAGTGGGAAAGAATGAAGAAGACTGCTGAACTTCTTGGATCCCACCAGGAGAGGACTATAGAGCTATCCAGCTGCCAATGTAAGTTTTCCTTCTAGAAAAGGGAAGAAAAAGGAAGGATGACCCAAAGGCTCTTCAGAGACCATCTGGGCTGCCCCTCCCACCATAGGTCCAGGGGAAAAGACTGATTGCTCCTTGGTTTCAACAAGCCAGGCTGTTTCTGCCTGGAGCCTTGGGGGCAGGACCCCAGCCTGGAAAATTGTGGAAGTGGAGCTGTCGCCTAAAGTCATGGATGTGGAGTCACCACCCAAGTTGGTCCAGAAAATGGACCACCACCCATGTAGGACTGGAAAGTCAGGAATTGAGCCAAAAAAGATTATTTTTGAGACTTAATATCTAAAGGAGTTTGCCTTGTAGTGGAATTTTTTGGGACCCATCACAACTTCCTTTCTTTCATTTCTCTCTGTTAGAATAGGTCGTCTATTCTATGCATGTCACAGCATGATACTTTGGAAGCACGTAATTTGTGTAGTTTCTCAGTTCACAGCTAGAGAGAAATTTTGCATCAGGATGAACTATACACTTCCATTCTCACCTATATCTGATTTAAGTGATATTATTTGAGAGTTTGGAGTTTATACAGGAAAAAGTTAATGTTTTGGGGGATGCTTGGATGAAATAAATTTATTTTGCATGCAAACAGAACGTAAAGTTTTGGGGAAGAGGAGCAGAATATTATGTGTCCTAACCCTCAGTATGGCTACATTTGGAGATAGGGCCTCTAAGGTAGTAACTAAGGCTAAATGAGGTCATAAAGTTGGAAAACTGATCCACTAGAATTAGTGCCCTTAACAAGATGAGATGCTAGAGAGTTCTTTTTCTCCCTTTTTCTCTTTCCCCATGTGTACAAAGGAGAGGTCATGTGAGCACACTTGAGATCACTACTGTCTACTAGCCAAAATAAGGGGCCTCAGAATGAAGCCTTCCTTGCTATCACCTTAAGCTTGGACTTCTGGCCTCCAGGACTGTGAAATAAGCCTCTGTTGTTTAAGCCAACCCATCTGTGGTATTTCATTCTGAGAGCCTGAGCCTGCTAACATAGGCACCATCACCATGGCCTGGTAAGGCTTTGTATGAAGATATGTGGATGATGTCACAATGATGGAGGAAATGTAGCTGCAGCTGATGAAGCATTTTGTGAGAAAGTATTGTTAGTTCTTCTGCAGGTGTCCAAAAACATTTCTTGAAAGAGAGATGAGTGAAATTCTGCAATTTAATAATTGAGTGGTGGCTTTAGTGGAATTTATCTAATTTATAGACTCTGGACTGAGAGGAAGACCACAAGGATCATTATATTAGCTTCCTCCAGATACTGGGATCTTTCTCCAGAGAAAGTACCTCTGAATTTAGGGAAGAGCCTACAGAAGCATGATCATTTATCCTTTCTTGAACATCTTCCTTCTTTCTCCATTACATAGTACAGATCTTTATAACATTTAAATGAGGCTGGAACTGGGAGGGGGTTATACATGTGGCGAATTGTTCCTTTCTTGTGCTAAGTTACATTTAACATACAATTGAAATCCAAACTGGAGCCATTTATATATATTTAGGCTCTATTTCTCATGGTATCCAACTGGGGACCACGGCATTAATACATTTTCTTAAGATCCTCTAAGGTGCAGTTCTCCTTGTCTTTCTATGTTATCCCAAAGGACCACGACTACTGAAATGGAGTCCAGGCAACTCTAAATTAATCCATGTCTTTGGATTGCATATTGGCTAACCTTTTACCCCTTCAGTTCTTTTAACTGCCCTTCTCTGCCCTGCATTGTGCCCAAGGAGGCTTGTTCTATGACTAGATTCCTTCATCAAGTTCTCTTGCTGTCTGGCTGATTCATTTCTGTAAGTAAGAGGCACCCAGTGCCAATAGGAGAGGTAGTATTTATTTCTTGCTAATCATTCCTGCCTTGCTACAGTTCTGAAGTAACTGGTTTCTGCTACAGCAGTAGTTGTCAACCTGTGGCAATTTTCCTCCTAGGGAATTTTTAGCAGTGTCTGGAGACATTTTTGGTTGTGGAGATTGAGGTCTACTGGCATCTAGTGGGTACAGGCAAGGGGTGTTTCTAAACATGCTACAATGTGCAGAATACCCTGTTACCCCCAAGGAAAAAAGAACTATCTGATCTAAAATGTCAAAAGTGCAGCTGCTGAGAAACCCTAGGCTATAAATATAGATCTTGCTAGATGAGCCCTCTAGACAAGCCCTCCTTCACAGCTACAGCTCCTACCTAGATCTGATAACCCTGCATCTTCACTTTATCTCTTCAGGCCTAGTGGAGTGGTAAGAGATTCCTGTTGTTTCTGTTTGAATTTTTCACCACCCTTTGCAGATCCTCCCCTTAACACTACTCCTATTTCTACAAAATTCCCTCTATTAAATTCTCTTTTTATTCAAAGTTTTGAGTGTGCAGTATTTCTTTCTGGCATTCTGACTGACATGTAATTTAGGTGCACATGCAGCAATTTATATGGACGTTTAACATCATCTTAATTTGTGTATTACATTAGAGGTGAAATGACAAACTTCTTTCATCTGTACTAATTGCTAACATTTATTGAGTGATGTCTCTGTGTCACCCATCTTTATGAGTGCTTTATGTGAATTGAAAACTCATTTAGTGTTCACAGCAATGCTATAATTCGGGTAGTAATAGGATTCCCATTTAAAAAATGGTAAAATTGAGGCACAGGTGTGAAATGACTTGCCCAAGATCACATACTGAAAGTGGTTCTTAAGACTTGTGCTCAAATACTATCTCGTGTAGATACTCTGCCTTCAGAAATAAACCACTCTATAATATCTAAAGCTACAGTTGGCTGTAGTTTATCATCCAAGTGTGAATCACAAACAGATTTTCAGGGTAGCATTCAAGGCAAGTCTTGATGGCAATCCATGCTCCCACTCTGCATAGCATTTCATTTTCTCTTTCTTTTACTTCTCTTCCTTAACTTCTTTCCTCCTGTCCTGCTTCCCTTTTTCTCTTCCTTTGTTCTTCTTTTATTTTTACATGCCTCTTCACATCTACTCTTGCCTATTTTTGCAAAATGCAGGTTTGTCTCTGGCACCTAAATGTTAAAATGGACTGAGTTCTGTCTTTTGAGTCAGAATGACACGCAAACCATCAGCAGCAGAAAGAATCTATAAAATATTAATTAAGCCTATTCCTGGGATTTAATGAAATGTTAGGCATAAAATCATTTAAACATTAATTTTCTAAGTGCCAGTCCCTTGAAATGACAATATAAGCCAATTTCATAAGAAATTTGTGACATAATTGATTGATTCTTAAAGACTATACTCAGGAAACAGAAAAAGCAGGTTTTAATTTATGTGCATATTATATAGAGATAGAATCTTTTTTAAAAGACAAAGTGATATAATTTATGTAAGGCCTTTGGTTTGAAAATATAAAATGTTGCTATTTGAAAGTAATAGCTTCTCTTCTCTAAGAAATTATGACAATAGAGGAAAAGTATATTGGTTTCTTTACATGCAACAATTCTAAGAATGGTAACTTCTTCTATCTATTTTTCACAACAAATACACACAACACTTAATATCAAAAGCTTAGTCTGGCCAACACTGTGATAAATTGATGCATTGGTGGATGAGTGAAATTAGATTTTTTCTTTAGAATAAATATTGGCTTTTCATTAGGTCAATCCAGAGTTTAAAGCATGCAAAAGAACTACCCAGGAAGTGACGGTTTCTTCAAAGAGGTATAAATACTCTTTCTAGAGATACACAAATTATCCATGCTTGGGGAAAACATTTTTTTCCCCAATTTCTATGGCTAATTGAGAGAAAGCACAACATAAATGTCCTAAATTTATATATGGAAAGAGTTAGGACTGGAAGTTTATGATTGTAAATTCAAAGAGCTCTTCTATTTTTTCCTCTTATAGGTACAAATATATCCTCAAAAATTAGGAAAATAAAAAATCCCTTATTATTTATGGCAACTTTCTCCAAATATCTTTCATGCAGTACGAGAACAAAGATATTCTCACTAGGCATTGCGGAGACTTCACTGAAATTAGGATCTGATTCCTCCTGCATGAAACCGGTAAATATTTCTGAATGATTTGGAGAGATTAATTGCTTTTTTCATTATTTGTAGGCTATAGAATGTGCTGGGGACATGCTATATTGAAATTCACATAAAACTGACACAAAGAAATGTCTTTTCTTGATGTACACATCACTCTAGTTAGTGTTACAAAGAGGTTTGAACAAAGATACCAAACGAAGCATCTTGTGGCACAGTTTAAGAAATGACTCAACTTTCTTTGAGGGCCTCCTCATAATCACTAAATAGTTTTAGGAACAGTGGGGCTATAAAGAATGTATTTCATTTCATGACCATAAAAAGAGGCAGGTGAAGGTCATTAACATCTTCATAGGACTAGAAGGAACGTTCTGCTCCCTTGGTTTCATAAACTGCCACCACTATTTAAGGAACTCCTATTTACTTAGACTTAATCTACCCTGAAAAACACACAGAAAAGTGATCTCTAATGATTCCACTATGTTCTTATTCCCAATCACATGTAGGACTAGAAAAATGTCCTGATAAATAAAATGAAGAAATTAATTTGGAAGATATTTAAGGCCTGCTTTTGCCTTAGTCTGTGTTTTCTGTGAACACAAACTTCTCTATTGGGAGTAGTTGACAGTGATAATATAAGCTAAGCTGGGAAAATAATTAAATGAATTTCGGATTTGAGACGTCTCTAAATAAAAGCTCACTTGCAACTGAAAAAAAAACAAAAATAATAACGAAAACAATAATATGGTTGTTAAAATCCTATGCTAAGTGTGTCCAATGTTCTTTATCACATTGGTCCACCTACTGTAATTCACCTGACTTAGGATTTTATTAGAAATGCAAACTCTCATGTCTGACGCCAACATACTGAATTCGTATCGGCATTTTAACAGGACCCCCCAGATGACTCGTATTTATATTAAAGTTTGTGAAGCACTGCTTTACAGATCAGTTGTTTCACGGAAATTATCTACCAGAATGGAAATTGTATTTTTCATAGGAAAAATAGAAGCCCTATGTTTCTGCCATGCCTAGATAAAAAAGTGCATTATAACAAAAAATAATACCTTTTTTTCAGAATGCTGAGAAGTCACAGCAGCAATAGCATCAACTATAAACTTCTTAGAAATATAAATCATTTATCCCCATCCCAGACCTACTCGATCAAACCTCTGGGCTTGGGCCCAGGAATCTGTTTGAGCAGGCCTGACATTATTCTGATGCATACTGTTGCTTTTAGAGTGGGAGATGAAGACTCACCAGATGTAGTCAATCAGTCTGAAAGTCAATTGACTAGTTACCAAATAAAAGGGAAATGTAAGTTTCAAAAAGGGGCTTAGATGGAAAATGGACTTTTTTCATGAACAATGCCAAGTTTTAAAGGATTAATAATATAATACATGTGAAATAGATCATGGTTGCTATATTTTCTGCAATGTCATAAATCCTTGTCTTTCAAAACTCATACAAAATATTAGCTCCTTCGGTAAACTCATTTCTTAATAACAGTAACTTTTTGCTGTTCTGAACTCCCATCTCCATCATCTGTATTGACCATGTGGTGATTTTTACTTTCCAAAAATTGTTACCAGGGACCACAGAGGAACTGCTTTCTGGAGTAGTGTAATGTTCTGGAGGGTAAGGTTTGTGTCTTGTACCTATGTAACCCCCAGCCACCTATATCTGCAACACAGTTGATATCAAATATGTGTTCTCTATTTAAATGTTTGTTAATGTTTTAATTTCGGGATGAAAAGGCCAGTATTTTTGCTTGTTTCTTTCTGGTTTGGAGGTCATTTTAATTCTTTTTAAAAGATGAGTAACTACCTGTAAAATACATTGAGATCTCTTGATTAAAAGTAAAAGCTATGTAAAATACATCTCCTTTTACATATTCAGCATTTTTTAAAAACCACCAGCAAAGTCACAGAAGGTCTTCTACCCCCCAGTAGTACAATTGAAACATCTGACATAACATAAAATATGTCTCCATTTTCATGCATTTAAATTTCTAATTGTTTCTCGATCCCTTGGAGAGCTTTTCTAGGTCAACTAAGTACTCACACTGTGCTACATGTTCCAAGAGTTCAAGTTAGCCTTTTCTCTGTAATCCTCAAAAAACAGAATGCTACCACATGCTCCTCATTTATACAATCGTTAGAAAAGATCCTAAGAATAATTTGATTATTTGACTGTCAAATGCAAGCCCTTACAGTTGTAGATGTCTGTTTAATGATGTTATTCCTAGCTCCTTAACATTTAATATTTGCCTCTTCTTGTACTTTAGTTTCTAATCCAGATTTAATCCTGAAAAAAACTTTTTACAAGGTAACGAATTGTTGAAAATACAGTGACACAATCACTGATTCCTCACTTTCAATTCAAAGAAATGATTAAAGGAAGAAAAAGATGAAGGGAGAGCCACAGGAGTTGGAATCGCTGTATCAGCTCTTCGGAAACAGTATCAAGTCCCATTCATGTCCCATGACCTTAGAGGGTTTCGGTGAGATTTAATGCAGCAGGAATGAGATAGAAGAAAGAAAACAATGGCTGACTCAGAACTACTCCATCTGATTTAGATAAGATTGAAGCAAAATCCCATGAAAATGACCTTGTTTGTAAGAATGAGGAATGGAGGTGAGGTGGGACAGTAGCAAGGGCTCCAGGAGGAACCCCTTTAACCACTGAGCTCCCACCACTTTTTTAAGTAGCTGCCTGGAGGAGCTGAGGCTGAGCACTGCCTTTGCTTCGGGCTTTGGCTAAAACACTTGCCTGAAGCAGCAAGAAGACTGCGTGCTGTACCTCAAATTCTTGCCAGGTGAACAGAAAAAAAAAAAAAAAAGAAAAAGAAAAGAAGAACATCAGTTTAAGTCTGGCCTGGAAGGCACATCAAAGGCAGAGGTGAACCTAAACTGCAGGCAGAAGATCTTTCTCCTCACATACCCAAGGGACTGGTCCCTTCCTTTGCCTCTAATGCTGTAGAATTCTTGATTCAACAGCCCCTTCAACCAACCTCACATCCTGGAGGACTCTAACTCTATGTGACGATGAGGAGTTTGAGGGACACCTACCCAGGTGATTTTTGAGGAAAGCTGCAGTCCAGCGTTTCTCTTATCAAAAAGAGAGGGATAATAAACCAAAATAGACATCAAAACATAGGGAGTAGGTATGACACAAATGCCAAGATTTAAGGGAATTATGTAAGAATGGTGTTATGGACCGAATGTTGTATCTCCCTAAATTTCTATGTTGAGATCGTAACACCCAATTCGATGGTATTAAGAAGTAAGACCTTTGGGAGGTAATTAGATCATAAGAGTGGAGCTCTCATCATGGGACCAGTGCCATTATCAAAGAAACCCGGAGAGCTCTCTGACTCTACTCTTTTCCACCAAATGCAGACACATTGAGAAGACGGCCATCTATGAACCAAGAGGGAGGACATCAGATCAGCCACCATTTCGATCTTGAACTTCCCAGGCTCCAGAAATGTGAGAAATAATTTTTTTTAATTAAAGCCACCCAGTCTAGGGTACTTTTTGTTATAGCAGCCTGAACAGACTAAGAAAAATTAAATGGGAAAGAAGTAGTGATAGGCAAAGAGAATAGGAAACTGAGCAATGTCTAAATAAAAGTTGGTAGTCTAGTACTAAAATAATAGAAAATAAATGTTGAAAGGGACAAATATGTTTTAAAAATCATAACCTAGTTGTAAAACTGAACATGACAGTCTCAATTTGACCAACCTTTGGACAGATATTTTTTTTGGCCTATAAGCCCCTGACCTCCATTTAAAGGGGCATTAACTTAGAAAACTTACAATTTGAATTTCTTTCTCCACTCCTTTGAGGTACAGTAGTGCCCACTTATTCACATTTTTCCTTTCTAGGGATTCAGTTACTCTCAGTATAGTACAATAAGACATTTTGAGAAAGAGACTGCAGTTGTATAACTTTTATTACGGTCTGTTGTTATAGTTGTTTTATTTTATTAGTAATTATTGTTGTTAATCTCTTATTGTGACTAATTTATAAATTAAACTTTATCATAGGTATGGAATATATAGGAAAAACATACTATATATAGAGTTTGGGTCTACTACCATATCACCCTGTATGCGCCTGATCTCATCTGATCTCAAAAGCTAAGCAGGGTAGGGCCTGTTTAGTACTTGGATGGGAGTCTGGTACTATCTATGGTTTCATTCACGAATTGAAGGTCTTGCATGTATCCCCCAAGGATAAGGAGTACTATTGTGTGCCTTTTCCCTAACTCTTGCCAATTTTACAAACCAGGAATATCTTTCTCAAGGACCTGGGAGACATCTCTTTGAAATGTAATCATCAGGAATAATGGCGCCTCTATCTTCCAGTCTCTGGGGAATGATAGGAGCCTAATTTCCATAAGCCCCAAGTAGCAAACCCAGATGGCCTAATCACATTTATCATTCTCCACCATAATGGCCTCCAGTAGTTTTTCACTAGCTCAGTCCAGGGCTTACACACTTTTCTGCCTTTGCTTCCAGCAAAGTTCTGTTTAATTTTTCTCTCTTATTGCAGTAGTCTTAAATAAACTCTTTCTTGCCATTTAACTTTATTCAGTACAATTCTTCTTTGACAAAACTCATAACATTTCAGTGAAAGCTAGTATATTATGCAGTATATATGTGAAAAAGTAAAATCACACATTTTTCATTATGATTTCATATAGTAAAGTGATGTCATTTATCATTCTAGAAGTTGAATTTAAAGAAAAATGTTAATTTTAGATAAAGTGATTCAAAGCAAAGGAACAACTAAAAATAAAAAATAAATAATAAATTATTAAAATTCCCCTTAAATTAATTTAAAAATAAATTTAAAATTTCCTAAGATGTAATCTTTACACAGAAAAACACATTAATAAAATATATAAAATCAAAAAGATTTTAGGAAGAAGTAAACAAATAGAAATCTAAAGAGAAATTGAACAATTCCTCAAAGTTTTTGGCATTTTTTTTTTTTACCATGTAGACAAAATTACGAATAATGGTAGCAGAGGTTTGATCCTGGAATCAATAAATTTTATTTACCTGGTATAACATATTTCCAGAATTCTTAAATTCCGTTAATGATAAATACATCTTCAATTGAGATAATTATAGCTGTTTGAGAAAAAAATATATAGCGGATCTTTGAACAATGTGCGGATGAAAGACACCACAGTCAAAATCCATATATATCTTTTGACTACCCGAAAACTTAGCTACTAATAGCCTACTTTTGACTGGAGGTTTTAGCAAGAACATAGTCAATATATATTTTGTATATTATATGCATTATATGCTGTATTCTTACAATAAAGTAAGCTAAAGAAAAGGGAACTTTTTTTTTTTTTATTTTTAGTTTTTAGATGGAGTCTTGCTCTGTGGCCAGGCTGGAGTGCAGTGGTGCAATCTTGGCTCACTGCAACTTCCAACTTCTGACTCCCCGGTTCAAGCAATTCTCCTGCCTCAACCTCCCTAGTAGCTGGGATTACAGGCACGTGCCACCACTCCCAGATAATTTTTGTATTTTTAGTAGAGAAGGGGTTTCACCATGTTGGCCAGTGTGGTCTCAATCTCCTGACCTCGTGATCTGCCTGCCTTGGCCTCACAAAGTGCTGGGATTACAGGCATGAGCCACCGTGCCCAGCCAATAAAAGAGAACATTATTAAGAAAATTTAAAAAAGACAAAATATATTTAGTATTCATTAAGTGAAAATGGATTATGATAAAGAGCTTCATCCTTATTATCTTCACATTGAGTAGGCTAAGGAGGAGGAACATGAGGAAGGGTTGGTCTTGCTGTCTCAGGGGTGACAGAGGCAGAAAAGGTAGAGGAGGTGGAAGGAGAGGCAGGAGAGTCAGGCACATTCCGTGTAACTTTATGGAAACACATCATAATTTCTGTCTGACATTTTTGCTTTCTAATTTCTCTAAAAACATTTCTATAGAGTACCAATATTTTTGCCACTGTTTGCGTAAGTTTCAGTACTTGTATCATAGGAGTGTTCACGTAGTAAACAAAGTCAAAGTTAGTCTTAAATAATTGAAATCCTTTTGCCAGATTGTCTAATGTAAATTTGTTTTCTGGCATTGCTTCTTCTATGTCTTCTTCCGTAGCAGGTACTGGTTCAAAAGCACTCATCTCCATAAAGTTGTCTTCTTTTAATTCCTCTAGTGTGGTGTCTCTTAGCTCTCGAATTTCTCCAAGATACATATCTTGAAACCCTCCCCTGACTTTTTGCATATCCATTATCTCTTCATGATTTCTTTGATTGGCTCTATCATAAATCTTATGAATTCATTCACAACATTTAGACATTGTTTCTTCCAGCAGGCATTTATTGTTTTGGGCTTGATGGCTTTTGCAATTTTTTCTGTAAGTAGCATGACATTTTCAATGGTGTAATCCTTCCAGACTTTCATAATGTTCAATCATGGTTATCTTCCACAACATTGGCAATCCTTTCTATATAGTACCATGTGTAATGAGTCTGAAAGGTCCTTATGATCCCCTGATCTAGAGATTGAATCAGAAATGCATTTGAGGGCAAGTAGACCATGTAGATGCCTTTGGTGCTGAACTCATGAGGCTCTGGGCAGCCAGGGGCATTGTTCAATATCAAAAGAACTCTAAAGGGCAATTATATACTGGAAAGGTATTTTTTGACAATAGGGACAAATCATCAATAGAATCAATTTAAAAAAAGAGTTCTTGTTGTAAAACAGACCTTCCTGTTTTACAAGCAAAAGACTGGCAGCTGGTGTTTATCTTTTACCATCAAGGCTCAGGAGTTAGCAGCTTTATAGATAAGTGCAGTCCTGGTCATAAATCTGACTACATTTGCACGAAACAGTGGAGTTAGCCTATCCCTTCCTATGTTAAATCTTGGTGCTCATTTCTCTCTCTTTTTTTTAAATTTATTTTTTTATTATACTTTAAGTTTTAGGGTACATGTGCATATTGTGCAGGTTAGTTACATATGTATACATGTGCCATGCTGGTGCGCTGCACCCACTAACTCGTCATCTAGCATTAGGTATGTCTCCCAATGCTATCCCTCCCGCCTCCCCCCACCCCACAACAGTCCCCAGAGTGTGATATTCCCCTTCCTGTGTCCATATGATCTTATTGTTCACTTCCCGCCTATGAGTGACAATATGCGGTGTTTGGTTTTTTGTTCTTGCAGTAGTTTACTGAGAATGATGATTTCCAATTTCATCCATGTCCCTACAAAGGACATGAACTCATCATTTTTTATGGCTGCATAGTATTCCACGGTGTATATGTCCCACATTTTCTTAATCCAGTCTATCATTGTTGGACATTTGGGTTGGTTCCAAGTCTTTGCTGTTGTGAATAATGCCGCAATAAACATACATGTGCATGTGTCTTTATAGCAGCATGATTTATAATCCTTTGGGTATATACCCAGTAATGGGATGGCTGGGTCAAATGGTATTTCCAGTTCCAGATCCCTGAGGAATCGCCACACTGACTTCCACAATGGTTGAACTAGTTTACAGTCCCACCAACAGTGTAAAAGTGTTCCTATTTCTCCACATCCTCTCCAGCACCTGTTGTTTCCTGACTTTTGAAAGATTGCCATTCTAACTGGTGTGAGATGGTATCTCATTGTGGTTTTGATTTGCATTTCTCTGATGGCCAGTGATGATGAGCATTTTTTCATGTGTTTTTTGGCTGCATAAATGTCTTCTTTTGAGAAGTGTCTGTTCATGACCTTTGCCCACTTTTTGATAGGGTTGTTTGTTTTTTTCTTGTAAATTTGTTTGAGTTCATTGTAGATTCTGGATATTAGCCCTTTGTCAGATGAGTAGGTTGCGAAAATTTTCTCCCATTTTGTAGGTTGCCTGTTCACTCTGATGGTAGTTTCTTTTGCTGTGCAGAAGCTCTTTAGTTTAATTAGATCCCATTTGTCAATTTTGGCTTTTGTTGCCATTGCTTTTGGTGTTTTAGACATGAAGTCCTTGCCCATGCCTATGTCCTGAATGGTATTGCCTAGGTTTTCTTCTAGGGTTTTTATGGTTTTAGGTCTAATGTTTAAGTCTTTAATCCATCTTGAATTGATTTTTGTATAAGGTGTAAGGAAGGGATCCAGTTTCAGCTTTCTACATATGGCTAGCCAGTTTTCCCAGCACCATTTATTAAATAGGGAATCCTTTCCCCATTGCTTGTTTTTCTCAGGTTTGTCAAAGATCAGATAGTTGTAGATACGCGGCATTATTTCTGAGGGCTCTGTTCTGTTCCATTGATCTATATCTCTGTTTTGGTACCAGTACCATGCTGTTTTGGTTACTGTAGCCTTGCAGTATAGTTTGAAGTCAGGGAGTGTGATGCATCCAGCTTTGTTCTTTTGGCTTAGGATTGACTTGGCCATGCGGGCTCTTTTTTGGTTCCATATGAACTTTAAAGTAGTTTTTTCCAATTCTGTGAAGAAAGGCATTGGTAGCTTGATGGGGATGGCATTGAATCTGTAAATTACCTTGGGCAGTATGGCCATTTTCACGATATTGATTCTTCCTACCCATGAGCATGGAATGTTCTTCCATTTGTTTGTATCCTCTTTTATTTCCTGGAGCAGTGGTTTGTAGTTCTCCTTGAAGAGGTCCTTCACATCCCTTGTAAGTTGGATTCCTAGGTATTTTATTCTCTTTGAAGCAATTGTGAATGGGAGTTCACTCATGATTTGGCTCTCTGTTTGTCTGTTGTTGGTGTATAAGAATGCTTGTGATTTTTGCACATTGATTTTGTATCCTGAGACTTTGCTGAAGTTGCTTATCAGCTTAAGGAGATTATGGGCTGAGACAATGGGGTTTTCTAGATATACAATCATGTCGTCTGCAAACAGGGACAATTTGACTTCCTCTTTTCCTAACTGAATACCCTTTATTTCCTTCTCCTGCCTAATTGCCCTGGCCAGAACTTCCAACACTATGTTGAATAGGAGTGGTGAGAGAGGGCATCCCTGTCTTGTGCCAGTTTTCAAAGGGAATGCTTCCAGTTTTTGCCCATTCAGTATGATATTGGCTGTGGGTTTGTCATAGATAGCTCTTATTATTTTGAAATACGTCCCATCAATGCCTAATTTATTGAGAGTTTTTAGCATGAAGGGTTGTTGAATTTTGTCAAAGGCTTTTTCTGCATCTATTGAGATAATCATGTGGTTTTTGTCTTTGGCTCTGTTTATATGCTGGATTACATTTATTGATTTGCGTCTATTGAACCAGCCTTGCATCCCAGGGATGAAGCCCACTTGATCATGGTGGATAAGCTTTTTGATGTGCTGCTGGATTCGTTTTGCCAGTATTTTATTGAGGATTTTTGCATCAATGTTCATCAAGGATATTGGTCTAAAATTCTCTTTTTTGGTTGTGTCTCTGCCCGGCTTTGGTATCAGGATGATGCTGGCCTCATAAAATGAGTTAGGGAGGATTCCCTCTTTTTCTATTGATTGGAATAGTTTCAGAAGGAATGGTACCAGTTCCTCCTTGTACCTCTGGTAGAATTCGGCTGTGAATCCATCTGGTCCTGGACTCTTTTTGGTTGGTAAGCTATTGATTATTGCCACAATTTCAGCTCCTGTTATTGGTCTATTCAGAGATTCAACTTCTTCCTGGGTTAGTCTTGGGAGAGTGTATGTGTCGAGGAATTTATCCATTTCTTGTAGATTTTCTAGTTTATTTGCGTAGAGGTGTTTGTAGTATTCTCTGATGGTAGTTTGTATTTCTGTGGGATCGGTGGTGATATCCCCTTTATCATTTTTTACTGCATCCATTTGATTCTTCTCTCTTTTTTTCTTTATTAGTCTTGCTAGCGGTCTATCAATTTTGTTGATCCTTTCAAAAAACCAGCTCCTGGATTCATTAATTTTTTGAAGGGTTTTTTGTGTCTCTATTTCCTTCAGTTCTGCTCTGAGTTTAGTTATTTCTTGCCTTCTGCTAGCTTTTGAATGTGTTTGCTCTTGCTTTTCTAGTTCTTTTAATTGTGATGTTAGGGTGTCAATTTTGGATCTTTCCTGCTTTCTTTTGTGGGCATTTAGTGCTATAAATTTCCCTTTACACACTGCTTTGAATGCATCCCAGAGATTCTGGTATGTTGTGTCTTTGTTTTCGTTGGTTTCAAAGAACATCCTTATTTGTGCCTTCATTTCGTTATGTACCCAGTAGTCATTCAGGAGCAGGTTGTTCAGTTTCCATGTAGTTGAGTGGTTTTGAGTGAGATTCTTAATCCTGAGTTCTAGTTTGATTGCACTGTGGTCTGAGAGATAGTTTGTTATAATTTCTGTTCTTTTACATTTGCTGAGGAGAGCTTTACTTCCAAGTATGTGGTCATGTTTGGAATAGGTGTGGTGTGGTGCTGAAAAAAATGTATATTGTGTTGATTTGGGGTGGAGAGTTCTGTAGATGTCTATTAGGTCTGCTTGGTGCAGAGCTGAGTTCAATTCCTGGGTATCCTTGTTGACTTTCTGTCTCATTGATCTGTCTAATGTTGACAGTGGGGTGTTAAAGTCTCCCATTATTAATGTATGGGAGTCTAAGTCTCTTTGTAGGTCGCTCAGGACTTGCTTTATGAATCTGGGTGCTCCTGTATTGGGTGCATATATATTTAGGATAGTTAGCTCTTCTTGTTGAATTGATCCCTTTACCATCATGTAATGGCCTTCACTGTCTCTTTTGATCTTTGTTGGTTTAAAGTCTGTTTTATCAGAGACTAGGATTGCAACCCCTGCCTTTTTTTGTTTTCCATTGGCTTGGTAGATCTTCCTCCATCCTTTTATTTTGAGCCTATATGTGTCTCTGCACGTGAGATGGGTTTCCTGAATACAGCACACTGATGGGTCTTGACTCTTTATCCAATTTGCCAGTCTGTGTCTTTTAATTGGAGCATTTAGTCCAGTTACATTTAAAGATAATATTGTTTTGTGTGAATTTGATCTTATCATTATGATGTTAGCTGGTTATTTTGCTCGTTAGTTGATGCAGTTTCTTCCTAGTCTTGATGGTCTTTACATTTTGGCATGATTTTGCAGCGGCTGGTACCGGTTGTTCCTTTCCATGTTTAGTGCTTCCTTCAGGAGCTCTTGTAAGGCAGGCCTGGTGGTGACAAAATCTCTCAGCATTTGCTTGTCTGTAAAGTATTTTATTTCTCCTTCACTTATGAAGCTTAGTTTGGCTGGATATGCAATTCTGGGTTGAAAATTCTTTTCTTTATGAATGTTGAATATTGGCCCCCACTCTCTTCTGGCTTGCAGGGTTTCTGCCGAGAGATCCGCTGTTAGTCTGATGGGCTTCCCTTTGAGGGTAACCCGACCTTTCTCTCTGGCTGCCCTTAACATTTTTTCCTTCATTTCAACTTTGGTGAATCTGACAATTATTGTCTTGGAGTTGCTCTTCTCGAGGAGTATCTTTGTGTTGTTCTCTGTATTTCCTGAATCTGAACATTGGCTTGCCTTGCTAGATTGGGGAAGTTCTCCTGGATAATCTCCTGCAGAGTGTTTTCCAACTTGGTTCCATTCTCCCCATCACTTTCAGGTACACCAATCAGACGTAGATTTGGTCTTTTCACATAGTCCCATATTTCTTGGAGGCTTTGCTCATTTCTTTTTATTCTTTTTCCTCTAAACCCCTTCTCGCTTCATTTCATTCATTTCATCTTCCATTGCTGATACCCTTTTTTCCAGTTGATCGCATCGGCTCCTGAGGCTTCTGCATTCTTCACGTAGTTCTCGAGCCTTGGTTTTCAGCTCCATCACCTCCTTTAAGCACTTCTCTGTATTGGTTATTCTAGTAATACATTCTTCTAAATTTTTTTCAAAGTTTTCAACTTCTTTGCCTTTGGTTTCAATGTCCTCCCGTAGCTCAGAGTAATTTGATTGTCTGAAGTCTTCTTCTCTCAGCTTGTCAAAGTCATTCTCCATCCAGCTTTGTTCCGTTGCTGGTGAGGAACTGCGTTCCTTTGGAGGAGGAGAGGTGCTCTGCTTTTCAGAGTTTCCAGTTTTTCTGTTCTGTTTTTTCCCCGTCTTTGTGGTTTTTATCTACTTTTGGTCTTTGATGATGGTGATGTACAGATGGGTTTGTGGTGTGGATGTCCTTTCTGTTTGTTAGTTTTCCTTCTAACAGAGAGGACCCTCAGCTGCAGGTCTGTTGGAATACCCTGCCGTGTGAGGTGTCAGTGTGCCCGTGCTTGGGGGTGCCTCCCAGTTAGGCTGTTCTGGGGTCAGGGACCCACTTGAGGAGGCAGTCTGCCCATTCTCAGATCTCCAGCTGCATGCTGGGAGAACCACAGCTCTCTTCAAAGCTGTCAGACAGGGACATTTAAGTCTGCAGAGGTTACTGCTGTCTTTTTGTTTGTCTGTGCCCTGCCCCCAGAGGTGGAGCCTACAGAGGCAGGCAGGCCTCCTTGAGCTGTGGTGGGCTCCACCCAGTTCGAGCTTCCTGGCTGCTTTGTTTACCTAATCAAGCCTGTTCAATGGCGGGCACCCCTCCCCCAGCCTGGCTGCCGCCTTGCAGTTTGATCTCAGACTGCTGTGCTAGCAATCAGCGAGACTCCGTGGGCGTAGGACCCTCCGAGCCAGGTGTGGCATATAATCTTGTGGTGGGCCCCTTTTTTAAGCCCGTCTGAAAAGCGCAGTATTCGGGTGGGAGTGACCCGATTTTCCAGGTGCGGTGCATCACCCCTTTCTTTGACTCAGAAAGGGAACTCCGTGACCCCTTGCGCTTCCCAAGTGAGGCAATGCCTCGCCCTGCTTCGGCTCGCGCATGGTGCGCGCACCCACTGACCTGCGCCCACTGTCTGGCACTCCCAATGAGATTAACCCGGTACCTCAGATGGAAATGCAGAAATCACCCGTCCTCTGCGTCGCTCACGCTGGGAGCTATAGACCGGAGCTGTTCCTATTCTCATTTCTCTTATTGATAAATTTCCTTTGTGGCATTTCTATTTTTTTTCCTGAAGAGGACACTTTTTTATCTGCATTAAAAATCTATTCAGGTAAATATTTTTTCTCCTCAATGGTTTTCACAAATTGTATCTGAAAACTCATCTGCTGCCTCTTGATCA
The DNA here is from genome assembly GCF_000001405.40 of Homo sapiens. NCBI lineage: Eukaryota > Metazoa > Chordata > Mammalia > Primates > Hominidae > Homo > Homo sapiens. Next base: position 76,781,920 of record NC_000002.12, read on the forward strand.
TCAGAAGCTGCTTCTGCTGTTATATTATCTTGACATTTTTTTAAAGCCAAACCTCTTTCTAAAATTGTCAAACCATCCTTTGCTGACATTAAATACTCAGGCTTTAGATCTTTCACCTTCCTTTTGCTTTAAGTTGTCATAGAATGACTTCATTTTTTCCTCAAATTATATTAGAGTCCATATGTATGCCTTTCTTATAGCTATCTTGCACCCGCATAAAAGCTCCACTTTAAATAAAAGATAAAATGGTATTTTGCAACACATGTAAGATTTACGGGCCTGCTGATGTTGCTGCAGCGATGGCTTCACAAATTTCCTTTCCTTTTTTTACAGTGGTCCTTACACTGGATTCATTTATCTTGAAATGTCAGGCAACTACAGCTACAGATCTAAATCTACAGTACATATCAAGCAATTCAGCTTTTTCTTGTAATTTTATGACTTTTCTTTGCTTGGGAGAAGTTCCAGTATAACTAGTGGTGCTTTCTTTGGGGTCCCATGATGTTATTTAAGGTTTACGATATTGCACTAAACATGTTTTAAGCAAATATTCACAACACTTGAGCTCACTGCAATAGCAACAGGAGGTGACTATGAATTATTACAGCAGTACAGTAATAAATTGCTGTTGGTAATTTTAAGCAGTTATGATTTAATACTGCATCTTTACATTTGTTTACATTTTTTAAACTGCAAATGATGCCCTGCACGGGTCTGTGCTTTTTTGCTTACATTTTGATACCTGTTAACTTTTTCTGATTTTTTTCTATATTTTACAGTTTGCATTTTCAAATCGTCACAAATCTCCAATTTTTCAACATATTTATTGAAGAAATCCACATATAAGTGGATCCACACAGTTAAACCTGTGTTGTTTAAGGGTCAACTGTTTAACACCTACAAGTACATTACATTGATTTTAAATTAGTTACGTATTTTAGAAAATTTAAATCGCTATTGGGGAAGTAATTTAAATTATAGAGTGTTCTTTAGAATTAATCAAATACCATATAACAAATTGTTGAAGCTTTTATTCAAAGATTGTAGATTTCTTAAAAATTCCTTTTAATCTTTATTCTTGTTCAGCCATATATATATATATAAAGCTGAACACACACACCTTAGAGATACACATGCTTAGGTGCAGGAAGTTGCAGTACAAGAATATTCAGACAAGCATTAGTTACAAAATTATCAGAGTTAATTAATATTGGGAAGAATTCATATTCCACCAACATTGAATGAATAAATATATCACATTATTTTCCTCACTACCATGACTCCTACCCCATAGTAAGCAGTAAGCTAAATGTTGTGTTTTCATCAGGTTACGTTGGTGATATCTGGGAATCCACCTTTCCATACATGAAAACAATGCCAATTTTAAATTAAAGGCAAATAATGGTTGGAAAAGTCATTTGTGTTTTATTTAGTATATTTTTAAAAACTTTTTTTAATGGTAAAATATACATAACATAAAATGTACCATTTTAATCGTGTTTAAGTGTTCAGTTTTGTGGTGTGAAATACATTTACATTGTTGTGCCACATCATGACCATCTACCTCCAGAACTCTTCATCTCAAACTGAAACTCTGTACCTATTAAGGCGTAACTCCCCGTATTCTCCCTCCCTGGCCCATGGCAAACGCCTATTTAGTGTAAATTTTGAATTAACATGCTAATGTGAAAAGTTTCTCTGAAACTAAACAAGGAAATTAATTGATTTAATCCTGAATTAAAACTAATTCCGGGTAAAACTCAGGTTACTGAATTTATGAATTTCACAATACCATTTGGCATCCCTATTTCCCGTACAAACCTTTTGCTCCACTTGGATATTTCTTGCAAGTACTTTGCTTATCTGAGATCAGACAAGTAAAAAAGAAATTCAGCAGTGCCGTATATTTTAATTGCAATGTTAATTCTGCACATTTCAGAGTAAGATGGGAGAAGAATGTGTATGATTTGACAGTATAAAATACTCATAATAAAACTGCTTGGTAATATCCAGATGATTCATTAGTAAAAATGTAGAACTGGAGGGTTAAGAAAATGTTTGAATGTTAAACAGAGTTGCTACTTGAATTTTCTATGTTTTATTGTGAAAGTGAGAAAACATAAATAATTATTTTTGGAAAATTATTTTTAAATGTTGTATTTTGAGCTAAAACAATCCCCAAATTCATGATATATTAATATTTATCTGTTTTAATGTTCAGTGGTGGCTGTAATTGTATTACACACACAAAAAGGAAGCATAGGTACCACTAGATTAATGTTTTTGAGAAAGAATCCAATTTCTTTTATTAAATACATTATTCAGATAAATAAATCATAGTACATTAAGCGATGCTTTATAATCCTATGCATACTTTGAAAAATATTATGGAAAAGCATGCTTAATATCATGAGAAAATGTTCATATATATAGTCAAATGGGTGCAAGATTGCTATAAGAAAGGCATACATATGGACTCTAATTACTATGCTACCATTAAAATAATTTGAACACACACAAGTACATGTCTACATATACATAGATATATTATACATAGATATATGAATGCTGTGTTTTTCTCACTGGGTGATAAGATTAAGCTGATACTTAGATTTCTCTTTTGTTTCCCACATAAAGTAAATAAATGCAATATTTTCAAACTAAAGTATCCTATGTAATTTCACTTAAGTTGTATTTACTATGGGGCACCACTGATTTTGAAATGATCAATGTAATGTTCTCTTTATTTCATGCATGAATAGCTTCCTAAGTTCTTATTAATATCATTTTTACACATCTGAACACCTTTATAAAATACCGTAACTGTGCTGGCCAGTAATGTTGTCAAGATTGAATTCTTTTTGTATGGTTTTTTATTTATTTGTTTTCACAAAAATGAAATACTAAATATACCTTAAAGGAAACTAACTGTTCAGCCCAGCATGTAGTGAATGCTTTGATCATAGAAGCAGTTATTTTACACAAAATTAATTCAGTTCGAATAGAGATTCACAATAAACTGAGTGGCAGATTGCACTTCAGAATGTATCACACCAATTTAGGACTTTCATTTTATCCAAATTTCATATGGAAAACTTTCTATAGTTGTCACTCTTATAATATGACTGTATGAACATTGAATCTAGTCTGCAATAAACTATTAAGATGTGAGTCCTCCAAAGATATCTTGCTACACCGATCTTGAAGAAGGAAGTACAAACAATTAATTTAAAATGCTGCTATTGTGTTTGTATTGGCATTTGCAATTGAATAGTCTGCATAAAATTTAGGAATGAAGACTTTAATAACTGATTTGCAGTACTTGTATTGAGAAAATAATTTTCTCAAATGTGGGACTACAGTTCTGCTCCTCAAGTAAAAGCCCATGAAACAAGATCTGATAAAATTAATAATAAGAAGGATTAAGCAAAATAGAGCATCAACTTATAACAGTGTACTTTATAATCTTATACATGTATTTATTAAACTAGCTCAGGAGCACTTCCAGTAAAGGCACATTTAATGAGAGTGAATTTTAGTTGAGATAGAAAAGCAGATCATATGGGTACGTCAGTCTCTAATCAACTTTTTAGTGGTAATCCAGGAAGGATCTTCAATTTAACTTGGAAGGTGTTTCTAGTGTTTAGATTTTCTCCTAGTAATTTAACCTGAACATATGTTTGTAATAGCTTTCTTCATAAAAGGCCATAAGTAGGGTAAGTAGCTAGATAGTATATGTTAAGATATTAAAATAAGACTTTTTTCACCCTTCTCATATTTGTATAATTAATATGTTGCCAATATTTAGTGGAAAATAAAATTGATTTTGATGTATGAGAAGCTTAACAATCCATATTTAAACTTATAGCATGGCTTTAAGCCATCATGTTCTTGGCTTTATTTATAAAGATGGGTATTTTAAAAGACAAGGATCAGCCAGACCTGCAGAGTTGCCCAAGGAAGAAAATGCCTTGTGTGTAGGCCGACCACAAACAAAATGAGCCATGGGTAGAAATATCTGCAGCAAAAGGTAATCAATTGCACTTGACGGACTTCTGAACAATATGCAATTTAACTCAATGATACCTAGCTGCTCCTATCTTTTTAATAGCTTGTGAATTCAGAAGACATAAGTTACATGAGTATCTTGGCAAACTACATTTTCACATTTTCAACCCTCACCTCAACTTCAGCTTCATCTGGGAACTTTGCCATAATTGATAGGAAAAGAAGTACAAATTCTTTTCCATTCATAGAGCAATTTATAAAGAAAGTCTCTAGCCTATCTTCCCAAATGAACCATGAACGATTAAAAATAAGGCACACTTACAGCAATATTTTCCAATTGATCAATTTAAGTTTGAAAATGGCGGAGATTGTATTGGTTAAGAATATTTATAACAGATAGAACAAAGCAAAAAATAAAAATAAAAAACCCACAAATGATGAATAGGCAAATTGGTCCCCCAAGACTCCTAACATTTTTTTAACAGTATTTTTATCTTTTCAGTTCTTATATAGCAATTCTTTCATTGTCATAGAACTCTAAAAAAACAGTAGTTATAATTGAATTAATAAGAATTATGAATATAATATATGCCATGAAGCTCTTTGAAGGAGTTGTCTGATTCAATTTTCTGCTACCTTTTACCTACATTAACAAACAGAGGAAGAAAACCAAAACAAAGCTAAGAGCAGAGAGGTAATTTGGTTTTAAAAATATCTGTGGGAGGTACAGATGCATTCAGACAACTTCCTCCACTTCTTTGATTCCTGCTTTCTAAGTGGTTCCCTTTCAATTTGTTTATATTGTGTCAACAAGTTAGAAGATTGCAGAAAAAAAAAATGCATCATTTTCTTGGTTGACAAACCAAAAATAGTTCATTTAAAGAATACAGAAGGAACTGGAATTTCATATTGCTTTCCTTGCTGTTTCTTTTCTTTGTGCTAATAATAGCATCAAAAATAAAGCCCCCAAGTCAGCAAGTTTTTGACACTCTGATTGGCTGAACACAATGAAAAGCTGTTTGTTAGGCACAAAATTTACCTACATTTTTTTTTTCAATTTCCAGCAATGGTCAGGTGACTTGTGGAACATGAGGGATATCTAAGGGAAGTACATAAGGATGCCCTAAGGAAAATTCCCACTTTGTTATTAATATCTGGAGAAAGACAATACATGTGGCAAGGGAAATGAAAGGACTGTGTTCATGTCATAAAGGAAAGAGTAATCTGTTAGAAAATACATCTCTAATGGAAAAAAGAGAAAGGATGTGGAAAATAAAAATGATCTGGGAAACATGTTGATTGTGTGGGAAAAGATTACTCCAGAAATAATTTAGAATGCACAATTGGCATAAGGAGATTTGGATTTGCATTATAAATATATAGCCTGCTATTACTGGCAACTTCCTGGTCATAATTATTTTCATCTCTTTTCTTTTTATTGATATATAGAGCCTGCTCTGCATAATCTCATACATTGTGTTCTGATACTTTATACATTTCCAGATGTCAACATTATCAGATGGTAAGCCCATTGTCTACTAAGGTCAATACAAAATATTTAATAACTGGGTGTTCAGCTCAAAATGGAGAGTGGAGGTTAAAAACAGGGAAAGGAAAAAAGAAAGGAAGTTTTATGAAGTTAGGAAAATTTTTTTTTTTTAGTGTTTTGGTTAAATTGAAAAAATATTTTCTATTTTGTGAGGATTATTATAGGGAAAACTTTGTGGTTCAGTGGGGAGTTTTGCATTGACTACAGCACACTTATTCGGGTTGATTCTTATCCCATGGGACTTGTTTTGCAACTATGAAAAGAAATTCTTATCTAAAAACAATATAGATATTCTGACAGATAGAGGTTCACTTGATTTTCTTTTCTGTCCAAGGAAAAAGCCAGTTTCTGTCAGTTCATCTCACCAGTCCTTTAGGCAAATTTGTGCTCCTTTGACTTCTCTGAGCCAATTAGAATATCTGCCTGGCACCCTCATTATGAATTAAGTAAAATCTTTAACATGAATTGCTTTATGTCTGTATGATATTAATGATTTTTTACTTTGAAATATTTTATTTAACAAAGTTAATATATGTAAAAACAATTAGAACCTTCTCTGGTAGGAAAAGATGAATGAATGTTACTGTTGTTACTATTGTTGTTAGGAGACAGCATTCTTGATTCTTAGTGCTCTGATACAATCATGATTAAACTGAAGAAGGTCAGTCTGTAGTAGGAGAACCAAGTAAATAAATAGTTCCAGTAGAATGTGTTAACATATGTAATTGAGGTAAGTACAAGGTCTAATAGAAACATAAATAGAACAGCAATTGACTATGCCTTAGCGGTTGAGAGGGGACAACATCTGAGAGTTAGACAAGAAAAGGAGTCACATAGTCACATTATTTGCCCTAGATATCCGTCTTGAATAACCATTATCAGAAATTGTAAAATTATGAGCAGAATCAAGGCAAAGGCAGAGAGTGAATAAGCTTTCTTTTACTCAATCAGAACAAAAATAAGCTTTAACACAAGGTCACGTTTACTCGTACTAGGAAGTCAGCAAAGATACAGAGTGTAATGCTCTCTATTTAACCTGTGTAGACTTAGCAGAGGCTGAGATTAATGATAGCCAAGGAAAAATAAGAGAGATAATTTCAGAATAAGTGCAAGGAAGTTTATAATGCAAGTTTAAGCTTAGATCAAAATTTAATGGTGACTTTTTAAAGGTAATCATAAGAGAGAAAAGTAATAGCACAATCTTGTAGGACTGTGTGTCTTTGTTCAGTGTCCTTTTATATCTATTCTATCAATGTGATTTCAGAAAGAAGACCCTGTGAATTTTTAGGGGGGAGGAAGTAGTAACACTATTTTATAGTTAAGGACTCAAACATAGAGAAGTTTTTATATTAAAATCTGTGATAATAATGATAAATGTTTTTGTGTCTATGGGGTTTATAGTTTCCAAAATGATTTCTGGATGCAGTGTTTCCTTTAATTCCCTAACCACTGGTGGAAAAAGGTTTTATTTTCTACATTGTACAGATGAGAAAGCTGAGTCTTAGAGACATAAAACTTACACTGAGTTAAACAGCTAATGCTTGGCACCCTGCTTCTCTGGTTGTGCATGCTGTGCTTTTTCTATTACAAAATGATTCTTAGTAAAAAAAGGAACCCTATACTTTAGAGATGCTAAGTTCCAGCCCACGCTGCACTCACACTCCCTACCTCAAAGGGAGCACTCTCAAGTGGGGTTGCCACCACCTGGAAAGGATGCCTGCTTTGTTTTCTTCACACCAAGGCACCTTATGTGCTAGCAGTGGCAGTGATGAAAGGGAATACAAACAGCAGGGAGAACACAGGAAAAAATGGCCAAGTAGGTGATATTTACCTTCAGAATTCTCCACTTCCATGTTCCATACCACTGCTGTCCCTCGCAGCCTCTTGACCTCACCACCCACCTCTGCTCTAGTGACCTCTCTCTTTTCCCAAAACAATCAACTTCAAAGAGTAACTCGAACACCATGCGTTGTATGACAGGACTTCTTTGGAGGGCTTCTGGCTTGATAAATACATGAATTAAGAGGAAAATTCAAAAACATAATGAGGGTTTGTTTCTGAGGTCCTGTGGCACCAGCCACATACCTTTTTATAATAGGTTGTATTTGTTTGTTTGTTTACTTAGTGTGAACATATTTCTTCTGGTCAAACCTACTCCATGGTTCCCGCTCCCCATTTATTCTTGAGTCTGTTTCACAATCATGGAAAGACTCTGTATCATGAGGGAGGAGTGTTAATCTGGAATAACCAAATTCCAGGTTTTCAAGCTTCTAGATAAAGGTTTCAAAGAGATGGAAGTCACAGAGAACAAAGGCATGGTGTCTTCCCATTTTATTATTTTTTCCATATTTCCTGGGTGGGAGATAACTGAGTCTTTTTTACTTTAGGGAAATTATCAGCACTCTTCTTTTTTATCTCTAGCTCTCCTTCTATTTCACTTTTAGATGGGTTGGTCCTGTCTTGCAGTCCCCAGGACAACGGGTTGCTTGTTTGGATGAGTTGCCTGAGGTGTGTGTCGTTACAGGACAGTTCTACTGTGGGAATTGGATAAATGTTCCCTCTTGTTCATTCCTTCTCTTAGATTCCCTTCATCTTTTCACCACTGTCTGAGATCTTTCCTAGCATCAGAGATTTTGGTTTACTTTTAGAATTACCAAAGCAGTTTTTCCCAGACTTAATGAAGAGGATACCACAAGGTTAAGCCTAGTCCACTACACTTCTGTTCTAGGACTATGAGTTAAAGTTCAAACTAATAATGAGACAGTCATTGGTTCTGCTTTGTCAGTACGGTGGTATGGGGATATGGTGCAGGATCTTCATGGATTGCCTCTATTTCTGAGGGATTTTTTTTTGCCTCTGAATAAAGAAAGAAACATATTAGGAGTTCTAAATTTTCAGTTGGAAAGATCTTGATTAGGAACTAATTCTCTCTGGACTCCTACTGCCTAGGTTGGAATCTCAGCTTCTTACCTTTCTAGCAGTATGATCTTGGGCCAGCCTCAGTTTCTTCCTCTTTAAAATGAGGAAAATGGAAACTATTTCAGAAAGTACTTTGGGGTTTAAATAAGAAAAACATGTAAAATCCTAATAGTGTTTGACACATAGTAGCACTTGATAAGCATTAGCTATTAATAAAATAATTCCCATTGCTATTTCTCGTGGATAGCATTAGAGCATCTGAATTTGGGGAACAGTATCTTGTAGTGTTACTTAATTGGATAGACCCCCCCCCACCACCTCAGTGAAATTTAACAGGCAAAATGTCAGTATCTTCCAGTTGATGTAAATCTACTCTTTGATCAAATTTGATATAATTTCACTGTTTCTGCCATAGAAACAATCTAATATCAGACTTGGCATGTTTCTCTACTAGAAAACATGATGTAGGCAATGATGCTGTCTGACTGAATCCCACAGCAGGTTGTATTAGTCACTGAATACTAAGCTGTTATAGTGGAAGAATGTGTTTCCATATTTCACTTTAAACATGGAAAACATGGTCCACAGAAGGTATGTTTCCAGTTACATGATAAGCTAGGATGATGGTTACAATGATAAAGAGGTAATTTACTGGGGCTATAACACTGGCTGTTACTTTGATGGCTTCACAGGATCCAGAATGGACATTCTCTTGAATCTTGCTGTGACATAAGGCTACTTCTTCTTAAGTGAAAACTAAAGACAGAAAATGATAGAACCACAGGGCATTAGAGCTGGAAGTGATCCAGGCATGTGGCTTGCCAAAACCCTAACGTGACTCAAAGACAGGTGGAAAAGGCTTCACAGAGCACCTTACCATCCTCTACTGAGATTATTTCAATAATATTGGGAACCATCATTTATCTGAAGACACTTGCTCCAACATTCCCATGTAGATTTGTAGATTTGAAACTCAGTGAAAGGCATTTTGACTATAAAATTAGAATGTAAGTTTCATACATAATTATGAGATGATTTATCAGAGAATTTAGAGGAAAAAATCCAAGAACTTCACTTAGATACTGAGAAACAACAAGGAAGACAAGGGACTCGAGTATTTAGGAAAGAAATGGCACACCTCTACTTGAGCATAAATATTCGGAGAGCAATAAATCTCATCCTACTCCATTTACAGGACAAGGGGAAACACAGTAAATGCTTCAGAATTATACACAAAACTTTCTTAAGCTGTGAGAACCAGTTAAAGACAATTTCAGTACTTATTATAACCTCATATGGAGAAATGCCACAGTGCAAACTGGTGACAGAATCGACATGTAGAACTACATTCTACAGATATACAGCAGATAGGCTGCAGGTTTCAGAGGTATACTTACTTATTTTGCCAACAGTATTTGTCACAGGAAATCAAGTCAAAACATTGTAATAAGCTAGTTTCCAATATGAAATAGACTTTCAAACCCCAGAGAATTTTTGAGGAAAAGCAAAATGAAAAACCAGACAAAAAATTCTTAACTAGCTTAGCCTATCACCCACTCATGTTTTTGTATCAGATCTGGGTCATAAATTTCATTACTTTCCAGTTTTCTCCATTATATTGTTCCATTTCAGAAAGAAAGTCAGCTCTTATTTATCTAAGCATGCAAACCTGGAGGCAGGCAGAATACTTAAAATATAAATGCCCATAGTTAGAGAAATAGAGTTTTTCTAGTCCTAAAAAAGAGAGCTTACAGAGTAAGAAAAGACGATCATATACATGGCTTTTGGTACAATACTTTACCTGTAGTATAATTATGTTTCAGAATTTAAAAAATGTTAAGTCGGCTTAAAAACAACAAAATAACCATTAAAAAAACCTTCACTGTTTAAGATGAAAGTCATAGGCTGCCACTTTACACATTAAGTTAAATACCAACCCCCAGAGACCAGGAATATAATAAAATGGAGGAAAGTGGTTATAGAAGGCTAATGTTCCACTCTAGGAATCATCTACCTGACACATCTTTCATGCAAAACACTCTGCTGGGAACTATGGTAATCCAAAGATAGAAGGATATACATCAATTCCTGAAGAGTTTGTAGTATATTAGGAAGGCGTGTGTGTGTATCACATTCAATCATATACTGATGGCACAAGGTAAGTTATATTAATTCTTCTAGTAACAATCAGAGAATAAAGTGTGTGATGCAAGAGAAGCTGCTTTATGGGTAGTAATGTTGCTCCTGCTAATGATCAATTCTCTGTTGAATACTAGATGAAGACCCTCTTATAGACTTGTAGAATTCTTTGTGCCACTCTCCCTACTTCAGTACATTTTTCCTGTAAATGCCAGGCGCTAAGGACTTTCAACTCCTTCTCTCCTCAACTTAGAAAATTAGCTTGTATCTGGTTACTTCCTGCACTGTGGCTTGGAAGCACATTCAAAGCAGTAAACTGGAGCGAGATCACTCTTGCATTGCTTAATGTCCACTGTCCTGAAAACCATCGTTTCATATATTTTCCCTGGGTTTTTGGTTGTTAGGGGTGGAGGGTGAATCCTGTCTCTGTTACTTTGTCTTGATGGAAAGTGGAAGTCTTCACTGATTCTTTTCTACTACTACTCTGAAAATATTACACACTTGCCAGTGAGAAAAATCAAGGCTTTAGCAGTATTAAATAACTTCCTGAAAGTCACATAGAACTTGGAATTACAGGTTAATATTTTCCCTCAAGTCTTTAGGCAAGTAGACCCAGGGGTACCTTGAATGAGGTGAATAGTGTAACCTATTTATACTCTAGGTTTTACAGAAAACACTCATCTCTTGGTGTTGTCAATATTGTTCATTGTTCCTTGACCTTTCCCAGTATCAGAGTGTTTAGATACCAAGGGTGTGGGTCATGGGTTAGCAAACAAATGCCTCTGGCTATTCAATGACAGAGTTGAGTAGATGGGACATAGATTTTCTTGGCCACAAATCCTAAAATATTCACTCTTTGGCCAATTACTGAAATCGTTTATCAACTTCCAAAGCAAAAGAATCAAGTATTTTTTTTTCAGACTGACTTTGTTCTATCTACTTTAAGATAAGTAGGATTTTGATTAATTATTTGTGGACAATATCTAGGCATCAAAGAGCTACATTGTATTTTTATATGAGAAGCCCCCTGGTAATAATGTAGAACTTTCTCCTCTTCACTGTGCTCTCGGTAAGTTAAGTTTTGAGGGCTACCAGGAAAAAGCGCAAAAGAGGGAACACAGGATATGGTAGATGAAGAGTCAGTGATTCACAGGTTGCCAGCCTTTGCAAAGTGTCTTCCATTTCATCATAATTGGGCACATTTTGCCCACCAGTATGAACTTATAAACAGTGAATTGAGATCCAGGAGGCAAAGTGCTGATTTCAGATAAAACTCAGACCTCTGAGAAACAAACACCTGTGTTGCTGTAAGCCTGTAAGAAGGTCACAAATACAATTCGTATGATCTAGGGAATACAGTATTAGTGGGACAGTAATTGCTTCTATGGGACACAGAAAAGATTTCTAAGACTTCAAAATACTGGTGCAACAATGTCCCACTTACATTTTGGAGAATATTTTTCTGTGTGTCTCTAATAGTAATCTGTATAAGCCAAAACTGGGCTAGGGAAGTCCAACCAGGAACTAAGAATTGTAAAAGCGGTTGTCAGTCTCCTGAGCCACATCCCACATGGAGCGAAGATTTGATTTTATGGAATGATTGATGAGCAGTTCATATGTAGGCCAGAGGTGAGTTTACTTCAGAGTAACCAGAGATTACTATGTAAGCTTATAGCTTATTGAATCAGACCTTGTTAGATTACCTGATTGTTTCTTATACTCAGAAGAGAGAAGGAGCTGTGTCCTTAGATCGGAGATAACAAATATCTGCATTAGTATGAAAGGAAGTTATGTGTCAGAGAGGAAAGAAAGTGAACCTTAGGAAAAACAAAGGATTGGGTATACCACTACAGTCCCTAAATACTGCTATATGACTAATCGGCTTTACCAGATATTCCAGCTATTTTGTTATAGTTGTGAACAATAGTTTTTTCTTTCTTTCAAAATTTCACTTATTACTGGTATAGGCAAACATTTGCACCTCTTCTATATTCTATCTAGACTTAATTGAATTGCTTTATTAATTCTATATGCTTTTTATTGATTTTACTAACCAGGCACCTATACCATTTTCAAAAAGCAATAATTTTATCTGTTTTCCTAGTATTTACATTTTTTTGTTTATTTTCTTCTTATTCCAGAGCAGGGTTTTTCAAACTTGACATTAGTGACATTTTTCACTGGCTAATTCTTTGCTATGGTGTACTGTCTTGTACTTTTGTGGGATGTGTAGCACCATCACAAACTGTACCCACCAGAGCCAGTAGCATCAATCCCCCAAGTCAGACAATGAAACTGACCCTACTTATTGCCATAGGTCCCTCTAGAGGGCCAACATTTTTCTGATTAAGAACCACAGTTGTAGAAAAATTAAGATTTAAATGCTAAATTTAAACAATAGTGTGTAGACACTGATAGAAGAATATCTTAATCTAAGGGTGGCTGTAACTTCACTAAAAGCTATAAAGAAAAATATTACCAGATTTTATGCAAATAAAGATACTTCTGTATGGCAGATAGTAAGCTAAAGTAAAAATACCTTTAACATAGACGGCAGATATGACATGCTCAATACCGAGAGATTTACTAACAATAATATTAAAGTGGACAAAATATATGAATAGGCAATGATCAGCAAACATAGAAAAAGGTGCCCGAATCCACAAATAACCAAAGAAATTAAATTAATGAAAAGTGTGTTTTGTACTTTAAAAATCATTTTTAATTGACAAATACAAATTTCATATACTTATTGTGTACAATATCTTGTTTTGAAATATATATGTAGTTCATCTTTCATGTCTGTGAGTTCTATATCCATGAATTTAACCAACTTTATATAAGACAATTAACAAAAAGTCTATACTGAACATGTAAAGATTTTTTACTGTCATTATTTCCTAAATAAAACATTGTAATGACTATATACACAGAATTTACATTGTGTAGGTGTTAATAATCTGGTGAGTATTTAAAATATGAGAGCACTACATATATACCATATGCATATACATGTATATGCATATATACATGTGCATATATATGCACACACACACATACACACACACTACATTTTCTTTATCCATCCATTGATGGACACAGGTTGACTCCATCTCTTGGCTATTATGAATAACATTTCAATGAACATGATGGGAATGTAGCTATATCTTCTACATACTGATGTCGTTTCCTTTGGATACTCATTTTATGAGGCCAACATTACCCTGACACCAAAGCCAGATCAGGGCACTATCAGAAAAGAAAAGTGAAGGGAGGAGCCAAGATGGCCAAATAGGAACAGCTCCTGTCTACAGCTCCCAGCGTGAGCGACGCAGAAGACGGGTGATTTCTGCATTTCCATCTGAGGTACCGGGTTCATCTCATTGGGAGTGCCAGACAGTGGGCGCAGGTCAGTGGGTGCGCGCACCATGTGCGAGCCGAAGCAGGGCGAGGCATTGCCTCACTTGGGAAGCGCAAGGGGTCACGGAGTTCCCTTTCTGAGTCAAAGAAAGGGGTGATGTACTGCACCTGGAAAATCGGGTCACTCCCACCCGAATACTGCGCTTTTCAGACAGGCTTAAAAAAACGGCACACCACAAGATTATATCCCGCACATGGCTCGCAGGGTCCTACGCCCACAGAGCCTCGCTGATTGCTAGCACAGCAGTCTGAGATCAAACTGCAAGGCGGCAGCCAGGCTGGGGGAGGGGTGCCCGCCATTGAACAGGCTTGATTAGGTAAACAAAGCAGCCAGGAAGCTCCAACTGGGTGGAGCCCACCACAGCTCAAGGAGGCCTGCCTGCCTCTGTAGGCTCCACCTCTGGGGGCAGGGCACAGACAAACAAAAAGACAGCAGTAACCTCTGCAGACTTAAATGTCCCTGTCTGACAGCTTTGAAGAGAGCTGTGGTTCTCCCAGCATGCAGCTGGAGATCTGAGAATGGGCAGACTGCCTCCTCAAGTGGGTCCCTGACCCCAGAACACCCTAACTGGGAGGCACCCCCAAGCACGGGCACACTGACACCTCACACGGCAGGGTATTCCAACAGACCTGCAGCTGAGGGTCCTCTCTGTTAGAAGGAAAACTAACAAACAGAAAGGACATCCACACCAAAATCCCATCTGTGCATCACCATCATCAAAGACCAAAAGTAGATAAAAACCACAAAGACAGGGAAAAAACAGAACAGAAAAACTGGAAACTCTGAAAAGCAGAGCACCTCTCCTCCTCCAAAGGAACGCAGTTCCTCACCATCAACAGAACGAATGACTTTGACAAGCTGAGTGAAGAAGGCAGACGCCTCAGGAGCTGATTCGATCAACTGGAAGAAAGGGTATCAGCAATGGAAGATGAAATGAAGCGAGAAGGGAAGTTTAGAGAAAAAAGAATAAAAAGAAATGAGCAAAGCCTCCAAGAAATATGGGACTATGTGAAAAGACCAAATCTACATCTGATTGGAGTACCTGAAAGTGATGGGGAGAATGCAAACAAGTTGGAAAACACTCTGCAGGATATTATCCAGGAGAACTTCCCCAATCTAGCAAGGCAGGCCAACGTTCAGATTCAGGAAATACAGAGAATGCCACAAAGATACTCCTCGAGAAGAGCTACTCCAATACACACAATTGTCAGATTCACCAAAGTTGAAATGAAGGAAAAAATGTTAAGGGCAGCCAGAGAGAAAGGTCGGGTTACCCTCAAAGGGAAGCCCATCAGACAAACAGCGGATCTCTCAGCAGAAACCCTACAAGCCAGAAGAGAGTGGGGGCCAATATTCAACATTCTTAAAGAAAAGAATTTTCAACCCAGAATTGCATATCCAGCCAAACTAAGCTTCATAAGCGAATGAGAAATGAAATACTTTACAGACAAGCAAATGCTGAGAGATTTTGTCACCACCAGGCCTGCCCTAAAAGAGCTCCTGAAGAAAGCACTAAACATGGAAAGGAACAACCGGTATCAGCTGCTGCAAAATCATGCCAAAATGTAAAGACCATCGAGACTAGGAAGAAACTGCATCAACTAACCAGCAAAAGAGCGAGCTAACATCATAATGACAGGATCAAATTCACACATAACAATATTAACTTTAAATGTAAATGGACTAAATGCTCCAATTAAAAGACACAGACTGGCAAATTGGATAAAGAGTCAAGACCCATCAGTGTGCTGTATTCAGGAAACCCATCTCACGTGCAGAGACACACATAGGCTCAAAATAAAAGGATGGGGGAAGATCTACCAAGCCAATGGAAAACAAAAAAAGGCAGGGGTTGCAATCCTAGTCTCTGATAAAACAGACTTTAAACCAACAAAGATCAAAAGAGACAGTGAAGGCCATTACATGATGGTAAAGGGATCAATTCAACAAGAAGAGCTAACTATCCTAAATATATATGCACCCAATACAGGAGCATCCAGATTCATAAAGCAAGTCCTGAGTGACCTACAAAGAGACTTAGACTCCCACACATTAACACCCCACTGTCAACATTAGACAGATCAATGAGACAGAAAGTCAACAAGGATACCCAGGAATTGAACTCAGCTCTGCAGCAAGCAGACCTAATAGACATCTACTGAACTCTCCACACCAAATCAACACAATATACATTTTTTTCAGCACCGCACCACACCTATTCCAAAATTGACCACATACTTGGAAGTAAAGCTCTCCTCAGAAAATGTAAAAGAGCAGAGATTATAACAAACTATCTCTCAGACCACAGTGCAATTAAAATAGAACTCAGGATTAAGAATCTCACTCAAAACCACTCAACTACATGGAAACTGAACAACCTGCTCCTGAATGACTACTGGGTACATAACGAAATGAAGGCACAAATAAGGATGTTCTTTGAAACCAACGAGAACAAAGACACAACATACCAGAATCTCTGGGACGCATTCAAAGCAGTGTGTAGAGGGAAATTTATAGCACTAAATGCCCACAAGAGAAAGCAGGAAAGATCCAAAATTGACACCCTAACATCACAATTAAAAGAACTAGAAAAGCAAGAGCAAACACATTCAAAAGCTAGCAGAAGGCAAGAAATAACTAAAATCACAGCAGAACTGAAGGAAATAGAGACACAAAAAACCCTTCAAAAAATTAATGAATCCAGGAGCTGGTTTTTTGAAAGGATCAACAAAATTGATAGACCGCTAGCAAGACTAATAAAGAAGAAAAGAGAGAAGAATCAAATAGATGCAATAAAAAATGATAAAGGGGATATCACCACCGATCCCACAGAAATACAAACTACCATCAGAGAATACTACAAACACCTCTACGCAAATAAACTAGAAAATCTACAAGAAATGGATACATTCGTGGACACATGCACTCTCCCAAGACTAAACCAGGAAGAAGTTGAATCTCTGAATAGACCAATAACAGGAGCTGAAATTGTGGCAATAATCAATAGCTTACCAACCAAAAAGAGTCCAGGACCAGATGGATTCACAGCCGAATTCTACCAGAGGTATAAGGAGGAGCTGGTACCATTCCTTCTGAAACTATTCCAATCAATAGAAAAAGAGGGAATCCTCCCTAACTCATTTTATGAGGCCAGCATCATTCTGATACCAAAGCCTGGCAGAGACACAACCAAAAAAGAGAAATTTAGACCAATATCCTTGATGAACATTGATGCAAAAATCCTCAATAAAATACTGGCAAAACGAATCCAGCAGCACATCAAAAAGCTTATCCACCATGATCAAGTGGGCTTCATCCCTGGGATGCAAGGCTGGTTCAATATACGCAAATCAATAAATGTAATCCAGCATATAACCAGAACCAAAGACAAAAACCACATGATTATCTCAATAGATGCAGAAAAGGCCTTTGACAAAATTCAACAACCCTTCATGCTAAAAACTCTCAATAAATTAGGTATTGATGGGACGTATCTCAAAATAATAAGAGCTATCTATGACAAACCCACAGCTAATATCATACTGAATGGGCAAAAACTGCAAGCATTCCCTTTGAAAACTGGCACAAGACAGGGATGCCCTCTCTCACCACTCCTATTCAACATAGTGTTGGAAGTTCTGGCCAGGGTAATTAGGCAGGAGAAGGAAATAAAGGGTATTCAATTAGGAAAAGAGGAAGTCAAATTGTCCCTGTTTGCGGATGACATGATTGTATATCTAGAAAACCCCATTGTCTCAGCCCAAAATCTCCTTAAGCTGATAAGCAACTTCAGCAAAGTCTCAGGATACAAAATCAATGTACAAAAATCACAAGCATTCTTATACACCAACAACAGACAAACAGAGAGCCAAATCATGAGTGAACTCCCATTCACAATTGCTTCAAAGAGAATAAAATACCTAGGAATCCAACTTACAAGGGATGAGAAGGACCTCTTCAAGGAGAACTACAAACCACTGCTCAAGGAAATAAAAGAGGATACAAACAAATGGAAGAACATTCCATGCTCGTGGGTAGGAAGAATCAATATCGTGAAAATGGTCATACTGCCCAAGGTAATTTACAGATTCAATGCCATCCCCCTCAAGCTACCAATGCCTTTCTTCACAGAATTGGAAAAAACTACTTTAAAGTTCATATGGAACCAAAAAAGAGCCCGCATCGCCAAGTCAATCCTAAGCCAAAAGAACAAAGCTGGAGGCATCACACTCCCTGACTTCAAACTATACTACAAGGCGACAGTGACCAAAACAGCATGGTACTGGTACCAAAACAGAGATATAGATCAATGGAACAGAACAGAGCCCTCAGAAATAGTGCCGCATATCTACAACTATCTGATCTTTGACAAACCTGAGAAAAACAAGCAATGGGGAAAGGATTCCCTATTTAATAAATGGTGCTGGGAAAACTGGCTAGCCATATGTAGAAAGCTGAAACTGGATCCCTTCCTTACACCTTATACAAAAATCAATTCAAGATGGATTAAAGACTTAAACGTTAGACCTAAAACCATAAAAACCCTAGAAGAAAACCTAGGCATTACCATTTAGGACATAGGCATGGGCAAGGACTTCATGTCTAAAACACCAAAAGCAATGGCAACAAAAGCCAAAATTGACAAATGGGATCTAATTAAACTAAAGAGCTTCTGCACAGCAAAAGAAACTACCATCAGAGTGAACAGGCAACCTACAAAATGGGAGAAAATTTTCACAACCTACTCATCTGACAAAGGGCTAATATCCAGAATCTACAATGAACTCAAACAAATTTACAAGAAAAAAACAAACAACCCCATCAAAAAGTGGGCGAAGGACATGAACAGACACTTCTCAAAAGAAGACATTTATGCAGCCAAAAAACACATGAAAAAATGCTCATCATCACTGGCCATCAGAAAATGCAAATGAAAACCACAATGAGATACCATCAATGCTCATCATCACTGGCCATCAGAGAAATGCAAATGAAAACCACAATGAGATACCATCTCACACCAGTTAGAATGGCAATCATTAAAAAGGCAGGAAACAACAGGTGCTGGAGCGGATGTGGAGAAATAGGAACACTTTTACACTGTTGGTGGGACTGTAAACTAGTTCGACCATTGTGGAAGTCGGTGTGGCGATTCCTCAGGGATCTGGAACTGGAAATACCATTTGACCCAGCCATCCCATTACTGGGTATATACCCAAATGCCTATAAATCATTGCTGCTATAAAGACACATGCACACATATGTTTATTGCAGCATTATTCACAATAGCAAAGACTTGGAACCAACCCAAATGTCCAACAATGATAGACTGGATTAAGAAAATGTGGCACATATACACCATGGAATACTATGCAGCCATAAAAAATGATGAGTTCACGTCCTTTGTAGGGACATGGATGAAATTGGAAATCATCATTCTCAGTAAACTATCGCAAGAACAAAAAACCAAACAGCGCATATTCTCACTCATAGGTGGGAATTGAACAATGAGATCACATGGACACAGGAAGGAGAATATCACACTCTGGGGACTGTTGTGGTGTGGGGGGAGGGGGAAGGGATAGCATTAGGAGATATACCTAATGCTAGATGATGAGTTAGTGGGTGCAGTGCACCAGCATGGCACATATATACATATGTGACTAACCTGCACAATGTGCACATGTACCCTAAAACTTAAAGTATAATAAAAAAAAAAGAAAAGTACAGGTTAACATCCCTGGTGAACATGTATGAAAAATCCTCAGCAAAATATCAGCAAACTAAATTCAATAGCACATTAAAAGGATCATTCACCACGATCAAATGAGATTTATGCCTAGGAAGCAATGATGTGTCAACATACCAAAATGTATAAATGTGATATGCCACATTAACACAATGAAGGACAAACACCATAAGATCATCTCAATAGATGCAGAAATGCATTGGACAAAATTCAACATCTTTTCATGGTAAAGACTCTTGAGAAATTAGATATAGAAGGAATGTACCTAAACAGAATAAAGGCAGTATATGGCAACCCCATTGCTAACATCATATTCAACGGTGAAAAGTGGAAAGCTTTTCCTCTAAAACCAGGAACAAGACAAGGATGCCCACTATTGCCACTTTTATTCAATACAGTATTGAAAGTCCTAGCCCGAGCAATTAGGCAAGGGAAAAGAATAAAAGTCATCTAAACTGGAGAGGAATAAATTGAATTGTCCCTATTGTCAGACGACATGATCTTATATACAAAAAATCCTAAAGACTCCACCAAAAAAAAAAAAAACTGTTAGAATAAATAAAGTAAGTAAAGTTGTAGGATATAACAGCAAAATACACAAATCTCTAGCATTTATATATACTAACAACAAACTACACAAATAAGAAATCAAGAAAACTATTCCATTTACAATATCTACAAGATAGTCTTAGGAAAAAATTTAACCAGTGAGGTAAAAGATCTATATACTGAAAACAAAAATAATTGATAAAATAAATGGAAAGGGCCACAAATTAATGGAAACATATCCTGTGTTCATGGATTGGAAGAATGGAAACCGGAAAAATGTCTATACTACTACAAATGATTCAATGTAATCCCTATCAACATTCCAATGGCATTTTTCACATAATAGGAAACAGAATTGTACAATTTATATGGAACCCTAGAAGATCCCAAAGATCCAAAATATCTTGGTCCAAAAGAACAAAGCTGGAGGTATCATACTACCTGACTTCCTTCAAAGTATACTACAAAGCTATACTAATCAAAACAGCACAATACTGGTATTAAAAACAGACACATAGGATAGAGAACTCAGAAATACATCCACATATTTACAGTCAATTGGTTTTTGACAAAGGGACCAAGAATTCACGATGGAGAAAGGACACGCTCATCAATAAATAGTGTTGGGGCTATTGGATATTCATTTGCAGAAAAATGAAATTAGATTCTTTTCTTATACCATACCCAAAAATAAACTCAAAATTGATTGAAAACTTAAATGTAGGACCTGATACTATAAAACAAGTAGTAGAAAACAGGGGATAAGCTCCATGAGATTGGTCTGGGTAATGATTTATTTTTATTTTTTGCATATGAACAAAAAAGTATGGGTAACTAAAGCAAAAATAGACAAATGGTATTATATCAATCTAAAAAACTTCTGCATAGCCAGGGACAGAGTGAAGGGACAATCTCCAGGATAAAAGTATTTGCAAACCACTTATATCATCAAGGGTTAATATCCAAAATATATAAGGAACTCAAACCACTCAATAGCAAAAAACAAATGACCTGATTTTAAAAATGGGCAAAGAATCTGAATAGACATTTCTCAAAATAAGACAAACAAATAGCCAATTAATATATGCAAAAATGCCCAACATTACTGATCATCAGGGAAATGCAAATTTAAACCAAAATGAGATATTACTTTACACCTGGTAAAATGGCTATTATAAGAAAGACAAAAAAGTACATTTTGGCGAGGTTGTGGAGAAAAGCAAACCCTTGTACGCTGTTGATGGGAATGTAAATCAGTATAGCCAATGTGTAAAAGGATATAGAGGTTTCTCAAAAAATTAAATATAAAACTAACAGATGATTCGGCAATACCGCTACTGGGTACATATCCAAAGGAAATAAAATCAGTGAAAAGCTTTTTAAAGAGTAATTTTTTAAAGAGTATTTGAAGAAAAGAGTTAACATGGCATGTCTACAAATGCTATCCTCATAAGATCCTGCCTACAAGTTACAAGGGTTAACACTTGGCTGGCATCTGGGAACTTGGATATTGTGAAGGTTTCCTTCACCATAACTAATAACAGTGGTTCACGGTCCCTGAAACATCTGTACAAACAATATGTTTTATGCTATGCCAAAAACCTGATTTTCCTGTGGAAGTCTGAAATTTGAATATGTGCTGGATAGAGGGTACCTACATGACTAGCACGCAACAAAAACTTGAAGACTGAGTCTCTAGTGAGCTTTTCTTGTAGACATTTCCCATGTGTTGTCACAACTCATTGCTTGAGGAATTAAGCACTTTCTGTGTTACTCTGGGACAGCCTCTTGATAGCTTGCACCTGGTTTCCTACAAAGTTACTCCGAGTGCTGTTTTTCTTTGCTTTGTGCCATTTTGCTGCAGTAAGTTGGACCTGTGAGTGTGACTACATGCTGAGTCCTCCAAGTCTTCCTACTAAACCTGGAGATGGTCTTGGGCACCCCTGACACAGAGTGATAATACCTTTGTTGAAGATATTATGTAGAAACAGGCATTCTATTGTATTCTGAGATTTTTTAATTTGTTATTTCTCAAGAATCCTTTGGGACTATGTATCAAAACTTGTTATATGTCTACCTTTTGATTTGATAATTGCGTTGCTTGAAATTTTATTTGAAAACATGAGAACACACATACACACACACAGCTTCTCAGTGTTATTCATAAACAGAAAACACTGGAGATTATTCACCATACAGGACTGGATAAATAAGTTATGACACATCTAAGTATCAGCCATATTCTGTCCTGATTTTTGGTGTATCTATTTTAACCGGCTGATGCCCTTTTTCATGCCCTGTTAAAATATTTTATCATTTCCACTGGGTACATCTGTACAAGATACTATGCATACTATACATATGCATAGTATCTTGTACATATATATACTATATATATAGTAAATATATAGTATAAAAAATATATATTTATACATATATTTGATATACATTGATGTATATATAAAACAATGATATATCATGTTTTATATATATATCATTGTTTTATAACAATATATATATCATGTTTTATATATATATCATTGTTTTATAACAAATTATTAAACAGACAAGCACTTCTCAAACTGCTCAAAGTTTGATTTGTTAATAGATTTTTTTAAAGCCTGCCACAAGATAATTTAGGTGAATATAGAAAATCATATCACTAAATAGCAGAACTTTGACAATTTTCTAAATATTTGAGTTGCCTGTCATTTATGATAAAAATGAATAGGCACCCATTGTCATAAAGCGGGAGATTGACTATGACCTTTGTTTTATTTTTTATTTTTTGGCCTGACAAAGCCCGTTCTTCTCAAAACCTCTTGAAAAGCTACTTAAACTTTTAATGAAGATTGAAGCCTCATGGAGACAGGAATCAAGGCCCTTAACCTCTTTGTTTAGAGGTTGGATGGTCTATAATTTTAATGAGTGGAGAATATCCTAATGAAATTCCACTTGTGGGAAAAAGCCCTAAAAAATTGTGTACAAACATCCCAATTGAGATGGCCAGGGGAAAGGTACATTTACTTATGATGGAACCAAAATTGTGTTGGCATCAATTTGTCTGCCACAGCCAGTGAAAAGCAAGGGATAATGGGATAAACCATTGATTTTTAAAAGAAAAAACTACTTAAATAAACTATCATTTTATATAAAGGTGACAAAAGAGGTTCTGAAATATTCAGGGGCTCAAGTAACATATATTTAAACATATTGAAGATTTGCTGTAGTGACAAAGAGTTAGTACAATCAGAAATTTAGGACATACATCATGTAGATCAAACCTACTGAAAATATATTAAATTCTCCTTCTACCAGTGAGAACAAGGAAGCATATACTTAATTGAGTGTTCATTTAAATTAATGTTTTTAGGGCAATTCATAATGATCTTTTCTTTAGTTTAATGCTAAACCAGAGTTGAGATTTAAGATACTAATGACGCATACCATGTATGAAGCAGTATGTTAAACCATCACGCATCCACCAGAAAGAAAACCCACTTCTAAGTGCCTTGAAGGTAGTTCCTCTTACTTCCCCTTACTGCAGACCTCCATAAAACAAACAAACAAACAAACAAACACCTCACATCCTGACTTTGGGGAGTAGCCTTCCTCTTTCCCTTAGAGGTGCTGTTTTCCCTTAGGCACAAGCTCTAATAAATCTTTCTCTATCTCTGTTATTGTGGTCTCACCTGATTTCTATCTCGAAGGACCACAAGAACCCTAGGCTTACAGTTCCAGGGGTTGGGACCTGATATTGTTGGGGGCCAGTACTCAGCCTATTACAGCTACAATCAACGAAACTAAGATGCACGTACAGAACAAGGCAAAATATTGAAAGCAGAATACAAAACTTAGAAACATATTTAAGCACAATAAGAATTCAGTTTTCAATGAGGTTGATATTTCAAATGAGTGGGAAAGGGCTTTATTAAACAAATAACTAGGCACTCAGAAAAAGGAAAAGTGGAACCTACCTTAAACTGTAAAATTAGAAGATGTCATTTTGAACATCTTAAACCAGATGCATATATGAAAAATAAAACCGGCCCGTGCGGTGGCTCACACCTGTAATCTCAGCACTTTGGGAGTCTGAGGATGGTGGATCACTTGAGGTCAGGAGTTCGAGACCAGCCTAACCAACGTGGTGAAACCCCGTCTCTACTAAAAATACAAAATTAGCAGGGCGTGGTAGCGCACGCCTGTAATCCCAGCTACTTGGAAGGCTGATGAAGGAGAATTTCTTGAACCCAGCTGGCGGAGGTTGCAATGAGCCAAGATCACGTCATTGCACTCCAGCCTGGACAACAAGAGGAAAACCCCGTCTCAAAACATTTTTTTTAAAAAGAAAAAAAACATATTTATAAATGAATAACAGTTGAACATTTTTATAAACTTGAAATAAATATATTACAAAGTAATACTGAAAAGAGAAGTTAAAAATGTGCATAAAATTTAAAATCTACATTTTAGAATGGTGATAAGATATTGTAAAAATTCAAAAGAAAATGACAGTTTATCAATCTACCAGCTTATATGTATTATAATGACATATAGCCGATTAGGATTTTTAATATATATTGGTACTTAGAAAAGATAAATGTCTTAATAGAAAAATGCACAAAGAACCTGAAAATGAATTTCATAAATAAAAAAATACCAATGACTTATAAACTTATGGCCATATAAAAATTCACTGGCAGACAGAGAAATATCAATTAAAAATTAATGAGACATCAACAAATTATCAGTGAAGAAAATTTAAAAACATTTTTGTAACATGCACTGTAGGCGAAGTGTGATCAAATAAAATAGGCTGCTTCTACATTCATGGGTGTGTGTTAACTGCTACAAACCTACCCCAATATGGAACTAAATACCCTACTTAGTCATTTCACAATTCTACTTCATGGAATTGATTCAAAGAAAATAATGAACACTGTTTGACTATGGGAATAGTCACTGAAATATTATAAAGTACGACAAATTTTCAACTGCAAGGACAAGTTAAGTGAATTGTGGTATGCCCTCATTGTTTAGCATGGCACAAATACTGAATATTTTATAGTGAAGAAACAGATAGTTGTAAGTAAATATGTTCCCAGAATATGCATTATAAACATTCATTTTATATATATATATATATGTATATACGTATATATATATATATACATATATATATACGTATATACATATATATATATACATATATATATACATATATATATATATACATATATATATATATAGGCAAAGTTATACAATTAAATCAACTTTGGGGATTTGTGTTTGCCATAATCATGATTTTCTATTTAGTTTTATTTTCATTATTTCTTTATTTTATTATTATTATTTTGAGACTAAGTCTCACTCTGTTGCCCAGGCTGGAGTGCAACGGTGCGATCTCAGCTCATCGCAACCTCTGCCTCCCAGGTTCAAGAGATTCTTCTGCCTCAGCCTCCCGAGTAGTTGGGATTACAGGCATGTGCCTCCACACCTGACTAACTTTTATATTTTTAGTAGAGACAGGATTTCACCATGTTGGTCTCCAACTCCTGACCTCGTGATCCGCCTGCCCCAGCCTCCCAAAGTGCTGGGATTACAGGTGTGAGCCACCGCACCCGGCCTATTTTCTTTTCTTCTTTACTTTTCTTTCTTTTCTTTCCTTTCTTTCCTTTCCTTTCTTTCTTTCTTTCTTTCTTTTTCTTTTTCTTTCCTTCCTTCCCTTCTTTCTTTTCTTTCTGTCTCTTTTCTCTCTCCTTCCTTCCTTCCTCTTTTCTTTTCTTTCTTGTTTTGCTCTTGTTGCCCAGGCTGGAGTGCAAGTGGCACAATCTCAACTCACTGCAACCTCCACCTCCTGGGTTCAAGGGATTCTCCTGCCTCAGCCTTACTCAGTAGCAGGGATTACAGGCGCCCGCCACGACGCCAGGCTAATTTTGTATTTTTAGTAGAGACAGGATTTCATCATGTTGGTCAGGCTGGTCTCGAACTCCTGACTTCGTGATCCGCCTGCCTTGACCTCCCAAAGTGCTGGAGTGAGCCACCGCAGCTGGCCTATTTTCATTATTTCTTACTTATTCATGTATTTTCTTTTACTTTCATTTAAAAATTACCTATAATGTTCATTCATTGCTTTTTCACAATAAAAATATTTTCCAACTGCATTGAAAATATATATACATTGATTTTGGGAAAAAAAAAAAGAATACATAGACCTATAAAGGAGAGACAGGAACTACCTGAAATCCAATCATGCCGAAAGAAACACAATCACAATTTTGGGGGTTGTCTTTTATTTATTGATGCAAATATATAATTTATCCTATTTTCAAATATGCAAAACTACTGTTAACATTTTTTATCTTTTAGCACACTTTTATTTTCTTAAAGGTAAAAACCAGTATTCTGAAGTCCACTTCCAAATTCCTAGAACTGGTGTAGGATGATTCTAGAATATGCCATTACTTGCCCAAATAAGGTGGAATGTTGTCTGGCCAGGCCACTTTCCTGCAACACATTCCATCAGGAAACTCAGAAACAACAGGAACTGCTGAGCATTTTCTGCTGAACTTTTTTTTTCAGTTCAACTCAGA
Source organism: Homo sapiens (assembly GCF_000001405.40). Taxonomy (NCBI): domain Eukaryota; kingdom Metazoa; phylum Chordata; class Mammalia; order Primates; family Hominidae; genus Homo; species Homo sapiens. The sequence goes on from NC_000002.12 coordinate 76,808,847, forward strand.
AAATAGATGGCAATCTTCCCATTTTAAAAAGATGTTTTCCTCCATTTCTTTTCCATTTTAGCAGAGACAGTAAAGAATTCAAATTATATCATATCTCTGTCCTCCACACCAGCTGTGTTTTGTGTTTGTCAGATGCTTAGAGTGATTTTCAAACAGCTGGGTTTTCTCAACCATATTTTACCCCAATTATCTTTCTCCATGATCTTCAAAGCTATTTCAAACGATTTTTCCCCTGATTCAATACACATGTTTATAGTATAAAAAAAAATTTAGAAAATAGACAAGAAAATGATGAAGAAAATCAGTCAGCTATAATGACACCAACCAGTGATAAATAACATTAACATCCTTTTATCAGTGGTCAGTCTCCTGTACATACACATACATGCAATCCTATTGTACATTTTGTGTTGTAAGCTTTACACCTTATAAAATAGCTTTAATGGTTTCCATTTTTATTCAGTATTTTTCTAAGTGTGGACTTTGATGTTTGCAGTCCCTCACTCCCACTCGCCCCCTCCCCAGTGTTCCCTTATCAGTTATGTCAGCTCCTTCTTTTAAGTGCTCAGGACTAAAACCATGGACTCTTCCATGACTCTTCATTTTCATAAACTACATCCAATTCTCAGAAAATCCTAGTAACTTTACTGGGGGGAAAAATTGTAACCTACATACTTCCTACCCTTCCCCTGCTAATCCCTCAGCCAGGCAATCACTAATTCTTGTCTTGTCTATGAGAGCAATTTCTCTTCTTCCATTCTTGCCTCCCCTACCTTTGGTTAAATGTAAGTCAGACCATGCACTCTTCTGCTTAGTGTCTGCCATGCCATACCATCACCCTGAAAATAAAAACCAAATACAAACCTTGGCCTACAAGAACCTGGACGAGTGGCCTTTGCTGCCTTCCTGATGTATTTCTTTTCTCTGCTTTCTCATGTGGATCCAGCCACAGTTACTTGCTTAATAATCCTTGGACATGCTGAGCTTGCTTTTGAGTGTCTTTGGACATTCTGTTTTTTCTGGATGTTAGACCTTTCCCAAGATAGCTTCATGGTACCTTTCCTCACTTTATACAGTTCCTATTCAAACCTCATAGACTCCTGCCCTGACCAACCTATAAAAAAAATTCATCAGCTGTGACTTGTTCTCCATTCTGCTTTACATTTCTTCATAGCATGTATCACCAGCTGATATTATGTTCCATATTGATTTACTCATTTTATTTTCTACATCCCCTACTAGAATGTAAATGAAATGAAGACAGAGATATTTTCAGTTTTTGTTAATCACTATATTCCCAACATCTTGAAAATGAGTGGCACTTCACACTCACTCACTAACTGATGAACAATTCTCCTTTAATTGAACAGTTTTTGTTTTTTCTTGTAAGTGACAATTCCAATTCTTGATTACGTCTTAAGGGTAAATTCTAAAAAGCAAATTATTTTTAAAATTTGAACATTTTCTAAGATTATCCTCAATAACAGATTTTTCTAATTTATGCTTCCACCAAAAGAATATAACCTAATTTCACCAAAAGGATATAAAATAGAATAACTGTTTTCTTATAATCTTATCACACTGAGTTTTATTATTTTTGCTCTTATGTTTTTGATTTGCTTGTAAGAATAGGTGCTTGTTTTAGCATATTAGCTATTATTGATAAAATTGTTTTGAGATCATTTATGTAAACAGCCTGCTGCATAGTGAGGTATTAATACAGGTTAATGAATAAACAAAAAATGTCTAAATATGTTCCTTTTGCCAAGAAGTCTTAAAATCTATAGAAATTATATTCCAAATATAAAAGTCTATGGTTTTTAACCTGCTGTAACTTAACTTCCTTATTTAGTTTCTATTTGTTTTACTAAAATATTAAAGTTCCTGCTTCAGTAGGATTATTGGCCCCTTAATGAAAAGGTGCTTTGAAATCATTGGCTAAACAATAAAAGCATGGAGATTACCTGTGAATGTGCTTTCTCAAGGAATTAAAATTTAAGAGGTTTAGTTCTAGTTATTACACAACATTACACACTATCTTACCATTGACACATACTGTGGGTTATTCTGAGAAATACCATACTATTCAATAGCACACCTGGTGATATTGTAACCACTGGTTAAAAAAAAAGTTAATAACTAGATTCACTGAAAACAAATCAGATGTTTGGATGTGACTAATTGAAATATAGAAAGGAAAATGAAAAGTCCTTATTCTAACCAAGTCCCCTCACCCCACCCTGTGCAGCACCACACTTTAGCCTCCTCCTTACCTTTTACCAGCCATGAACCCTGGAATTTCCATAGTTAACTTCTTTCTGTTAAGGCTTTGCTGCAAAAGGTTATTACTAACATGCTTAAATATAGAGTTCCTGACATAGGCACCCAATGAATATGTTTTCAAGAGTGCATGAATTAATCTTAGCAGAGAAAAAATAAACATTAGCACCCTGTAGGTCTTTTGCCTTTGTATTTTATCCAATTATGTAGTTGCTACAAAGCAGCTTGCAGAGGCTTGAAGGTCCAAGATGGATGAATAGGCATTTTGAAGAGGAAAGTGTGAGCAAGGACAAAACAACATTGGCTGGGGACTCTTGGGAGGAAATCAAGCTGTCTGAGAATTCAGAGGTGGCAGCCAGACCATCGCCTCTACTCTACATTGCAAGCTTAGCTAAGGCCATTCATCTGATGGAAAAACCTATTCCCTTTGGCTCTCATTTCAGTCAGGAGGTCTACCTTGTTTCTGCCATGTACATGTCAGCAGGTGAGTGTGTTTATGTAAAATGCAAGGGTTAGCATAAGAGAGTTGTAAACACCAAAAGGGCTGACTTCATGTATGTATGACTTGTGCACCCATCTTTAGAAGGGTCCCATGTTTGCTCTATGAAATAATTTTTGAACAAAGTCATCTCATTTTTATTTTACCTGTCCTGAACAACAGAAGGCAGCCAATTAGAATCCAAATTCTCAAGAGCCGAAAGCAAGCCTTCAAGTAGGAAGATTAGAAATTTGCAGGGATGAAGGATAGGAAAACATGTAAAACTGAATTTCTTTCCTAGATCTTACTCATTGCTTTTATTATGTAATAGGTTTACTCCTTTACTTTTCTTATGTTAAGCCCCTTTTCCATACTCCCATTATACTAAATATGTTTCCTAAGAATTGTATTTCAAACACTGAGTTTATTTTTTTCCTGGAGCAATAAAACATTAAAATAACTTATACTCCTTTTGATAGATGGAGTTATTTGAACTTCATAAAGCACTAAGAAAAATTTATAGGGTAACTGAATAATAAACACAGCTAGTGGAAGCCTTTGAGGTCTGGAAGGAGGAATGAAACAATGCATGCTTCCTCCTACCCCATATATCTAATCCAATTTTCAGATCTAGGATCCATTCTAGTCACTTAAACACCACATAAACTTCTTTGATGTTTAATTATATTATGTATATGCCTGGCACTATAGAAGAACTGACAGAATGAAAACTTCATTGAGTGTTTTCCTGGCCACTAACCAATGAAATGCTCTCTGAGAAGGAATAGTGGTTAACAAATGCTGATAGGTGTAATGGCCCTGGCAGTAAATTCTCCATTCTTAAGAGAGTGTTGGGAAGGCCTGAGAGTGGCAGCTTGCTAAACTGTGGTTTAAATTGACTGGGAATACTTGCTAAGATTGAAATGAGATTTAATAGGCTCAGCATGGGTTTGATAAGAGCCTGTATTACCAAGAGACACTTAATTCAGTATAATTATTGGCTTTAGGTTATAGATGGGTTGCTTCCAGCCCCAACACTTTCCTATGAAGGAGACTGTTACAAATAAGCTCTTTCTTTCTTTCTTTCTTTCTTTTCTTTCTTTATTTCTTTTTCTTTCTCTTTTTCTCCTCCTCCTCCTCCTCTCCCTCCTTCTCCTCCTCCTCTCCCTCCCCCTCCTCCTCTCCCTCCCCCCCCTCCTCCTCCTTATTCTTCCTCTTGCATTAAGGCAGCTTTTATGTGCCTTAGTAAAGATGATATTAATATTTAATTATCATTAGTGGCCACACTGAATTTATACATTGAAATAGGATTTTTCCAAGTCAGATTGTGAGAACGTTTGCCCATTTTCTCTAAAAAAAAGACTCCTCAACCAATATGGTGAAACCCTGTCTCTACTAAAAATACAAAAAATTAGCTGGCATGGTGGTGGGCACCCGTAATCCCAGCTACTTGGGAGACTGAGGCAGGACAATCGCTTGAACCCAGGAGGTGGAGGTTCCAGTGAGCCAAGATCACCCCATTGCACTCTACCCTGGGCAACAAGAGCGAAACTCTGTCTCAAAAAAATAAAAATTCCTCAGCTCCACTAAAGGAGGAATACATGTATATGTGTATATATTTCATTTGGAAAGGTATACCCAGGAAATCACCCCACTGGGGAATTGTTTATAGGAATGATTTTTCTTTACATAAATCATCAGGAGTGGTATAATCTTGCTTCTGTCAGACAAGGACCATCTTTCATCAAATGTCTCATAAGATGTCTTTTATCAGCCCTGCACTTGCTTGACTTTGTCTAATGTCAGAGAAATATAAAAGCCCAAGTCTGAAGACAATTTCATGACAGGAGATCCCCAAGACACAGAGTATAAAAATATTTATTGCTACTTTGTTCTTATGTGATATTCTTTCTGTTTCTATTTCATTTTTTAAAAATATATAATTTATGTATTTTAGGTGCAAACTAAATTCATGCGAACAGTAAAAAAAAATAATCTCAGACAGTACAAAATGATGAAGTAGGCCAAGTTAACTTTTGGTACATTTTTTTCTTTTGAGTTTTGTATTAGGACTGATTGATAGGCTTTAGGTTTTATTATCTCTGCAGAGGTGGGATGAGGCAGATTCAAAGGATGTTATTGTTTCAATAAACCTTTTTAAGAATAGTTTTAGATTCACACAAAGATTGTGAAGATACTACATAGAGTTCCCGTATTGCACACCCAATTTCACGTATTCTTACCATCTTACATTACTAATGCACTGGTATTACATTGCCACAACTATGAACCAATTTGGCAATTATTAAGTAAAGTTCATTTATATTTTCTTAGTCTTTATCTAATTTTATTTTCCTGTTCCTGGATCCCACATTATGTTTAGCTTTTATATCTCCTTATCCCCCTCTGGGCTCTGACTGTGTCTCAGACTTTCCTTACTTTTGATGACTTTGAACGTTTTGAGGAGTCCTGGTCAAGTATTTTTCAACATGCCCTCAATTGGGATTTTTCTTATCTTGTTCTCATGACTATAATGAGGTTACAGTTTTTGGTAAAATACCATTTTCATCCAATCTATTTATTATTTCAATTTGTTTATTTTAAATTTGAAAAATAGAAAAAAGCTTATATAATAAGATATAAAGAAAGAATAACTTTTTACAGCTGTGAAATGTGTTTGCGTTTTAAGCCAAGTGTTACAACAAGAGAGTTAAAATGCTTAAAGAAGTTTACAAAGTAAAAGAATTGTAGTAAGCTAAGGTTAATTTATTATTGAAGAAAAAAGCTATTGGCTGTTTGTATTCTTTAACATGAGTATCTATTTTGTAACAATGTACACTTGACTCTCCTTATCCATGGTTCTGCATCTGCGGATTCAAACAACCATGGATCAAAAATATTAAAAAAATAAATTAATTAAAAGACAAGAATAAAAAATATCAAGAGCAAAAGATACAATATGACAAATATTTACATAGAATTCATGTTGTATTAGGTATTATAAGTAATTGGAGATTATTTGAAGTTTATGAGAGGAGGGGTGTAGGTTATATGTAAATACTACCCCATTTTATATAAGGGACTTGAGTATCCCTGAATTTTGGTATCCTCAGGAGTCTTGGAGCCAACCACCCACAGATACAAAGGGATGACTGTAATAACAATAGCAATACTAAAATGGCTTCAAGATACACACACACATACACACACACACACACACACACACACACAAAAGCATACCCCATACATATGTAAAGTTATTAACTGTAATAATTATTAACTGCAATAAACTGAACAAAAAATGAAATAAAACAAATAAAAGAATATATGCATTTGCATTTGTATGTACTTTGGAAGGACACATAAGAAACTAATAACAAAGGTCCCTGCTGTTGGAGAGGTGTGGCGGGGTGGAGATGAGAAGCGGAGACGTGTGTGGGAGAGAGCTTCACTGTGCTTGTTCTAAAAATGTTCTGCCTTTCGAAACACAGGACAATTGTATCTATTAAAAATAAGAAAAGAAATAAATAAGAAAAGAAATAAAATTTGTGAAAAGTATTATTTGAATGAGTCAGTGACTCTTCACACAAAAAGATTATAGCTGATGGGCCCACTGAAACTTAGACTAAATCTGTGAATTAGGTAGATGTTTCTTGCTCGCCAGTGTCAGAAAACTAACCCAAAGAGGTTACTTTGGTTAACGGGTGACTGTGTTGCTCACGTGATAGGGAGGGGCCTGGCTCCAAGCCTGCCAGAAGCGAGATATTCAAGTTTAATGAGAACGTCCTGCATTTGTCTCTCCACTGTGCTGCTCTATGAAAGTCTGCAGGGCTGGAAGTATGGCTGATATCAGCTGAAAGAGATGATGAAATTAATTAATATCTATCAACTGGAATGACTGGATACCTGGAATGGCTTAAGGCAGGATCTGACAAATAGTGCTATGCAAAGTTAGTAATCAAAGGCAAAGTCATAGTTGTAGTAATAATAATACAAGCTTTTATTATTAGCTGATTTGTATGATTGGATTGTTTTGAAGACTGCAAAAAGTTTGAATCCCACAAAAATATTGAGACTGGGCAATATCAGATTGCTTTCTGAAGGCAAGCATTAAACGTAGCAGAGAAAAACTGATTTTGCAGGTAACATAAAGTAAATATGTGTCAGAGATGAATAGAATGACATGGAATAATGTAAAACAAAACATAAAGGAATACAAATATAGAGAAATGAATTTGTATATTTTGAATATGTTAGCTTCCACCAATAACTGGGGGGTGGGCTCTTCTAAAACTTTCTGAAATTGATTTTATTATCTTCCCCTTTTTTTTCTCTAAAAATACACTTCTAAATTTTATTTTGTTTCTCAGTTATTACTATTATTAATTTTGAGATGGGGAGGTATTGGAATTCCTTAGACTCATGTCTCTATTTAATCCTCCCAGATTAGCAGATACAACCTGGGGGAGATCAAATTCACAAGTCTGTACTGTATCCTCCCTGCTTTCCTGTGTTTACCTGGAGAAGGTGACCTTGCTGGTATCAGACAGAATCTGATACAGAAAGATTGTTTGTATGCAAAGGGGTTAAAGGACTTAGAGACAAGAAGCAAGAAGTGTTTTAGTATAGACCATTAGAAGACCCTGTCTCACAGGATGCAGGAAACTTTCAGAACTAAGGTCCCCTAGTGCCCACTGGCTGCTTTGACTATGCATCTCACCGACATCTGAAGTATAATTATTGACCCCTGTCCTAACACAATGATCTTGAGCTGACTGCTCATCACAAGTATCCAAATATCTACTCAACGGAACTGAAAGTAGAAGAAGAAAATAATAGTCATGAAAGCTATGCTTTACAAGCAGTCCAGGAAAGCAGATATTCACACCTATCATTTATGATGGAATCATAATCTATAGAAGTGGAACATGGAATCTGTATTTTTATTTATTTTTTATTTTTTTATTTTTTTTGGAATCTGTATTTTTAAAAAAGACTCCAATGTAACTCTAATAATCAGCCACTATTACATATTTTCTTAATAATTAGTTCCCAGATGTTTCATAACCTGGATCAACCTTACTGAATTTTATAAACTTCAGCTGATGACACTATTCAGAAAGCTCCTCGAGCCTACCTTGTTTCCTCTTCCTTCTCCTTTCTCATGACGTGCAAGTGGGTTATCTGAACACTGCTTTTACTTAGAGGTAAAGAGTTTTTTTTTTTTTTTTTTTTTTTTTTTTTTTTTTTTTTTTTTTGGTGCTTAAGAACATGCTTTCTCATATAAAAGCCAAATAAGAAAAATAAATGGCTTTTCATGTTTGCGGGAAGTGTACATGCAGAGTATTGCAGTCTATAGAGTCAAAGATACAGTCCTGTAATTGTGCTCTGGGTGTTCAGGTTAAGCCAGATTGTTCTATTGAATCTTAAAATTTTGATATTAACAACAGATGCATTTGCAAGGTCAGAAGAAATCTAAAGAATGAAGTTGGCCTTACTCTCTGAAGAATGCATGGATTCAAACTGAGAGGAGGGAGAAAGAAAGATAATTTCACATGGAGAGAACAGCCTGAAAACCATGAGTGCCAGGAGTGCATGCAGTTGTTTTTAGTATCAATGAATCAAGAAATTGCATGCTTGATAATTAATTTTAATATATGGCAGGAAGTGATATGTCATGGGTAATATGAAAGATTATAAATTTGATTTAGGTTGTTGCTAAGTTGGAGGTTTCACTGGTATATTCAAGTTGGTATGATTATTAAGGAAGTAAAAGACAAAACAATGAAACCTGTGCAAAGTGAAGTTGGGGTGAGCATGTAGGAGATAGAGCAATGAACATTTTCGAGTTATGAGGCTGGAAAATGAATGAGTAGTACCTCACTTAGTCCTCACAAAAATACTAGTTATTTTTAAATGAAATAATGGCTTCAGAAAGATTAGGAAACTTATTCAAGGTCACACAGCTAGTAAATTGGTGAGATTGCATTCTGTAATTCCATTCTTGGCACCAGAAGTTCTGGGAGCAGTCAGAATTGCAGCCAGAGAATGAGGCTATGCCCATATATGACTACTCAACTTCCCTGAAACTGCCTTGGAAAACTTCCTTTAGTATCATTTTAAAATGAAAAGTGCTTTAAAATATGCTTAAATGGTCTTTGAACAAGAGATATTTTTAACGATCCTATCAAATTTGCGTTAACGAATCTGGGCTGCAGAGTAATGTCTTCTTGCTTAAGATATGCCATGTTAGTACCTTTCCTGTGAAAAGATTGGTTTTCTTCTCCAGGGAAGAGGAATTGTGTTATTTAGCATAAAGCATATCATAATTCATATAAGATAATCATGTTGGACATAACACTAAGGGGTTTCATGCTCTTTTAAACTATGAATGAATAAAAATCCAGTTCAAGTTCTTTAAAAAGTAAAGAGGATACAGATGGCAATAGAAGCATGGCAGTTGTAGTTTGTAGCTTTTAGTGAAGAAAAAGAAAAACAAAAGCTACAGTGAATTAGTCGTTGTAATATACATTTAAGCTGGTGACATATTTGTTTTCCCCTAAAGATAAGTATTATCTCAAAAATAATAAGACAGAGTAAATTGACTATTGTTTAATCTAAATGTTTTCTTTATACGTATTCTGAAAACATGGTGTTTTATTGATTTGCTGTGTTCCCTTAGTGGGTGAATAATATGGTGGAATTTACCTAATAGGACATAATCTCTCATAATAACAAATTTCTGTTCAATAGAGCTGCAAGCAGAAAAAAAATAATAAAGTGCATGAAAGCTATGCTCTTCCCACAACCAGGGCTGAACACATTACTAAACTCAATGTCTCAACTAAAATGGTCTCTCAAACTCCTAAGATTCCTCCTGGAGTGAGCAAATGCTTGTATAAAAACTATTACACATTGAAAGAACTGTGGTTACCAGCCTTCTCTTTTTCAATTCCTCACAAATAGAATACTGATGCTTTGCAAATTCTCACTCTATGTCTAATTAATATTTAAGGTCAATATTAATTGACCAATTGTTTATCCAATCCAATTAATATTTAAGGTCATGTCTTGATCATGACATGATCAAGTTCACTCATATATCACCCCACCCACACATGCAGACACATGCACACAAACATAAAAGCAGCAATACATGTTTCCTACTAATATTATTCAAAAAAACCAGTTAATCCTAAAAATAAAATTATTAAAGTTACAAACTGAAATAATCACATAAACTACCTAAACTTTAAAGGTTAAAAGTTGAGGTATATTAAATACTAGTAAAACCAGTTTGATTAGTTTTACTAGTAAAGTCAGTTTTAATAGTTTTACTAGTAAAGTTATACTAGTTTTACTAGTTTATATGTTGTCCTAAATAATTGTCGACATGGTATGGAACAAAGAAAAGAGCAGAACAATTATTGAAATAAGAATATTGCAGCAAGTAATATTCCGTGTCTAAAACTCCATATTACTTTCCCGACAAATGAGGTTTGATTAAAATAAAATAACTAAAATAAAGCTAAATCTATCCCTGTATAATTAGGAATAAGGTAAAGGTAAACAATCATAATAGCAGTCAGTATTTATTGCCATGTTATTATGTGCCTTATATATATTATATCATAGAATGTTTTTAAAAATATATGAGACAGATGTTAATATTTTTCTCATTATACAGATGAGGAAACTGAATCATGGAGAAGTTACATTATTTGTCTACAGTCATAAAAATAGTACGCATACTTCCCAAATCAGAAGACATAAGTAGGAAGTAAAATGTGGTCAAAATAGCAAAACATAGCAAAAGAAACCTAGAAACTAAGAAAGAGCAAGGAAACATTCTATAATTAAAAACTGACCATTTGGGTCTGGAATATAGACTAACAAACCATATCTTAACATGCTGTTGATAGGTGAAGTACTTAATATATTGACAGATTTCTCACTTCATAATATTTTTGAAAATATCTATTTCAAGATAATTTTGAATAAAATTGGAAATCAAAGACTTTGCCACACACAACAGTAATACTTGCTTACTTTCTCCACTCTTCTTAAAACTGATTCATCTTCTAGATTGTTACTCTCAGCCTACCAGTGCAATCAGATCTTTCATTGAGAAAATAGATAATGCCACAGGGAATTTGCTCATATTTCAGCAGTAGATCTAAAATTCTATTTTCATGTACACTCATCCTTCCTTCCTCAAGTTTTAACAGCCCTATTGTGAAAGGTGAAACCACCTACTTTTTGCTTTTTCAGGAATCCCAGCCCATCTGTACAACCACTGTGTGATCTGAGTCTTCAGCCACTGTACCTCCTTGGCATGCTGCCATGTTCTAATAATGCCCATCATAGCAACAATGGCAGCTACAAGAAACCTTGCTGGATCCCACATGTTCTTACAGATATCCACCCCCAGTTCTCTTTTCCTTTAATAAAATTTCTTAAATAAATTTAAAAAGGAAACTACATGTAGTCTAATTCTTCAACTCCCATTCTGTTTAGTCCAAGCTTTTGGTCATGCAACTATGATGAAATTGTTATTTATCATTAAATGTAATTGATGGTTTCTAAGTTCTCATGTTGCATGACTACTCTTTCAGTCTTTGTTGGATAATCTACTTTGTCCATTTCGCTGCTTTATAGTGCCATTCCTCAGGTCTCCACCTTGGGACTTACTTTCTTCTCATTTTACATTCCGTCCCTAGGCTTTCTAACTTTCACTACATCAAATTAGAAGAATAAGACTCAAGGCTAGATTAGGTCCTGGACTAAAGCAATGTTAGTAGGATTAGAGAATAATGGAGTGTTTAAAAATTGTTCCAGGACACTATGGAAGTAGGAGTGAAGGCAAAACAAGAATCTAAGATAAATCACTGTTTTCCTTTTGGTCATAATTTCTGAGAGCTGTATCGCTAGAAGAAATTTGCGATAAAAAAATGATGGATTCAGTTTTAGATATGTTGTTAATCTTGAAGGAATTAGATAGCACTAACCAACTATGTATAATTGTTTTAGTGGGTTTTGCCTATAGAGAATTACTTACAACACATCATCAATGATCATAAAAATTAATTAAGAGGCTGAAACTCTCTTCCCATTAAAAATAATAGAGAAGTATGCTTAAGCATCAAGCTGGTAATACTGATAATATGCATTTATATTTTAATACTATAAAAAACTGTGAATAGTGTTATTGCACTAATAAAATCCAAAATCATTGAGGCGCAAAAGTAGCTAGAAGCAGTTACAGCATCTGAATTCTCCATTTCATTTCACCCGTTCTCTGGAGGCTGTGAAAATTAGGGCAAACTGGTAGGACATCACCTAATGCATCTGAAATTCTTTTTTTGCATTGAAATTAAACTGGTTATATGTTCTGATGTAAAATTATGAGTTATTTCAGGATACTGTGCAAGGGTCTATATTCCACTGATCCTATAAGTACAAAACATAAGTAGAAGACACTGATGAACACAAAACCATAAGAGGGAGAGTGCTTTTGAGCAGTCTGTGACCAGGTTAAGAAAAAAAGAGTTATTCCTTCAGCAAAATGTGGCATATAATGTGTGATATAGCAAAACAAAGCCAAAACTTTTATGGATGTACATACCTAAGAAGAGATGATAATGCTTTATTTAAATGTATCCCAAAACCTAGCTTCAACAACTTGAGAAAAAAATCATAAAAAGTGATTTAAAAATGCATATGTCTGGCTCCCTTCAATCCAGTTGGAATTAAAATAGAAGAAAGATTGAGTGCATCCCTGGGTATTATGTACACTTGAGGACAGATGTCTAGTTTATTTTCCTCCTGAGTTCTAATAAAATTACTATATTTTTAAAAGAGAAAAGCCATCATTTCTAAAACATCACAAGAAATCTAAAGGCACACTCCTGGGCGTAAAAATGTACAAAACCAGCTTGATTGAAGACCCCAGACACCAAATTCATTTCAAGGAAAATAAGGAAACAGGGTAAAATAAAAATAACCAATATCAACACTGCTGGCAATGCCTGGCATGGAGCATTTCCTTTGACTTCTCTGGCTTTTTATTAAATGCTTTGGTATTAACTGTACAGTAGAAAATAATGCATTAATACACTCAGCAAATGCTTATCCCAGCAGGGGGAATGAAAAATTGTGTTTTTTTTCCCAAATGTCAACATTCCCACCTTATTAAGGTGAGCCATAAAGAAAATACAGCAGTCTTGCCAAAATGGAAGGCAAAGAGAAACTCACCAGTGAGACACCTCTCTCTCCCTGTTCCTCCTGGGGCATCCTCATTGCATCATATAGTACCTGACGTATGTTGGAACAGAGTCCAATTACTTCTTTAGAGGGATACTAAGAAAGTTAATCTATGTTTGTTTTGGAAAATAGTGGAACTGAATAAATGTTTATTGAATCAATAAAAATAAAACAAACCAAATTGGGCCCATGAAAATATTTAGTAAAATTTTATAGAAAAAATATGATATTCCAGAGTCGAACAGAGATCCTATCTCTGGAAAATATTTACTCAAGAAAATCCATTTCTTTTTTGAACAGCACGTGCCTTGTGCTCTCAAAATCAGTCATATAAATTATGAACTTAATAAAATTAGAGCTAAAAACAAGAGATACTAAGGCCTGAAATGATGGGGAAAATGTGTTGACTAAGAAAAAAGCAGAAATACAAAGACAGCTAGATATTATAATAAAGGAAGATAAGTAAATGAAAATATTCTAGCGAAAACAGAAATAAACATAAAAGAAAATCCAACTAAGAATGTATTAGCTATCAAAAAGAGGACAAGAGAGTAAAAAGAAAAAATTTGTGTTTCCTAAAGAAAAAACTAGTAATGTTAATGAATCACAATAAAAGAAATAATAGAAAACAAACAAGATGAACTTTATTTAGATGAAGAAAACCCTGAACTTTCAGAGGCAAAAAGCTCATTATATTCCAAGTGAGCTAAACCAACATGTAAAAAAACACTGCCACTCTGAGGAACAAAAAATAAAATACGCTAACCAGAACTGGCTTAGCAAATGTAGAAATCAAGGACAAAGGAGAAATTAGTTAATACTTTGCAGAAAATATAAATAAGATCAAGCCACTCAGAAGTGAGAGACAAACTATGTGGTGAAAGGAGGTTGTACCTCTAAGTCTGACTAACTTCAGAGATTGAGTTTATTTATTATTTATTTATTTATTATTACATACCTGCCCATTGGCCTAAGGGGATTTGAAATAAGATGGTCAGTATTGTTGAACTCTTTCTCCAGTCAAGACTTTACCCATATAAAAGTAATAAAATTATTTCAGTTATTTATGAAGCAATAAAAAACAATGCGCACAAAACCTTTCTAAAATGTTGAAAAAATAATATACTTTAAGGTAGTATTTAAAAATAATGCATTATGTCCAAAAACACTACAGGTAAAACTAGTAACACAGAAAATGAGAGAAGCAGATATTAGACAAAATAAAAAGGGTTAATTTCATCATTTTACATTGAACAGAAAGAAAAGATCACATATTAATCTTGATGCCATGATTACATATAGAAATATGTTGATATCAATTGAGTATATTGTCAAATTCAACTAATATTTTGAATAAAAATTGAAGGTTACTTTCTATTACAAAGAATAAAATTAGCAATAAAGATTACCTTATATCCCATCTACTTTCAATAATTAGTAAAAATGAATTTGCATAAAAAGCAATCAGCCATGAATACATAATCATGTAGAAATCATGAACACATACAATGAGACAAACCTTTGTTACTCATTATTTATACCTAACACACACATACAAACACATTAAAACAGTGAGTTATTCCTCTGAGTATACAAGCAAAATTACATTTTTATTAATGCAGTAAGGATAAGTCATTTGTTGGAGAGCATTTAGTTAATTATCAAGAAAATATTTAGTTCAATCCTGACAATTTCTGTATCAAAATAATTTCCACGTGAATCACAGCATTATATGTAATAGAATAAAAAATTTGACAAACCACAATAAATATTTGTAAGTGTTCTTCCGTTCATTGAGAATGAGAGTCAAGTTCTTCAACAACAATAAACAAAATAAAAGCATAAGAGAGGGGATTCACTGATTGTTTTAGTGATATACACATTAAGTCTTCTAGATATCAAAAAATAAAAGTCAAAGAGCAGAGAAAATGTTGGAGAATGTTTGCCATGTATATGTTACAAATATTGTTAAATTTAGATAAAATAGCACTTAAAAATAAAACATAAGAACATGCATGTATTACTTTCTATAATACATGATGCATGTCTTGTTGTTTTAATAAATAACATTATAAACCATTCAACTTCAACTCATTTAACCCATACAGAAAGGCTGACTTCAGTGACAGAGAGAAATTTGTGCTCACATGTGTCCTGTCCACAGGACATCCACCTGGGTAATCTGATTCTTATCTTTCATTGTCTTTGAGATATTTTAAAACTCTTTAAGTTGTAGATATCTCATAGTAACATAAAAATAATTCCTATCTATAGACATGCAAATCGTGTCTTGTCTGGTAGAGGTTCAATAGACTTTTTTCAACAATCTATTAATATCTCCAATGGAAAGCGTGTTTGCCTCCGTTTGTATAATCTTTCAATATTCCTGATCTATAAATGTGTGTGTGTTTTGCATTCTCTTTCGACTGGTTGTATAATTTGCTTGGTTCACTCATAAATGCATGAATGGAATACAATTTTTAACTTGTGTTTGTATCTGCATAATTGTCATAGAATGCATATAAATATGTTCTCCTTCAGGTGTTTTCATGTTCAACCAATGAATTATAGCCATTTAATAAATTCTTATTTTGAGTAGCACATATACACTCAATTTATTAAATGAGTCAGCAGGCTACTTTATTTTGAATATTGCTTATGTGTATAACACTAAGGAAAGAGTAGGCAGACAAGAGCAAGGCATGATATCTGTCCTAGAGGAAGAGAGAATCTCATTAGGGCCTTAACTATATTTTATGTATGTATTATTTGTATATATTTGGCTGTTTGTGGATATTTGCATAATAAGCAACCAGTTAATACTGATTTGAAACACCGCAAAGGAGTGTTAGCAATCTTTCATGGGATTCCAGAGGCAGATAAAGATGACTGATCATAGGAAATATCTAATGGTAGGACTGTAATTGGGAGTGAATTTGACAGTCCATCAAGAATGAATAGAGTTTGAGTGAAAGCACAGGATGGAACTCTTTTCAATTAGAGAAGCAATGGGAACAAAAGTAATCAGGACAGATTTCACAGCATACATCTAGTGACCATCAAATGACACTTCAAATGTACCAAATTCTTCCAATTGGGGTACTGCTTATTTATTATTTACTTTATTTTTAAATTTTACTAAGCATTTATAATGTTCTGGGCAACTTTTTCAAGTGCTGGGATACGGCGATAGAACGTAAAGACCTAGAGCTCAGTCTCATAGTTCATGCTCTAGTAAGATAGATAAGGGGTAAAATATTTTCATTTAATGCTAAATGTGATTAAAGTTAGAATGGAAGGAAATAAAGAGGATTAAAAAGGAAAGAAACATAATCTGCTTTACATTTCTAAAATAGTCTTCTATATGCTGGGTGGAGAACTGGGCTGCCAAGAGTACAAGTTAAAGCAGAGAGGACAGTTAAGAGGCTATTCAAATAGCCTAAGCTAGAGATAATGGCTGGTTGAAATATTCTGACAGTAGTCAGAGTGCAGGGAAATGGTGTGATTCAGGATATATTCTGAATAGAGAGGGAATTGATATACTGACGAATTGGATGTAATGGAGAAAGAAAAGTATTACAAATGATTTCTAACTACTTGACTCGAGCAATTGTGGGGATGGAGTTGTCATTTACTGAAATGGAAATGATTAAAGCAGATGCGGAAGTGAGGATATCTGGGGGTGATAGCTATGGAAGCAAGTAAAAAAGTCCATTTTGTATCCATTTAGGGTAAGATGATGGATAGACAGCTAAATAGAGATGTCAAGTAGACTACTGAATATACTAAAGTGCTAAGAAAAAGGCAGAGCTAAAAATGTAAATGGGGACATATACATTGTGTTTAAATTCATGAGACCGAATGAGGTCACTTAGGGAGAGAGTGCAAAGGTCGAGCTGCAGAAGGTTTGGAACTGAGCCTGGAGCACTAAAACACTAAGAGGTTAGTCAAAGGGAAAGTGCTGGAAAAGAAAAATGAGAAGGAACAAGCACTAAGACAGGAGGCAAAACAAGAGATTATGGAGTTGCAGTCTGTAAGAGCAGAAATTATTTTACAAAAGACGTATTTAATTTTTCTGAATATATTTTTACAAACCACAAAAGCCTGAACATTGGGTTTGCTAACACGAAGTAACTGATGACCTTGATAAAATAGTTTCTTGGAATTGAATGAATAGAATTACACATAGAATAATAGTTCAGGAGACAATGAAAAATAAGGAAGGCGAGATTGTATATGAGCGAGTATTTTCCATAAGATTTGCTACAAAGAGGACCACAGAAATGTCATGGTAACTGTGCAGAAACATTTTTTCTTAATAATGAATATATCAGATCATTATCAAATACAATTTTTAATGAGACAAAGAATTTAACAAAGCTAAAGGTAAGGATTATAGGAAAGCCAAGAAGTAGCTTAATAGAGTAGGAAAGAATTTAGGGCTAGGAATGAGAAACAGCTGGTTTTGAAGCTAGGCATCATGGCATATCAGCTGTGTAATCTTAAATAGGTTATATAAACCCTTATATATGATCTAGTTTTGCATAAAAGGAAAAAAATAATAAAGCTTGACACTATTAAGGGCAACACTGAGGTACTCCCTAAGGATTTAAGGATTTGGAAAGTAGGAGAATCAATTGTCTTTGAAATATAAATTGCTACATAGAAAAAATACATATATATGCAAAGAGTGGATTTTGAAATTTATCTGTAAGTGACAGGATAGCTAAAAAGCCAGAAGGATTTAGGACTACTTTAAATGAACGACATTAAGCTACTTAAGGAAAAAATAATAAAAACACTTTGTGCCATTCAGAAGAAAGGTTTGGTCAGCCATAAAAGCAGAAATAAAAGGAAAGTCACCAGGAAATATGGGCATCACACTGATTCAAGTACTATACAGCAGAGTGTACATTAACCATCCTCTCAAAATATCTTCATCTCCTAAGGAAAGCCCATCTCTGGAATAAAAATAACTGTAAAGTTCTGTAGCCAAAGGGATGGAGATTTCCATTTGTGGAGGGAAACTCATCACAATCATGAGAGTGGCTTCCAGCCATCTCAGACAGGCACATTAAGCTTTGATTCAGACAGTTCTCTTGTTTTGTTTCCAAGCTCACAAGCCACCCTTGTGCACGTCCTTCTCGTGAAGAGAATGTGCTGATGTAATGGACTTTTGAGTATTTCTCTCTCCTGAGACCGTTAGTTCTCATGGTAAATCAATAAAGTGGTTTCTGATTTTGACTTGGCTTCTTCTCATAGTGTTAGACTGCAGAGGAGATAATGTGCTGGCCACACTGAAGTTAAGTATTTCCAGTCCCTATGACATTATTTTCCATTGTAAAATAATGAACAGAAAGTTGGTGTATGGTACAGCTCTGTGGACATTTTAGATAGCAAGGTTAGTCTCTCAGGACCTAATTATTTCTGAGCACATGAAGAGAAAGATTTGGGGTCTTTAAAGAGAAGGGTCAAACGCCAGGGGCCTTTGCAGACAAATTTCCTAATGGTTGTTTAATATGTTATTCAGTAGATATGCATTGATGGTTACTAAGCGTTTGAGTCCCCCTTAAAACCAAAGCACAACATGCTACACTGTTTCCTGTGAATGCAACTCAGATTTAATCTGAGGACCATATGGATGCTGGAAACTACACATAATGATGACTCTATCTTAATGAATTGACATGTATTTCATAGCATTGAAACATTTCTTATCTGATTCTGAGAATGTGCAATTCAAATTGACCAAACTTCAGGTTCATGTAGTAAAGATGTATATGAGGATAATAAAAACAGTCAACTTATTTCTTAAATTGTGTTTAAGGTCAATATATTGAGTACTGATAAGATTACAAATACATTGCTTTAGTTTGAGGCAATGCCAATACCTATCAAGATACTACGTGCTTATGGTTGTTTTCCTCTTTCCCATCATGTCTGATTTTAAAGCTATTTCTTCTAGGGAACTAGATGGTTATAATAATATTATTGCTAGGAATCAGAATTTTAATTTTCCACAGTTACTGTTTCTAAAAACCATTGTCTGGTTTGGGAAGACAATAGATGAAATGAAATAATAATTTTCAAAATACACAAGAAAAGTCATTTGCTTTTACTCTTGGGAAATAGTGATGGAATAAAAGATGTATTGCCTATGTTGAAAAAGTATTGCTTAGCGTAAGTGTTTACACACTGATTATGCATTTAATGAAAGACAGAATCATTTATTTGGTCACTTCTTTGTTACTATCAATTTTTGAAATAGAATTATCTCCTGTGAATTTCACTTTAACATTGAATGATGTGAGGGTAAGTGATTGCCTGATTGCCTAAGCATGCCGTTTAGGGCACTACTGGGTTCTCTAAAGAGTTGCTGCTTCCTCCAAAATTGCAGTAAAGTAGGAAAGCTCTTAAAACTTCAAGAGGAAAAGGCTTCCTCCATAATTGCATCTTATTTGGGCCGGAATCCTATATGTGTAGTGTCTAAAAATGAAGCAATAATATGAAGTGGAAGCAATATCACTGTAATGCACATTTCAAAGAGACTCAGTGCTAATTCTCTTGACTTCATGTGCTTTGAAGTGTTCAGAGAATGAAATGGTGACACTTGTAACGAAAGCAAAAAATTCCTTTTCAAGTGTTAGTGTAATGCTGCCCTTTGAGAAAGGATAAGAGAAATGTGTATAGGTTCATTAGAAAGTTAACAGTTTCTTACCACAGCTGTTAAGTTGTGGGTGACATGAATGCTAGGTACAACTAAATTTTTCTTTGTGTTTTTAGAAACAGTTAGATCTTTGTTTCTTTACTTGAAAAGGCACTTTAATTAATGTGAGCTCATATGAGCACAGTGTGCCTCCTCACAGTAGCTAAAAACAGATTCATCTTCTGTCTCCCAGCTTCTTTTCACTCAGTAGCTGTACAAAAGCCTAGCACGAAACTCATTAATTACCCCAATCCACCTTTACAGTCTTCTTAGCCATTCCCATCTTTAATCCTGGCTGTACATTTTTCTTTAATCTCTGATCCCTAATAACTAATCAGAAATTAGGCCTTGACATCCTTCTGTAATTTCATACCATGAAATATCTTATATTCTTCCCTAAATCATCTGCTTTGAGTAGCCTAGCTCTGTCATTATTCTAGCTGTGACCCTTCCCATGTGACCAGGGGTATGGAACCAAGGGAATGTCCCTATTCAAAACCTGTGGTGTCCTTCAAGTCCACAGTCTTAGACATCAGGATTTGCATTTTCTGCTCAAATGTTCCCAAAGTCTGCTTCCACTTGAGGCTGGCCACTCTGGAGATTGGCCACACAGACTTAAGACATAACCCAAGAGCAACTGTTGGCTGGGTAATGAGATAATTATAGGCAGAATTTAATCTTAGTTGAGGGTGTCCATACACATGTGTATAAGGCTCCTCGAGTGCAGGAAGAACTAGAAGTAGGAAAAAAAGGGGAGGAGATGCAAGGTAAGTGTATCCATTTGTACTCTTGTTCTAACCCACAAATACAAAGGGCTCCCTTGCCTAAGGATTCGGTTTAATCCTACTCTTAGCTATCTTTATTGATCATTTTATTTCATGGAGAAGCTGCTTACTTATGACCCCAGAGCTCTTATAATCTGCACCACATCTAATCTCTAATTACATACTGTCATGTAATTGCCTTGGATTGGTTAGGGCTTCCCCTCACTCTCTGTAATAACATGTAAAATGGATTTATTTTTACTGCTTAATACATTGCTGTGCATAAATTACTCAGTGCATTTTTGTTAAATAAATGTATGTGGAGGACAAGGCTTATATTTAAATTAATATGCTTCCCTCTTCAATTTTCTTTGGGATGTTGATATTATTTATGTGCCTTCAGAATGTACAAGCAATGTATTCTGGTGTTTTAGCAGCTTCTTGCTCTTCTCTCCCCTAAAGTGTGAGACCTCTGCCTTGCATTTTAATTCATCAGGGTTGTGGAAATCATAACCGTCACTTAGACATTTTGACCAAATTTATTCTCGAAATAATAGAATTATGGAGAGTGAAGAAACATGCATGGACATTTAGTTTAATCCACCTTTTTCTTTGGCAGTATTCCACAACATCTTTGACAGATGATCAAAGACTAATTGCCCATCCAATTAACCTTAGACTACCAACAGGGTGTATTACAGAACTCTGAGCATCTTTAACATGACTGATTTATAAAATGAACCTTCCCCAACAGAAAAAAAACACCTCATCATTTTACATGTCAGAAGTAACAGTAACCTGATTACCAGGGCTACTATTTTTTTCACAGGAGAATCTTAGCAACTCCAGATTCTTCCATATCTATAGTGTAAGATGTTACATTTTCCTTACCATCATCAAAGTATTCACAGTTCAATAAAACTATAAAATCTTATCTTTAAGCCAGTTGTTTGTACTCTACTTTTATCCTTAATAACTATATGCCTTTTCTTTAAATATCTACACTTTTTTAATCTGGTTATTAGCACCAATGAAACACTTTTAAACCTTTTTCACCTTCTGATATTTTATTTTTTTAATCCCTGTGAAGTAGTGGAAGAATAAGACTAGAAAGACATTTTATCCCTGCCTACCTTTTTGCTGTGTAAAATAAGTTGTCTATGTGTGGCAGTGTGTGCGTGTGTGTGTGTGTGTGTGTGTGTGTGTGTGTTTCTGCACTAGTGACCCAGGGAGCATAACAGTGAAATGGAAGTAGAATATTTGCATCTTTTAGTTTCTGAAATTTTAAGATTTTATATTTATATTAAAATTAAAGTCTTTGTCTCAAAATTTTAAATTACCATTAATTATCATCAAAATGTCTTTAAAACAATAATGTTATAAATTAACACTGGAAAAACAAGAAATGGGGAGATTGTGCTTATTTTAAAAAGGTAAAAATTTCTATATTAAACAATTTAAAGTAGAGCAGGTGAGACATTGGTAAAATGCACACAATGTTAATTCCAGTTTGTCTTTCAGATCCAAAAATAGCTGTTATTATTTATCTCTGACCTAATAAAGAAAATATGAAAATATAAACAATGCCATGCTTCAAATTATGGTCATTTTTCAAAATTATACAGGTTTTCTGTGGTTACAACTTAGCATAATTGGATTTGAATTACTAATCAATTACTTACTCTTAAGAATATTTGTGTTTGCTCTTACAAAGTTAATGATGATTTACCTCCTGTCTTGTTTTAAGGTGATGCTGCTAGTAGAGATTGCCTTTCTTTAATTTTATTTGTAATTTTGAAATACTAAGTCATGGCTAACAATATAATGAATTCTGAGTGTATCTATATATGTGAATGTATGTGTGCATATGTGTGTGTGTGAAATGAACAAAGACACAAACATGTATAGTGAATATAATAAATACATATAGACTTTGCAACTACAGGATACTATTTGTAAATTTGATATTTCTGCTCTGTAGCTTCATTGGTGTGTGTGCGTGTGCACACGCTCGCATTTGTGTTTTGAAAATAACATGTCTCCATGGACATCATATTGTTGACTCTGTGTTCTACACCACCTGGTATTGCTTTGGTTCTTTATCTAATTTTGATACTCACTTAAATGGTTTCTCCCTAATGTTTCCTGATTACTCTAGCTTTGGGTTGATTCTCCGTTTAATTCTATAGCACATATAATTCCAAACACCCAACCATCAGCCTATAAAAAGATGTATCCCTAGATATCTGATTATTCAATATTTCAACATTTGCTGTAATGACTTGAAATGGTTTACTCCAAATCCATAAACTAAATTGAAACCATGGTGTAATGAATATGTTCACACACCAGTGAAAATGTTGGTATCAGGGAGAAAGAATATTAGAACACTAATATCTCAGATCAACCCCTCTTATGGGATCCTACTGTTGTCACTAACCTCTTTCCCATCCTTAATGAGAATTTAGCTTTTTTTAAAAAAAATTGTATGTTTATATTTTTGTGCAGAAGGAAATATAATCTATATTTGACGCAATGTAGTGTTTTTGTGTTCTGCATACCCACATACCCTTTTGGGGTTACTAAATGTTAAATAATGTGATAATTGGTGTCCTAAAAGCAGTATCTTCTCCAGAAATCATCAATACATTGTTATACTGATTGTTAAAAATATTTTACCAATTTTTATGAAGATGCCGGATACACTGGAAACCCATGAGTTTTTTCCATGTAAAGTAATTTAATGTAGGCTCCTACTTTCTGAACATTCACTCTATAATACACTGGCAGGAACAAATTAGTTTTGATACTTAGAGATGTCTGTATTTTATTTTATCTTATTTGCCTTGTTTAGCATGTCTGAGTTTCCTATCACCAATTTGATTCTAAGCAATTTGGAAGTTTGTCGTAGGCTTCTTTGTATCCTTAGCGAGCCTAGAATATGTTGAATATAAAGCAGGTGCCTTTCACATGTATTCAGATTGATTAAAAGATCACACACACATACACACAGACACATAAACATAAGTACTTCTCTGGCCACCAAGTGAACTGCACATGCTGTGATTTCCTGAAGTCTATTTTCTAACACACAGTTTCAGTGCATCCTCGAAGGGCTTTTTTTTTTTTTTTTTTTTTTTGTCTACACTGCTTAATAGGGTAGAGATGACTAATACTCTTTAGGTCCTAGGTAAATATTTCTTGAGGATGAATGAATATTTTTATCTTTTCTATTAGAGTTTGCATTTTCTCAACACATATCCAGTTTATTAAAGAAAGATTGTTAAAATGAGCTTATCTCCATACCTAGAGATTGAATCTAAATAACATTCTGATTTCCATAACTTGTCATGTTAACCATAGCTTGTGGGTCAAGGTAGTAACATTAATTAAAAGCCAGCGATGACATTTCTAACGTACCTAAAAACTTCTAAAACAAAGAGAACTATAAGTTTATAGATATGAATGATGACAGCTAGATTAGGGTGCAAGGTTTGCAGAGGAAAGCTGTGGAGGACTAGGAAAAGTCAATGAATGGAACATGCTGACTCGTGTAACCCAGGAACTACAGGACCCAGAGGAATTATGCTACCAAATTGTCCATGTTGAGAAGGAGAGTATGGCACACTAGACACACTTTTGCACTATTAGCAAAACTGGAAAGTTAGAAAGTAGAACATGCTACTTTGGTGGGAAGAGTGATGTTGAATTGTTTAAAGCTTGCAATGACTGTTAGCTATTTACATGGAACTGTGCGTGAAATACAAATCTGGAACTTGGGTGAGTGATTATGGTTGGAAATACAGGTTTGGGAGTTATTTGACATAAAATAATGGTTGAAACCATGAAAGTAAATGACCTCTGCAAGGGAGTGATCATAAAGGGTGAAGAGTTTTATTTTAAAGCTCCTATTTTCCTTTAAAAGAATCCTCCGTGACTTATCCATCTATATCCGTGCTGCAAACTCCGTGATTGTAAATATGCCATTTGTCCTCCAACTTTGTATGGATGTTCTGAGAGGTCAGGGTAGCTGAATCCATAAATTTATCTACACTAAACATATTTTATCTCAGCTCTAGAGAAACTAGATATAAAGAAAGTTAAAAATACATAAGCCGTCCTAATATACAACAGTTTTCAAACGCATGATGGTTGGGTTTTAAAAACCAGTAGAAAATTGATGGTTCATTTTCTCAGTTTAACTAACTGTGTATCAGAATATCCACTTATAAATTTATATTCATAATATATTACCAGTAAATAATATAATAATATTGTAAGATATGACATTAATAAATACATATTTGTAAAATTCTAAATTGTTATTCTTTAAAGTTATTTTACTTCATTATGACTTCCTAAAGAAATCTCATAATTGTAAAATATTCTACATGCTCAATGTAAAACATGTGAAAATGAGACAATTTTAAATTAGTAAAACTTAAAATATTTTTTCTTAGAGAAAATAGCAAAATAATATTTTAATATGCATGTACCTTATATACTGTGCTATTTAATCACAAATAATGAAGACAATTTATGTATTTTCTATCTTAACTTTTCCCTTTTCCCTAATGCCATTAAATATCCTTCATATAAGCAATTTTTAAAAAGGATGTATATTGTCCTATTGAATGATAACCAGGACTTAGTGGAGCAAGCCCTTGTTTTTCATTTATTTATTATTTATTTATTTATTTATTTATTTATTTATTTATTTTGAGATGGAGTCTTGCACTGTGGCCCTGGCTGGAGTGCAGTGGCACCATCTTGGCTCACTGCAACCTCTCCCTCCCGGGTTCAAGTAATTCTCCTGCCTCAGTCTCCCTAATGGCTGGGATTACAGGTGCCCGCCAGCATGCCAAGCTAATTTTTTTTTTTTTTTGTATTTTTAGTAGAGATGGGGTTTCACTATATTGGCCAGTCTGGTCTCGAACTCCTGACCTCAGGTGATCTGCCTGCCTCGTCCTCCCAAAGTACTGGGATTATAGGCGTAAGCCACCATGCCCGGCCAGAGCATGCCCTTATTTTTGTACTTAGAGGAGATTTCAAAATATCTGTTACTCTAAAGAGGAGATTTCAAGATATACGTTACTCTAAATTATTCTTCAATGAGAATAGCTCCTTTGTATTTGTAATTAAGTATGTTTAAGATCTAAGTACAATTAGAAGTGTCTCCATCCCATTTCTGCTTGCTTCATTTGACAACGTATTTATATTTTCTAATTATAATCATATTTTCAATGTCATTTAGATAATATGCCATTTGGGATACAAATGCTTTCTCTAATCCTTGGCTCAAACTCTTATTCAAAGATTACTCTTTATCTCTGAGCTAAGATTTGTGAGAATATAAAAATATCTAGTTTGTTAGCTTATACTTTTCTTGAAGAAATGATACACATAGAAAATGTATAGATCTCTTTGGAAAGATGATTCCTACATAAAATTCACTCAATGAAAATAGAAGAAATACCAGGGCATATTATGTTATGCAATAGTACTTGAATAAATGCCAAGTGAAATTTTGTAGACCATGACCAAGAAGAGTTTTTCAGAAGACTGGAAAAGTTTGATCTTCCCTTTAGCTCTACAAAAGTTAATAAGAAGACACATCAAAATCCTTGCAGCCTAACTCTGGTTTCCAAGATACATTCCATCAAGAGAGATCATCCCCATGGTAATATCATAAGGAAGACATAAGACCAATAGCATCCGAACATTTGAAAGAATCATTCTTTTGTTTCTAATTTATTCTTTGTGCATGATAATGTATCCTCAAATTCAGAACTTGATGTGTATTGGGCAAGTCACCTAAATTCCCAAACAGAGCTCATTCTTTAAAGTATAATGAATAAAACTTATTAAATTGTACAGGTTAAGTATGTATCCCTTAATTACACCCAATAAAGTTAAAAAAATATATAGCCCTGAGAGAAAAAAACACTAAATGAAAACTAATGTGAGTGTCTGGCTCCTAACATATGCATAGATTTATAAGGTGAGAAACATCATGTTTCAGTTTAAAAAAGAAAAACAAATACAACTTTAGTTTATCTTAAATTCTAAAATCAATGGTGAATAGTAAGAGTAATACATGTGACTTATTTGTGAAGATTTCTGATTTATTCTTGCATTTAGAGAAAGGAAGAGAACTTTCTGACTAAGAAATGTCATTTATATTATTTTAGAGTTGTAATAATATATTCAGCTTTGATCATTTGAAGCAAAATAAATGCTCTGATCATAAGTAAAACCTCTGTCAGAATTGGTCTCAAATTATGGGAGTGTTTTCCTGAAAGAAAGCTCAATGAGAAAAGCAATAGCAAATGTGTTTGGTAACTTGACTATTTGCACATTTATTTAGGTATATATTTCTTTATACATCCACCTGTCACGGTAAGGTCACTTAAGGAAGGTTACCTCAGTGGACCAGCATCCTATTTAAAACTATGTATAAACTAACATACAAGAAAAATAAGTTTCACTGAGACCTATCAGAAAATAGATTATGAATATGAGTGAGAAAATTTTTCAAAATATTTTGGAGTGAATAATCATGTGAAATCCACAGGACTATTTTAATTTAATATTATAGATTAGCAACGTTCTTGAATTTCTAAATGATAGTAGAACCTCTGAAATCCCAGGGGATATTTCTTTTTTCCCTTGGTACTAAGTAGAAGAGTATATGTCACAATGTTGGGAAGAAGTTGAGAGAAGTCAAAATAATCAGAATACCAATGACTCTCTTCCTTGCCCAGGTTTTCTAAGGTGTATTTGAAGACAGTTTTCCAGTCTCAAGATATTATAGTATGCGGTAAAAAAAAAAAAAAAATAACAGTGAAGGAAACTACCTGAATATTAATTCCTTTTTGTCAGTAGAATATTAGTATATTGGTTGGACTTTGGCCCAATCACATATTTTTTTCTGAGCCTCGATTTCATCATAAACAGAAAAGCAAGACCTAATCAAGTTTTTTTTAAGCTTGAGACAAGTTATTTCTTGGCATATTGTATTTGCTCAACACATATTATCTTTCTTCTTTCTTGTTTTATTTTGATCATGTCTATGCCAGCATTTGCAAATTTCCACTCCGGGCATTTTTTCACACTTTCCTGTGTTATTTCTCACCTTCGTTTTCTTTCATATATCTCTCTTCTCTTGTCCTTCCCCCACCCCTCGCCATTTTTAGTTGTAAAGGCAGTAATAATAATATTGATGATAATTAACAGTTAATGAACAGTTATACAACAAAGACTGTGCTACATGCTTTATGTAAATATCACTTAATTCTAATAACATTTTCCAATAATAAGATCTATGAGGGAATAAAGGTTCAGAGATGTTAATTATTTTCTCCAAATGCACACATTTACTAAGTAGCACAGCTGGGATTTCTATTCACATTTTCAGAACCAAAAATATAGCCAATACAGAACAGAATATATTTCTTAAAGCCTAAAAAGGCAAAGAGAAGAATGTACCTTGGGGCTAGGGCATATGTATGGCTGTGAGTTTTTTAGGCCGGTCTAAGAGAAATTGGTTTGTCTTTTCCCTTATGTTACAAGAATATTTTCACAAAAATTTAGTTACTACAGTTAATCAAAATAATTTATGATATCCTGAAATCCTCATGTTGTAAGTTACTCAAATATTAAGTTGGAATCATTCTGTCACCTTTGGATTCCTCAGAAGTTAGGCAATTATAAGAATGGAAGATCCTGTTATTGGTCTATTCAGAGATTCAACTTCTTCCTGGTTTAGTCTTGGGAGACTGTATGTGTCGAGGAATTTATCCATTTCTGTTAGATTTTCTAGTTTATTTGCATAGAGGTGTTTGTAGTATTCTCTGATGGTAGTTTATATTTCTGTGGGATCGGTGGTGATATCCCCTTTATCATTTTTTATTGCGTCTATTTGATTCTTCTCTCTTTTTTTATTAGTCTTCGTAGCGGTCTATCAATTTTGTTGATCCTTTCAAAAAACCAGCTCCTGGATTCATTAATTTTTTGAAGGGTTTTTTTTGTCTCTATTTCCTTCAGTTCTGCTCTGATCTTAGTTATTTCTTGCCTTCTGCTAGCTTTTGAATGTGTTTGCTCTTGCTTTTCTAGTTCTTTTAATTGTGATGTTAGGGTGTCAATTTTGGATCTTTCCTGCTTTCTCTTGTGGGCATTTAGTGCTATAAATTTCCCTCTATACACTGCTTTGAATGTGTCCCAGAGATTCCAGCCATCCCATTACTGGGTATATACCCAAAGGATTATAAATCATGCTGCTATAAAGACACATGCACACGCATGTTTATTGCAGCACTATTCACAATAGCAAAGACTTGGAACCAACCCAAATGTCCAACAATGATAGACTGGATTAAGAAAATGTGGCACATATACACCATGGAATACTATGCAGCCACAAAAAATTATGAGTTCATGTCCTTTGTAGGGACATGGATGAAATTGGAAATCATCATTCTCAGTAAACTATTGCAAGGACAAAAAACCAAACACCGCACGTTCTCACTCATAGATGGGAATTGAATAATGAGAACATATGGACACAGGAAGGGGAACATCACACTCTGGGGACTGTTGTGGGGTGGGGGTAGGGGGGAGGGATAGCATTAGGAGATATACCTAATGCTAAATGACGAGTTAATGGGTGCAGCACACCAGCATGGCACATGTATACATATGTAACTAACCTGCACATTGTGCACATGTACCCTAAAACTTAAAGTATAATAATAATAATAATAATAAAAGAATGGAAGAAGAAGAAAAAATTGGGGTATGTTCAAACTATTAGTACTATTTATATAAACAAGTCTCAAAAGTCTCATTAAAGTCAAGAAATTAATATAAAAGAGGTACGTAATCACATATATCATTCAATTTACATCACCATAAGAAATAATTTTGGTTGACTTATACTGAAGCACATTTTCAACTACTTTACTCTGTGAAATATTTTTGATAGTTGTTTTCCTACTTCTAAAACTATAATTAGTTAATATAAGAAGGCTTCTTGCAAGAAGTTTAATGTGTAGCCCTAAATCAAGAACTAGAAATTGTTGAGTAGGGACAAATAATGTAAATAATGCAGGCTCCAGCATACTATTATTAATGATAGTGTAAAAGAATTTCAACTTGCAGAAACATATTCTGATTTTGTTATCTCAAATGTCTTTGTAATTTACATTTGGAATTCATTTTCTGTTCCCCCATCCCACCTCTATTTAATACATAAAGAAGCCAAAATGCCATTCTCTACTTGAAGTTGCTATTAACACTTACTGTGTTCTGAAATGGTACAGCCAGTTTCTTTTCTGAATCTCTCCTGGAATAACATCCAGAAACATGTAAAAATGCATTTTTAAGAAATTGGTGTTATTTGGATGAAATGATGCTCTCTATTTTGACGTTGAACATGGGACATGTTAATAACAGCTCATGGATGGACTCAAAGAGCTAGATAAAATCCTGAATTTCATCTTCGAAAATTTCAGATATTTATTATACATTTCATAATTCGTTATTTAAGGACACTGTTTTTAGTCACAAAATAAACCTAACCTTCCAATTTGTTTCAGTTTACATAATAATTTTGTATTTACTAACAATACTGGCAATGAAATACATGTGTCTATTTCTCAATGAAAAGAAAGGGAATGTGGGTACCATTATAGGAGCCAGATTACCTCAAGACCTCTGTAATGTAACTATTCTGCACTGAAATGTTTTTGTAGCATTTCTCCCAAGGATATTTACCACAATGTACTGTTAATTATGAAACTGTTAAAAAGAGACAAATTAAGGGACAACGTGAGAAAAATAAGAAGTGCTCTCCAATGATTGTTGACAACAGATGGGGAGTCAATGAGGTAGAGAGATACAGACATTTTATCCTCAAATGACAATTTCTGAAAGGGAAGCTCTGAAAGCACCAACACAAGATTGCATTCACAGTTCTACTCAGGTGTCAGAGGGGCAAAACTCACAGTAGAAAGGAGAAAATGATCAATTGTTTTATAACTGAAAATATTTTACTGCCCTTAAGTTCTCTAATGGTGATCTTAAAGTAACAAGAAATCAATGCATTACTTTTGCTATATAGTAATTTGAAAATTTACAAGCAATATCTTTTCTTTGTAGCTAAATATTTAATAATATTTTCAAATCTATTAAGCCTCAGTTGCATATCAAGCCAACCTGCTAGCTCATTTTGATCCTGTCATTTCTAATCTATCATTCTTGTATGCTGGAGATGGTTACTCAGAAAAAGTGTCATGAAAATATAATTATTCAAACATAGCTTTTCCCATATAGTGAAATAAATTACCTTATTTGAAAGCATGTAGTTTTATATATCATAATAAATAGATTTCCTTATCAAATAATAGTTTGTTTATGATTCTAATACTTTTAAAGAATTTAGGTAACATCTAAATACAATTTTATTTTTTTTAATGGTAAATCTTGTAAAAATGCATAAAAAGAAAGTATTTGTTCCTTGGGTATGAGGAAGAATATAAAGGCCAGTGTCTTATTGGGAAATTCTTGTTATATCAAATGATTCTGGAATTCTTTTGTTCACTTAGTGAGAATTATTGGGTGTCTCCTATGTGTCACACATTCAATCTGGCCCTGAAGACACAATGATGAATAAGGCAGACCCCCTGCTGCCTAAATACTGTTCTACTCCAAGAAAAGCCTCCTTTAGCTTTGTTTTGTGGACCCCAATCACAGCATGCTTTTGAATATCATTGTTTTCCCTTGGAAAAATGAATTTTCTTGTGAAGAAGTATAACGTGAAGACAGGGGGAGGGGCTTAATTTTAAATTTATTTTAGTGAAATGCATAATGATCAACTTGGATTTATTTTTTTCCCCAAAACTATAGTTTAAATAAAATACAATGAAAATGCAAATAGGTTCTGAAGGAAGTTTCAAATGTATCTCCACAATTGTTTGGGTAAAAGCATCCTCTCAGGAGCTGTCTTCTACAAACCTGGCCTTTTGAGAGCAATAACAGAGCTGTTCTTTCCCTTCTCTTGTATTTCTGAGAACATGCCTCTTGGCACCCAACAGGTGTTTAAGTATCCTTGATGGAAAGTCAGCAATCATCTGACAAGGTCATGAAGCAAAATGCCAGTAAATAGAAAAGGTTAATGTTTATGTGCAGTAAATGTAAAAGTTTAGTCTTCACATGCAAAAGATAGAATCATTAAAGGAACAAACGAAGTCAAAAAGACTTAAAAAAAGAAAAAAAGGAGAAACCAACTGCTTGAGTTTCACAGCTGCCCCGACTACATGTGCAATCATTTCTCCACTTTGTATGAACATAGGTAAGAAAACAAAAGAGAGAGAGAAAGAGAATGGAATTAGTAGTGATATCTGAATTCTTGTTTCTAATTATAAATTTACAGGAAACAACAGGTGCTGGAGAGGATGTAGAGAAATAGGAATACTTTTACACTGTTGGTGGGACTGTAAACTAGTTCAACCATTGTGGAAGTCAGTGTGGCGATTCCTCAGGGATCTAGAACTAGAAATACCATTTGACCCAGCCATCCCATTACTGGGTATATACCCAAAGGATTATAAATCATGCTGCTATAAAGACACATGCACACGTATGTTTATTGTGGCACTACTCACAATAGCAAAGACTTGGAACCAACCCAAATGTCCAACAATGATAGACTGGATTAAGAAAATGTGGCACATAGACACCATGGAATACTATGCAGCCATAAAAAATGATGAGTTCATGTCCTTTGTAGGGACATGGATGAAGCTGGAAACCACCATTCTCAGCAAGCTATCGCAAGGACAAAAAACCAAACACTGCATGTTCTCACTCATAGGTGGGAATTGAACAATGAGAACACATGGACACAGGAAGGGGAACATCACACTCTGGGGACTGTTGTGGGGTGGGGGGAGTGGGGAGGGATAGTATTAGGAGATATACCTAATGCTAAATGACGAGTTAATGGGTGCAGCACACCAACATGGCACATGTATACATATGTAACAAGCCTGCACGTTGTGCACATGTACCCTAAAACTTAAAGTATAATAATAATAAAATTAAAAAAAATTATCATTTCTCTGACCATACATCCAGGAACATGTCACTTTCAATTTACTGTCTTTAAAAGTCCTTTGTTACACTGGGATGGGAAGGAAATTGATTACTATAAAATACTTCTAAATCCTTAAATTTAAATGCAATATAATTTCACTGGTTATTAGTATTCAAGACCCACAATTCCAGTTAAAAATATAGGAGGTTCAGAATCAATTTGGTAACCTGGAGAAAAAAAAAAAAAACTTTACTGTGTATATATATATAAAAGAATTCAAGACAAAATAGACAAAAACTCCATTAGAAAAATGTAAAAAAGTATATAAAAATGAAAGAAGGCAAAATAAATAACCAATAAAATATCAAATATTCAACTATACTAGAAACTGAAGAACTAAAGATTTTTTAAAAAGAGGTATTACTTTCACATATCAAATCTGAAAAAACTAGAGAGGAAGATGTCAGTGAAGCTATGGGACAATGGGCTCACACATGCGCTGCTCATAGAAGGCAAAATTTGGACATTTCTTGTGATGATTAATTTCATGTATCACTAGACTGAGCTACTGGATGTCCAGAGAGCTGGTTAAACATTATTTCTGGGTGTGTCTATGAGGCTGTTTTCCAGGAGTGACTGAAATTTGAATATGGTAAACTGAGTGAAGCAGATGGCCCTTCCCATTATGGGTGGGCAACATCAAATCAGCCGAGGGCCTGAAGAGAACAAAAGGTTGAATTAACTCTGCCTGATTGCTTGGGCTGGTGGTTTATCAATCTTCTGCAGGCCTCGGTGCTTCTGGTTCCCTGCTTTTCAGGCTTGGATTAGAATCCATTGGCTCTCTGGGCTCTCAGGCCTTCATACTACACCGCTGGCTTTCCTGACTTCAGTTGGCAGATGACAGATAGTGGAAATTATCCTCTGTAATCATGTAAGTCAATAGCTTATAATACATGTTTTAATAAATATGTATGTCACACACACATATAAACATACATATGATGCTCTTTGATTTCCATTGTATATTGAAAATACCATAAGTCGAAAATGCATTTAGCACACCTAACCTATGGAACAGCATAGCTTGGACTAGCCTACTTTAAACATACTCAGAACATTAGCCTACTGTTAGGCAGAATCATCTAATAGAAAGCCTATATATTAAGATAAAGTGTTGACTCACTCACATAATTTGTTGAATACTGCACTGAAAGTGAAAAACAGAATGGTTGCATGGGTATGTAGAGGAGAGAATTAACCTCCAATTTTCTTTTTTTAACTTTATAAAAGTTTTTTTTTGTTTGTTTGTCTGTTTTTAAGTTCTGGGATACATGTGCAGAATGTGCAGGTTTGTTACATAGGTATACATGTGCCATAGTGTTTTGCTGCACCTATCAAACCATTGTCTATAACCTCCAATTTTCTTATGAGTGGCAAGTTATTAGGTTATATATTGCTGAGATCCACCTATATTAGGAGAGAATATCTACTTTTTGTAAATATATAGTTGGAGTCAGCTGTCCCTTCTATGGGTTCAGAGGCAAAGAGAAATTTATGTTTCTTGAAAGAAATGGTCAGTTATGCTTTGAAATAAATGGTAAGGTTTACACATTTCGGCTCTTTTTGTAAATCAATACCTTCAACATTAGAATGTAGTTTTGCTTGCTTACATTTCCAAGTGACAAACAGTTGATAGCCATCCTCTTTTTTGCATGGTTAGGTAAATTTGAGTGAGGAGAAGTAGAGAAACAATCTACAAAGGCCAGAGAAGAGAGAGGAAACAAGGGAGGAGTCAGAAGATGGTCAGAGTATGGTTTGAAGTTTGTCCAGGGTCTATTCTTTTGTACTTGAGCCTAAAAACTGAGGGCTTATATTAAATGTATATTCCAAAAATATTTAAGATTGACTTCTAAAGATACCCTTTTTTAAAAAAAACTTCAGTTATAGTCCTAGACTCTCTGTTAGATAATATATATCTAATTTAATTCTCACAAGTATTTCAGGTGGCTTTTCAAGCTCATTTAACAGAGGAGCAAAAGGTCAGTTGCTTCCATGGAAAAGTAGGGCCTAAATCCCAGTTCTCATTCATGAACAATTGGAAATTTCAATGATAACTGAATATTTCATAATAACAATAAATTATTTTTGTACATCTGGTAATAGTGTGACTATGTTAATAAAATTAATTCCCATTTTTAGAATTACATGATGGACAATAAACAGACAAAATAATACTATTTCTGGGATATGTTCAAAATAATTTGGAGGAAGGGAGTTGGAGAAGGTTGAGGATGGGCCAGGTCTGGCCAGGGTTGATGGTAGCTGAGTCCAGGCAGTAAGGAAGTTTATTCTACAATACTACTTATATGTATCTTCAAAATTTCTCATTATGAAAAGTAAAAACAACATCAATACTAGGCCTTTTTGTCTCCAAAGCCCATGCTTTAAAACATTAATGATAATTTCTTTCTTTTTTCATTTTTTTTTTTTTTTTGAGATGGAGTCTCATGCCCAGACTGGAGTGCAGTGGCGTGATCTCGGCTCACTGCAAGCTCTGCCTCTCAGGTTCACACCATTCTCCTGCCTCAGCCTCCCGATTAGCTGGAACTACAGGCGCCCACCAGCAAGCCCGGCTAATTTTTTGTATTGTTAATAGAGATGGGGTTTCACCATGTTAGCCAGGATGGTCTCGATCTCCTGACCTTGTGATCCACCTGCCTCAAGACAGACTCTCACGCTGTCGTCCAGGCTGGAGTGCCGTGGCATGATCTCAGCTCACTGCAGCCTCCACCTCTCGGGTTCAAGCTATTCTCCTGCCTCAGCCTCCTGAGTAGCTGGGACTACAGACGCATGCCACCACGCCCGGCTAATTTTTTTGTATTTTTGGTAGAGACGAGGTTTCACCATGTCGGCCAGGATGGTCTCAATCTCCTGACCTTGTGATCCACCCACCTCAGCCTCCCAAAGTGCTGGGATTACAGGTGTGAGCCACCGTGCCTGGCCTCAATAATTGCTTTATTAATATACTTGGAAAAGAGCCACCATTTCTGTTCTTAAGAGACTGAGTCATCTTTTCTGTTTTTCAATTTCCATATCTGTATCAGCAAAAGTTAAATGAAACTATTTTTTTACTACTCTATAATGTAGTTTTTTACTGAAGTTTATCAAACAAGCCAAGAAGCAAACAATGTACCATTTCCAGTAATGAAATTTAAAACTACTGAGTCTCAATTCTAAAAGCATGTGACCATACTTTCTATTGACAATTATGTCTGTTAATCCCCTCTTCTGAAATCATTAAACATCTTACTTAATGATGTTTGGATGTTGCTTAGAGGTTTTTAATGAGGAGTGCTGGTATAATATTACCAAACTCATACATATTGTGTAGCTGGATTTCAGCTTAGAGATTGATTAGTCTTTTTAAAAAACAGAATATATTCTCTTCATTTTGAGAAATGAAAAAAGGATTATTTACCAATCAAAAGGCGGTAATGTGACAGTCTGAAAAGCCTACTCATAGGGCCTGTACAAGTATGGCAGGATTGCAAATATGAATTCATTTTTGTGATGAAAGCAAATCCCTGCCACAAAAACCTAAAGCTTCCTTTATCTTATTTCAGTTTGCTTTAATGCTGGAGAATGGGCGTTTTGTGATTTAAAAAAAGTTTAAAGGTAGAACCTGACTGTAAACAAACTGAAAGACAATCAGAATAATAATACCAATGCATATGACACAACTGCAAAATGTAACAATAAATAAGAAAGTAAAAGTGTGGCCTCGTGCGGTGGCTCACGTCTGTAATTCCAACACTTTGGGAGGCTGAGGTAGGAGGATCACTTGAGCCCAGGAGTTGGAGACTAGCCTGGCCAACATGGTGAAACCCCGTCTCTACTAAAAAATACAAAAATTAGCCAGGCATGGTGGGGAGCACCTGTAGTCCCAGCTACTTGGGAGGCTGAGGCACAAGAATTGGATGAATCCAGGAGGCAGAGGTTGAAGTGAGGGGAGATCTCATTATTGGCTGAAAACAAGGTGCAGTAACGTGAGTGGTGGCTCCCTGCTAGACCTCTGTGGGAAGAATTCTCCAGGGAGGGAGGCAGGCCTGACCTGGAGGCTGGAAAGGGATGGGACCTGGTCCTGTGAGCTCCCAGGTAGAGGGGAGCACTGAGAACACTAAAAATATATTCTTCTGTATTAAGGCATTTTTCTATTAAATGGAAGTACCACCAGGGGAGCTAACATGAAATATTTTTCAGTCTTTTTTAACTCAAAAATAAAATGGCTATTTATAAATGTGTCTCCAGTGTGACAGTGTTCTTCATATGAATGCTGCAGAAATGAGTAGGGCTTTGGTAAGGAATAGGGAGAGGGTGGCTCCTGAACACAACTCTGGTTCAATGCCCTAGGGAGAGGGGAAGTTTCAGAAGCTAGGGGTGGTGGGAAAGCTCTGAAAATCTGGAACAAAGGTGATAAAACAGGGAATACAGTTGATCTTTGAACAAAACAGATTTGAACTGCATAGATCCACTTATACACGGATTTTTTTCAACCCAATGCAGATGGAAAATACGGTATTTGCAGGATATAAAACCCATGTAATTGGAGGGCCTGCTTTTCATATATATGCGCATTCAGTGGGGTCAAGTTTGGGACTTGAGCATGTGCAGATTGGAGTGTATGTGGGGGATACTGGAACTAATGGCTTGCTATTCCTATGGGATCCCGAATACCAAGGGATGACTGTAATTCCAAAACGGGGAGTTGCAGAGACCAGAGTGATGTAAGCGAGACACCTACGGTGCAACATTTAAGGCTGGACTCACTCCCAAGGGCTGCCCTGCACTTGCACCTGAGAATAACCGCCTTAGAAGGTGCCCCAGGTGTCCTCACTTTCTTCAAGTTGCCCTGGTCCCGGTGCCATAAACAAACTTCACTTAGGATAATTTGCTCAGAACTAATGCTAGTATTCTGAATAATCACAAACATATTATTAAAATGGATCAAAATTCAGATTTTATTCCATTTATATCATTTTACATGTATATGTACATTCTAACATCTGTTAGAATCTTTCAATATCTACCCAAGTATCATCTAGCTATCTATCTTTTATCTACCATAAATGCTATCTAATAATTTTATATCAGTTCATCACAGAAATAAAGAGAAACACTCACTTAATCAAAAATATATATGGATAGTTGAATATCTGGTTGGTTTGCCTGCTTTACTCATTTAATTAAAAACATACCTGAATAGTTAGAACATCTGGTTGGTTTGCCTGCTTTACATACAAATGTTAATAAACTCACATTTCTTTTCCCAACTATATACTAAGAACATCTTTGTATTTAGGAATGGCAAGGGTGGGTTTCCTAGAAATTTTCATGGATATAGCCCATTATCTGGTAAGAGAAAGATCAAGTGTGCATAATTAATTTTAAATGATGTTAGAAAGTAAAAAGGTCATATGATAAATACAAATGAATAGTTTGTAATAGAGCTGAGAGTAACTAAAAACAAACTCTTCCAGCTGAGAGGTTTAGAGATCTTCTGAGGAGAATAATATTTGAGATAGATTTTGGAAGACAACAGGTATGTATTTATTAGACCAGTGCTCTCCAGATAGATTAGATATCAAGAACCAACTAGAGCAGTCTGCTTTTAAGTGGAGTCCTTCAAAAAATACGAAAAAGGAATCATTTTTACAACTGTTTCAGGGAAAGCTCGTAAGTTTTGTGAAATTATATCTTTTGGTCATTCATCACTCTTTTGTTCCCACTCTCAACATATTTGCAACCCACTCCTAACACACACAGGTTAGCCTGAAAATTCTGCTAGACTTAATGTTGTATTTGTAACATAATTTCCGATAGAAAAGATGTTTTCTGTAACAATAATTATGATTATAGTATTTAAAAATTTTGAAAAGAATTTTGAAAATTCCAAAATAATTCTCTTTTCAGTTTACAGTTTTTTCATGAGCCAATGACTTTCCTATTTGTCATCTTCTCTTCTTCCTCCAACCCCTTTTCTATATAGGTTTTCTCCTATTAGTTTACTAAAATTAATTTCAGTCTCAATCAAAGACGTATGG
The DNA here is from genome assembly GCF_000001405.40 of Homo sapiens. Classification (NCBI taxonomy): domain Eukaryota; kingdom Metazoa; phylum Chordata; class Mammalia; order Primates; family Hominidae; genus Homo; species Homo sapiens. Next base: position 76,847,533 of record NC_000002.12, read on the forward strand.
CCAGCAGGTCAGTCTAGGTTTCTTTAAACACTTATTTTAGTTTTTCTTATCTTTTGAATTATTTTTATAATTAAAAGAAGTTCTATTTGTAAAAGAAGAAAGGAAATGTCATTTAATTTTGAGTGAACATTTTCATTTATAATGATATTCCATTACTTATTTGTAAACATTCCATAGACACTCACTTTTATTTTACCTTTATTAACTACTTTATAAGAAATTTTTGATTATGTGTATTAACCATTTGTAAAGTTTCAAATTAGATCACATTTGAATGTTTAATAAAATTTTATAAACATTTAAATTAATTTACATAAGAAAGTGACATGCTAAATCTTCTTCCTTGCATATACAAGTGAGATTTGCCTATCATTCAGTAAACATTTTTGAGTGTTCCCTATGGGGCACTCTAGTAAGAAATGGAAGATCTACTAGCCAATAATAAAGAGGTAGCAAGAGTCAAGGCAGGGTGGAATCTTAATGGAGTTTAGAAGAAATTCCATGTTGGCATTTTTCCATCCAGAGAGCTCATTCTTCATTCTTTCCTTTTTTCTCAAAGTTTTTTTCCCTTAGATTCTTTGTGTGTGTTTGGGTTGCGGAGTGAAGGGGTAGAAAACAACTTCTTTCCCCAATAAATTTGCCTCTTTATTACTGTGTATTGATGTTTTATGTGAGCAATAGTTATTCATGTATTTAATCTTGGAATTTTCCAACATACTAAACACTGTAATTCATTCTAATAATTTTCCCAATTGATTCCTTTGAGTTATAAAGATAAGCATAATATCTGAAAACAATAGCTTTATCTACCATCTGCAAATAGTTCAACTTTGGCCTCTTCTTATTTTTTTGCATTAATTAAAGACTCCAAAATTATATACTTCCCTCAAATTTTAAGTCATTCATCCACAAAACTTTCTAAACCAACTGCCTTTTGGAGGATATTTTGACATTTTTCAAATTCGTACTTTGTTCATTTTCTGTTCAGGTTTTTAATTTTATCTTGAATCAGTTCAAAAATTAATTCAAAAAATGGAAACATTTGTTATAATTTTTAAGCAAAATCTCCAGTTCATTATTATTTTAGAATTTATTGCTATTATCATTTTATTCTACTTGAAACAAATGGATATTATCTGTATATAATTTATAACAAGGATTTTTAAACTTGTAATGTGTGAATGTTAAGAAGTTACAGAAAAAGAAAAAAAAGTTTCTCTGATTAACAAATATTTGGGAAACCTCTGCTTAATCCAAGTATAAAATTTATTTTCTGAAGAATATTTGGAACAAGAATTTACATGTTAATAGATGCTTTTTATTATTTTGGGGTTATGGAAGATTCTGGAAACTTATTTCATGAAAGAACTCTCATTGATGGGCATAAGCTACACCAAACACTTTGAGGAATCCTGATTACCAAATATCCACTGGTGACAGGTCACACAGGCCATCTGTACATTCCCTGTTATACCAGATTTCTCTCTCTCCTCTCTTTTTCTTTCTCTCCCCCTATCTTTCCTTCAGGTACTCTTCTTATATTAAGTGTCCCCTGAAGTATAATGGAAATAAGATTTTTTTTCTGGGTTAAATGAGAGCACACAGTATTAATAATAGCTGATAGTTGCTGTGCTTTGAGAGTAATGTGGGGGGTGACAGTGCAGAGAAGAGAAAAGAAAAGTAGGTTGAGCCAAGGAAGGGCAATCATCTGGAGGGTAATTTCTCTTCTCCAAGGCTTTCTGTTTTTGTGCTCAAGAAATTCAGCATTGTCAGTGTGATCCTCCTCCACCTTTTCTTGGAACAGCATAATCTCACTTCTTGAAAAATGAAATTTCTCTGCTGCCATGCAACATCTTTGTGCAAATGAACGAAGGCTGAAAATACAGAGCTGGAATATTTCCCAGATGTATTGTGGGGGGAAAATTATATAAAATATACTCCCTCAGAACAAATTGTCAAAAATAAATTTTATATATTAAATAACTATAAGAATAATGATGGGAAAAAGACTTCATCAAATAAATGTACTGCTAATTATACTTCTGTAAAAGGCGACTTAAAACAATCTAGTTTGCTTAATAAAAAAACAACTCTGCTCATCAACTGTCTCTATCAAATTCTTCCTTAACAAATAAATTCCAAAATTCATAATTTTCATAGCAAGTCAAAATTCCTTTAAAACAAATGCTTGCGAAAAGATTATAGTCTTTTTGTATTTGAATCTGTATTTTATAATTAAAGGTTTCTCATAGTATTTAATATAATAGTAAGCAATCTCTTAGAAGTTGAAGACAATTTTTTTTTAAAAAGTAAGTGCTAATGATACATTCCTTTCATACAATGAACTGATGTATAATTGTATTACTCCTTGTTTTCCACATGAAAAGAAAGATGATTGGTAGTTGATTGGTGGAGTGAAGTGAAAGGAGTTAATTTCTAGGGCATAGGTACTGATGGTGGAGAGAAATATGTCCTCATGTGTATAAGTGGCTTATCATTTGTTACTGATAGATAATTATTTGACTTTGAATTTTGAACCCTCTACCATTTTAGACCTTTCTCAAATGAACTTCAGTTTTTCCATTTTGTGTCTCAGAATTTTTCAAGTTAAACCCATTACTTTCTCCAAACTAGATTTTTGGTTTGTTTTTTTCTGCTGTCCATACGGTTTCTGCCCATCTGCACTTTCATGCTATGTCTTTTTCCCTTTGTCAATTATTAACATTTTTTCTGTCTTTCGAGACCTACCTAAAGTTCAATATTCTCCATAAAGAGATGCATATTCTGGAAGCCCAGTAAAAACGGAAGCAATTGTGTGGAAGACATATCAGAACCTGGGAGTGTGGGAACACTGCATTAGAACTGTAAAAATTGGATTCAAATCTTGGTTCCATCGACAATTCAGTGATGTTGAACAAAGAAATGATTAGTTCTGATCCTCAATTTTGCCAGTTGATAATTGGGGATGCAAATAACTAGTACATTATCCCCTGTTACTGCAGAGATTAAATGATATGTTTAAGCAAGGGATATAAGAGCGATTGAGAAATGGAAATTATTATGCATATGTCCCACAATCTGTTAGGTACTTTGCACACAGTAGGAACTTAGCAACTGTCACTGTCCTTTCCCCACCTCTGTTCATCTGAAGCGACTATGTCACCATGCCATCTGATATGTATGTGTGTGTATTCACACATGTGCTTCATAGCACCTGATCCAATATAATATACAGAATTTTCTCTATAAATATCCTGCTAATGTTTGACTGATTCTCAAAATAAGATTTGTGAATCCTTAAAAATGAGAGGGAAAATAGAAAAACTAGAGAAAGTTAGAAATGGATCAAATATCCTACAATTTGTGACATATTCATGTGTTTCTCCACATGTCTTATTGTAGACTCCTTTAGGACATCTAAAAGATTGACACTAAGTCTACACATATTTAATCCCCAAAGCTCCGATTGATTTTGGCTAAGTAGGAGCAGCCAGTTTGGGTAAGTCTGAAGCCCCACTTGGGCTAAGGGCCCAGTTTTGCTAACAGTGCACATTCAGGGAACACTGTGAGCAATTCTATTTATCTAAGAGTTCAGCCTCGTGCTTGGGCTTGCAGGTGCAGCTGTAAATTTCAGGTGATTTACAGAGTGGGAAGCACACCAAATCTGAAATTATGATGGAGCTCAAGGCTCACAGCATCTTTTGTCAGATGCTCTGGTTTTATGAGTTTGGGTGGGTGCCACCACATTTTTCTTCCAAGTGCAATAAAAAAATGATGCCATTCAAGCTGAAAAGCTTAACAACCACTTTACCTTTATTGAATCTGTAGCTAATGTACTGAAATAGCAGGGGTTTTGCTGCAAATGTAATTTGGGTTTTTGTCTGGGCATCTCTTCATTCCTTAAAATTGGGTTTGTATTGAGCACAAGTGAGTTACCTAAAAGATCTAAAGATAAAGACCCTGGCTTGTCCTTACCGTTGCTGACAGATGCCCACCTAGACCCAACGAGAAGGAAGCACAGGCTTAGAAATCATGGAGACTATTCCTCTAGAAGCCATCTGCTAGACTAACTGTTGCTTTAGATAATTGCTTGACCTCCCCAGGGCTCAATTTTCTTATTAATAATTTGACAGAGTGGGAGTAGATGATCTTCATATTTCTTAAAGACCAGAAATGTTCTCTTCTAAGGAAACTTGCATGCTTAGATTTTTAACTTTTATTCGTTTTTTTTTTTTTTTTTTTTGACATTCTCTTTATGCACCTCTAAGACCCTGTTCCCAAAGTGGCACTCTCTTCCAGAGATGAGGTAAATTAAACACAGGTTTTTGATCCTGAATTATGCTAAAATTTTGACCCTATTTGTTAATCACACAGGAAACACTTACGAGCAAATGGGAAGAAGGAAAAGCAGTACTTTTATGATTCTTGAGTTTTAATATAGCTTTTACATAACGTTGAATCATATTGCATGTACATTAAAGACTCAAGGAAGCCTCACTTTTTTTCTAATCCTGTTCAGATATAGCTAATGATTTTTGAGCTCTTACTATTGCTACTCAATGTGCTGGGGAATTTCACCTGCATTATTGAATGTGATTATCACAACAACCATATTGAAAATTGCACAATAAGAAAGGAGGAGTTGTATTCCAACTCCAAACTTCTAATTCTGACCTAGTAGTCTTCCACAACTTCTGTTCTATGGAATCAAGCCTCTCATTACCAGCAAGCATAAACTGAAGGTATCATTCAGCTTACACTCCCACCAAAATCACAGCTTCGTACCATCCTTGAAGCCATCTCTGCTTCATAACATTGTCTTACTTTCCTCCTAGACATTCTGTAATTCTTTTCTGACTATGCAAATTGTAGGCTTATGTGAAGATCCAAATAAAGTCCCAATCCCCATCAGTAACTGTAAGTAAAAATTATAACAGATTTCATCTACTTACTTTTCTGAATAGTTTAGTGAATTTTGTCTGTACAACCCTTGGATGCATTTTGCTATTATCTTATGTTATTATTTATTAAATTAGCATTTGTCTATACATTCCTTTTTATAAAAAGATTATTTTTCTTGCCATGTAGTACATTCATAATAATTATTTATTAATCTGTTCATACAAAAAGAATTTCAACTTTCCTGGTCCTGAAATATGCAAATATGATAAGGCACTCTTAACTCTTTCAGAACTCAAAGTGTGGAGTGAGATATACAAACACTCGAAACAAATACACTTAAATATTACAAAGTCTAATTCAGGACTAAACTTGACTTAAATATTATTATAAGAACAGGTGTGGAAAGGAGCTTGTGATTAGGATAGTAGGTTTAGAGGACACATCAATGCAGAGGCTAGAAATTAATTGAAAAGTGACCTTTCTTTCAGACAGGGAAGAATTGTTATATTAGAAAAAAACAGTATATTCAAACAGGCACAAGTATGGGTTATTCTAGGAAAAGGGCCTGATTCTGTGTACTAGAGCAGGTAGAATATAGAGAGATGAGACTGACTTTATAACTTGGTACCTGTCAAAAGTTTTATGCTATGCTGAAAAGTTTGGACTTGATATTGGGAGACATATTTTTCAGTTTTGTTTTTTGGTTAGCAGAGGTTTGATGCAATCACATTTGGTGTTAGATAGATAACGCTGGGTACAGTGTGGAGAATAAATGGGGAGGGGCTATTGTCGCTATCATAGCTGTGGTGAAGAAAGTGAGGTAAAAATTGATTCAAGAGATGTTCAAGAAATATAATCAACAGAACTCAATTGAATTGAAATGGGCTCTTGGTCCCTCTAGATTGTTTTTCCTTTCTTTTTCTTTTCTTTTTAAATACAAGTCTGCCCTTATTTCAAGATCTAAATTGTTGAGAGCACCTGCCACCATCTAAGTAGAAGTCAATTGCTTTCTTGCTGACTTCTTTTTTAAGAACAAATCAAACTCTCGTCCTTGCCCTTTAGATATTAGAGTTATCTTTGGATGAGAACACTGCTTAGTTGTGGAAGAATTGTCAAGAAAATGATGCCCATATATGTATTTAAAAGTTACCTCCCTATGGTACTACTTAAAATAGGCTAAATGGCAAATCTGTGGATAGAAAAAAAAATGTACCAATTTCAAAGAAGAAAGATCTTGAAAGTTGTATTTGAAACTCTCTTTCACAGTGTATATTAGGCATACAATATATCACAAAAGGTGTTAAGGTAAATTCCAGATTGTCATTTTCCAGAGGGCAAAGAAACAACACATACAGAATTGTGTTTTTCTGTAAGAACAAATGCATTTCTCATACTACAGTAGATCCTACATCCTAATCTACTATGTGTGATGTCTAAGGAAATTTGTTCTCTCAATGCCAAAATGTTTGTTGCCTTTTCCTCCCAGTTGTGGATATTGTTTAAAATTCATATGCCTCTGCCACTTCTCAAAATTTCAGTTGCTCATTTTTCTGTTCTTTAAAAGGTTTTTAATACTTAAGAAATCATTTATCATGGTCTCTTCCTTCAGTAGCAGTCACTCTGAGTTGGCAATCTTACAGATTTTATAATCCCCTTCTTTCCTGGCAACGAATTCTTGATTTTGTTCAGAAATGCAATTACATTACGAGAAGATGAACTATGATTACTGTAAAGCAGTAGTGGTAGAACATTATCCACTGTTAGAAATTTACTTTTGTAGTCTTCTGTGAAACTAACATATAGTCATATGATAAGTATGGGCAAATGAGGGGTTAGTATTATTATTTTAAAAGCCTTCTGGAAGGATTTTGACTGTCTGATAATACAGATAGTATGCTGAGAATCTGCTTTTACTTTTCCCTCAATAAATGTATAAATCATTAAATAGAGTCATGATACCCACTGAGGTGGTAGTCATCTTTCAATCAGAAGTAACATGCACAATGACCAAAATACAAAGCTATGAGGATGGTGGAACAAATGGGATAAAAAAACCTGAGTTCTGAGGTGTGAACATAAATTACTCTCTGAGGGCAAAAAACAAACAAACAAACAAAAATCCTGATTTGTAGCATTTGCCAATTTTAATGTATACATAATCTAACTATAGTTGAATTTACCAATCACAGAACATCCAGCACACCACTGCCTGGGTCCCTTATGACATAAATGAGCTACTGGGCTTGCTCTAGATTATCTAACTTAGATGTCGCTACTTACTTATTTTTAAAAATACTTAACTAAACATCTACTATATGTCAGGAGCTCTCCAAGGCATTTGGGATACATCATTGAATGAAGTATAAAAAAGAAAATCCTTTTTTTTTTTTTCACAGAGCTAAAATTCTATAAGGGCGAGAAAGACCATCAACAATCAACATAACAGATAACTACATTATGTGATATTTTAGAAGTTGATAGCCTCATTAAAAAAAGAAAGAAACAGTAGAGCAGAGTAAGGAAGATAATAAGAATCTAGTGGCCAGAAGAGGCAAATTGTAGTAATAAATAAGAAGGTCCAGATAGGACGCATTGAGTCAGTGACATTTGACCAAAATTTTGAAAGAGAAGAAATGTTTCACTAATTGGATATCTGCGAGCGGAGCATTCCAGGCAGAGGGGACTGCAAGAGCAAAGGCGGTTGCTCAGGAGCCTGCTTGCGGAGACATCAGGAGCAACGTTAGCAAGAAAAAGGAGGAAAGGTAACTGGCACAAGATCATGGGGCCCGTGTAAGCCATCAGTTGTTAAAGCAGTGAATATTATTGCTGAAATAACTGAAGAAAAGTTACTGATTCCTATCTAGGACAAAGATGGATAATTATGAATGCCCTGCCTTACTGATAATCCTTCAACATGAAATCCAGAACCTGAGTTATTACAAATTTTATAAATTTTCACTTTGTTATAAAAGAAAGCATACAGTCTACATTTTGCCTTATTTGATAAATAATAGATTCATATCAAACACTTCATAAAATTTCTGTTAAAACCAAATTACAAAACATTCTGGGAATAGATTAGTGCCGAAGTAAATAGACTTCACTTATCCCAATCTCTTTCTTTGTCTTCCTCATTCTATTTAACAAAACTACCAAAAGGATGTACAAAGACTGATGATTTTTAATAAAAATTAGAATAAATAACAACATGCTAAAAATGTAAAAATATTTTCTGAAAGCATATATGCAGATGAGTCTAGAGAGTGGGTCTGAGGGCATTAATTTACAGGAAGAGAAATCACTGTCCTGTAGGCATATTTCTGTATTGCATGGGACTATGAGAGCTTAATAACAAGACCCTCAGTTGGGTGGAGGGTGGGGTGGTGTCTACAGAAAGCACAAATAACGCTGTTATTGAAGGGTAAGAAGCAGTAGTACAACTCACCTAGATAAAGCCCACTCTGGAAGTTTTTAAAATGGGGAATTAAAATAAACAATTTACAGAAAAATTAGAAATAAACTGACAGTCAGTCACTCTGGCATTCAAGGAAGTATAAATTGGCCAGAAGTGGTGGCTCATGCCTGTAATCCCAGCACTTTGGGAAGCCAAGGTGGGCGGATTACCTGAGGTCAGGAGTTTGAGACCAGCCTGGCCAACATGGTGAAACCCCATCTCTACTAAAACTACAAAATTTAGCCCAGCATCGTGGCTGACGCCTGTTACCCCAGCTACTCGGGAGGCTGAGGCAAGAGAATCCCTTGAACCCAGGAGGCAGAGGTTGCAGTGAGCCAAGATTGCGCCTTTGCACTCCAGCCTAGGTGACAGAGTGAGACTTCGTCTCAGAAAAAGAGAGAGAGAGAGATAAAAAAAAGTATAAATTTTGAAAAAAGAAGGGTATTTTTATCAGTTATATATTTTTAGTTAATTTTATATTGGATATAATATCCACTATGGTTGAAGTGCCTGTTAAGAAGGTCTCTCATATATGTAAATATCAAAACAAACCATGTACTGCTAAGGAATAATTAGCCTACATGGATAAACATTATCAATATACATAGACCTTAATCTCAGATATGTGATTTCTAGGAATCTCAATTAAAGAATTTAATCCTGCTTTGTGTTTAAAATTTTGTCTACAAGAGCCACTTTAATAGGAAAAAGAAGAAAACAATCTAAATGTTTAACTGATATTTGTTAATGGTTAAAATAAATTACTGCTTATTTATCAGTAAAATGTTTTATTGCCATTAAAAATAGCTTATATTAAATGACTTGAAAATATTTTCTTTCCCTTATATGTCATTAAGCTAAATATGTGCTATGAACCTGTATGGTGTTTTGTAAAAAAGAAAAAAAAGCCTACTGAAACAAAGATACACAACAAGATTTTGAATATTGGTAATATTTTGTGTGACTTTTACTTATTTGTTTTCTTGCTTTTCTGTTTCCTCCCCTCTAAGTTTTCAAAAACAAACATGTATTTCTTCTGTCGCAAAAAAAAATAAAAGAAAAATTTACAACAATGGTTTATCAATTTACTAACAAAATAAATTTCTCTCTTAATGTTCTAGTATTAAATATTTTCATTATTTTTTAAAACACATTCAAAAGTACAGTTGACCCTTGAACAACATAGGTTTGAACTACACCAATTTTCTTCCATGCCTGCCACCCTTGAGACAGCAATACCAACCCCTCCTCTTCTTCCTCCTTCTCCTTGGCCAACTCAACATGAAGATAACAAGGATGAAAACCTTTATGATAATGTACTTCTGCTTAATGGATAATAAAGATATTTTCTCTTGCTTATGATTTTCTTAATAATATTTCCTTTTCTCTAGATACCTTGTTGTAAAAACACAGTATATATAATATATATATAATATATATATCATATATATTTATTCCTTAGCAATACATGGCTTGTTTTGATATTCATATTTACATATATGAGATATAGAAGATACAAATGTGTGTTATTTGACTGATTATGTTATCAGTAAGGCTTTGGTCAAGAATAGGCTCTTAGTAGTTAAGTTTTGGGGGAACAAAAAGTTATATATGGATTTTTGACTATGCAGGGAATTGACAACACTAACCCCCTCATTGTTCAAGAGTCAGTTGTATTATAAATGGATATTTGGGTTTTAAGACTGAAAACCTAACACAGCATTATAGTCTTTCGTATTTCAGTTACCAAATAAATGTCCTGCATAATTGTTTATACTGATAGTGGTGATTATTACTGTTTTGGCAACATAATTTTGTGTCAGCAGTTGTGCCTGTTTTCTTGGCTTTTATGAAAGTTTGCTTTTGTAAACACGTTTTAACTGATTCATTTTAATTCCATAATATTATGTTGATCTTTTCTAACAGGCAAATAGGCATTTACTTTAAGCATTACAAACTAGCAAAATGTCCCAACAATGAAGAAATACTTACTTTTAAGAATAAAATGAAGAAAATATGAGATCTAAGTGAGCAACTGGGAAGTTTACTCCAACAGGTACTAGAGTGCAGCCTCAGGCAATTCTTGTCACTATTAGCACATCCTAAAATTTTTATCAAAGTGCAATTTTTATATAACAATTGAAACAGTATAAATAACATCATATTTGCAAGCAAAAGAAAATGGGCAATAGATATCTATAATGGTTAGTTTTATGTGTCAACTTGACTGAGTCACAGGATGCCCAAATATTTGGTTAAACATAATTCTGGGTGTTTCTATAGGGTGTTTTTGGATGAGAATAACAATTCAATCTGTAAACAGAGTAAAGCAGGCTACCCTGCCTAAGATGGATAGGCCTCATCCAACCAGGTGAACGCCTGAAAAAACAAAAAGGCTGACCCTCCCACAAGTAAGGGAGCATTTCTCCCACCTGACTCTTTTCAAACTGAGACATTGACTTTTTCCGACCTGAAGTCAAACAGAAACATTAGCTCTTCTTGGCTGCAGCCTGCCAGGCTTCCAACTGAAACTATCTCACAGGTTCTCCTGCTTCTTGGGCTTTTGGATTCAGATTGGAACTATAACATCAGCTCTCCTAGGTCCTCGGGGAGGAGTGGGGCTATATGTTTTGTTTCTATGGGGAACTGAAATATGCAATGTCTATCCAATTTTGAAGGGTACTGTACTATTCTGCAGTAGGTAAAATAGCTTGTTCACTGTAGAGGAGTATTCTTTCAGTGATGATAGAGGAATCAAGTAATAAATAGATATTTTACTATGAAAACTGCTCTGTAATTGCAAACTGGTATTCTCTGGCAATTTTGAATTATAGGAAGATTGTACTAGCCAGAGAATATGGATCTCTATCACCTTAAATATTTTATTGTTGCAATTTCATAAATATTTCTTGTATTATTTTGACCTGAGTTTCTTTCTAATTTAATTTAGATCTGAGTCAACATTTACAAATCCCTATGCTACACTGAATAGTTCAGAACTTTGGAACTTCAAGACTCTGGTACATTCATCAAGAAAATATCTCCATCCAGGTGTCTGGATGGGCAGTTTGCAGCTCTTCTGCAGTGGGCCATTTGCAGCTTTTCTCAGGGGAAAGGCTACACTGTGGGGCTTCTTCAATCTCAACACACAGAAGAGTAACTGCTATTGAATTCACATTTAAAACATAGCTATATTTTCCAAATCAGTTTTCCATGCTATCATTTTATTTGCACTTCATAAAAATACCATAAAGTAGAAAGGACTGAAAAGTATCATATTTAACTTAGGAGGGGGTGAAGGATACTGGTTGAGTGCAAGGGTGTTGGAGTAGGAAAGACTGAGTCTGAATCCCAGCTTTGTCATTTACTGTTTCTTTCTGTAAGTTATATATTCTTTTTTTTTCCTCAGTTCCCCATTTATAAAATAGAAAAAATGGCACCACCTACTCATAAGTTTGTTTTGAGAAATACAGTGTATGATACCTGTTAAACACATTGGATAATGCCCAGATGTATTATATATTCAATAAATGAAAATTGTTATTTATGTTAATAGTATTGCTTTTGAATGGAAAAATGATACACAGAGAAGTTAAAATGATGTGAAAAAAGCCAAGAGCTGGTTAATAGCATAGTTGAATTTAGAAGTCACTTTAATTCCTGTATCCCTAACCTACAATATTTCCCTAACCTATGACAGTATGTGATTAAGTGCAAAATATATAGATAATAAAAAGTTACATAAAAGTTTGCATGACATGGACAATCGTATACTCCATGTATTCTACCTTGGAAAACCAATGATAATTCTAAATTTTACTTGAAGTTTCCTAGCTCCATAAGCTGTTTACTAGATAGAAATCTTTTGTTATGTATTTGAAAAATCAGATAATCTAAAATGTATCCCCTGGTTGTGACCTGAACTTCTTCGGTCTCAGTGGACATAAATATTCCAATCTTGTGTACAGTTTATCTTTGAATATAAATAAATATATGGTTTCTCATTTGTGAATTGACCAGATGAAGTTGTTTAGTTTTAACTAACTCTGTAACAGAATTATAGCCCCTAGAATGCATAATATGTTGCATCAAAAGTACCATTTCTTTTCATTATGGGATATCACTTACCATCCATGGGGGTCTTTCCCACTCAATACAGAAAGGCCTGGGAATTAATTTTGACAAAATGCCTTAAGAAAACACACACAGAAAATAGGAGTACGTACAAGAGTTGAATAGTATATGCCAAACATACAATATATTCTAATGATATCACAACAATATACTGTTCTCAGTCTTCAAATAGCCTCAACTATTACATTACTATGGATCTCATGATTTGGAGAAGATTGCAAAGACATGTTACTTTGGCTAGCTCTTGGAAGATATTTAGAGTTTAGTTGGGCAACAAAAAGCAGTCAGAACAGTCCATGTTACTAATTTGATATTCGATGATGTCTAAGAGTCAATAATGATGACAAATTAGTGTGTTTACATGTGGAGCAGATCCACATAGTTGGATACAAAAACCAGATATTACTATGAAACTGTGTGCAGATTATCTTAGAAAATATCCTTCGTGGCTAGCTGTGCACACTATGATATTCCACCCCTTGTGCCATAGGTTAGATGAAGGTTTGTCCTTCACTTAAAGAATTTTGCTGTGTGTGTGCATGTGTGTGTGCGTGTGTGTGTATTGCTATAGGCTCACTTAGGAGACCCCTATAAGAATGGAACTTAGCTATAGTTTTTGGATTTTAAGACTGTTCTGTTTGCACTTCTTAATTCTGTAAAAGAGAAACCAGACTGTAAATTGATAAAAGGGAGATTTAAATAGTGACTTAAATACAACATCTCTTTCTACAAACTCCAGAAATATAAATACACTTCCCCAGATTTAGAATATTGTGATTAAAGAGAACTAGAGAACAGAAGGAAACAGATATTGAGTGGGTAATGAATCCACATCAAGTAAAAGATTTGTAAAAATATATTGTAAAATTAAAAAAAAGCATAGTATCAGAGGAAAGGCCTGGTGTTAATATCTCATAGTATGGAAATACTAATAATATATAAAAGAAAAACAAAATCAAGGCAGTTGACTAAGACAGTGATTAATCCAGTTTTTCTAGAGGTGATAGTTTTTCTGTTTTTTCCCTTTTTAGAATCAAAATAGGAAGATCTTACTTACTATTTACTGGTAAGTGTTTTTTGATAAAACATTTTGCCTCTTTAGGTTTTGATTTACTTATGTTTAAATTCAGACGAGCTACATTACTTAGACAGTGAAGTTATTTCAACCCTACCAATCTTAATAATCCAATGTTTTGATCTAATTTATGTTCTTTATATTCATTCTTGTATTCTAAAATTCCAGGAATGCAGAAGACTATAAAACACATGAAATATCAGGCTAAAAGACTGCATTATTTTTAGTTTTTTTTAAACTGAGTCACTAAGAATCTTTCTGCACATCACCAATTGATTTGATTTTTTTTCCCATATCTAACTATATGTCACTTACCTCCAAGACGAATGGAATTGTTCCACTTCTCCATCAAAATCATCTGGTTAATTCACAGTTTAAATTTCTTGCAGAGGTCTATTGTGAGCAGTACTTTGCTTTCTGAGCTCTAGTACAAATGCCATCTTTTCAACAGCCATACTCTCTGTCCTTTCCTGAAAATTTTGCTTTGGCCTTTACTGTTCCTTAATCTTGACATAGGCATTGAAATATGCCAAGCTGATAGAATACTCACTTGCTGATTTGATAAAAGTATGGTCTCACCTTTTTCTTTTTAGGAATCTTAATATAATGCAATAATCCAGATGTATCAGTAAGAAGAAAGCCTTTTAGTGCTTATAACTCCAAATTGGAGCACGGCATGAGGATTTGAGTAAAGAAGCATTGAATTTCCCATGACATAAAGGAATGTCTGCTTTACTCTTAAACGTAGAATGACACTTATCTGAAGTAACACAGGCATATATGGAAACAGGAAATACATCAATACACCCTGTGGTTTTGTGGTCTTTGTAGGGCCCAAAGCAGCTAAATCAATGTTGTACCAAATAAGGCATTCGTTGCCTGGACTATTCTTTGTGGAGATTTTCAGGTTGTTTGTGTGCTTAGTACAAATATATTTATATACAGCCACAGGTATTGGGGCTTGCTAATTTAGGCTTTTTTTTTTTAAATAAAGCAAGTGTTTTATTTTCACTTTGCAATAAATAACAACACTTGTTTGTTCCATTATTTCAACTACATTAAAATTAAGGAAAACAGAACTATCATCTCTAATTTCCACAGTGTTTGATATCATTTGATTTCTGTGCTTTCATGGCCTGCTGGTAGTGGTTGTTGGTACTCTTGGTGCATAGTTCCTCTCAGGTGACAGCCTGTTCTAAGGTGAGGAAGGCTTGAATTAAATGGCAATTCACAGCATCATCAGAAAATGCTATCTTCAAGACCTAGCAATCACTTTTTATTTGCTAATTTTACCTACAATTGCTGTGAACTTTGTTCTTTACTCAGAGAGGTGCATGGAAAGAGTGTTAAAAGCCAGCTGTCACTTCTGAGGTGAGAATCAAATGCTGAGAAATGGTATTGTCTTGAAAAGATCACCCTGAAGGTCATTGCTCTGGACTAGATACAATAACAATAGATAGTAGCAGCAAGACCTTCCTGACCGAAAGAAAAAGAAGGTTGCGCTTTGAGGAGGAGGGAAAATATCTCACACACGCGTGCGCGCGCACACACACACAAACACACAGTGATATGCATAAAATAAGGCATTGATAAGAGCAGAGGATGCTCTGTAAATGCAGTTTCTCTGTTAAACTGGATTTTGTTGAATCACATTTGAACAATCTAAGAGCTGAAAATGAGTATCTTATTCACATATATTTGTTGACTTTGAAGAACTGGAGCTAAAAGAGAAATGTAACTTTAATAAATGAAGATAACTCAGTGACAAGATGTATTCTTATTTTTGCAGAAAATCTCTTGGTTAAGGGTAGCAACATATGTATATTGTCTTGTAACCCAAAGCAGATCTTATTTCCAGATTATGTTTCTACCCTCCGATTATCTACTTTTGTCAGGATGGAATTTAAAAGCATATGTCACCACACCAGAATTCAAAATTGGAAGCATTTAGCTGGCATCTTAAACACGTCTGACATTGAAGACATTTTCCTCCCAACTACCCACAGCTTTCATTCAAACTCTTCTATTATTTGTGGACTTGTCCATTTCCCCCAGGCTATTGTAAAATTTTACGGAGAGAGAAAAATCCAGCTACCAAGAGCCAGGTACATGCATAAGATAATTCAGTCCTCATGAGGATGTCCTAATAAGTAAGGTACTTATGACTGTTTTGAAATTTGCCAGGCTGAAAGAATACTCACTTGCTTATTTGAGGAAAGTATTTCCTCACTTTTTAAATTTTTTGGATTCTTAATATAATATAATGACCCAGACACATCAATAGTAATACAGCCTTTTAGTGCTTATAATTCCAAATTAGAGCATGGGATGAGTATTTGAGTAAAGAAGCTTAGGCTGGTGTATATGTGTGTTTCCACATCAGAAAATCTAAATTCAGAGTTTAGTAATGTCCTCAAGGTCACATAGCTAGTGTAGTAGGTATAAGATACAAATCCTGAACTCTCTGACATCAAATGTGACATGATTTCCACTATGATTTGCAAGTAGAAGAGTTTCATATTTATTTATCTTTTATTCTCCCCTTTCCTTGTCTAAAGCTAAGTGCGGAGTTTTTCAAATAATAATATTCAATAGATGCTACTTATACACAAAAAACACACACCTCCATATTAATAGAAAATGGAGAGGAAGAGAAAGTAATTGTTTTTTACATGTTTATTACCAGTTTGATTTTTAACAATTCTCCTCATGATATAGAAGGCAAAGTAATCATATCTCATATCATTAACACTCAGGGACCTGAAATACAGTGGTGGCTGCATGAGATTCAAAAAGCTTTCATCTCATTTAATAAGAATAAATGTTAATCTTACACACACTGGTTTAAAAAGATCTATGGGACCTAAAAAGATTCAGACTATAAGTAGTTCACCACATTTTAACAGAGGAAAATCAAACAAAATACATCCCACGTGGAGGACAATGATCAGTGTTACTAAATAAATTGGGAATATTCCATCAAAGAAACTAGGGATATTTGCTAGGAGAAGAAAAGTCTTGGGGAAAATATGAAAGCCTTTCTCCAGTATTTTAATGTGACCATATGGAACAAGAATTAAACTAACTCTATTTGTTTTTAAAGTGGTGGGATTCAGATCAAAAGGTAGGACATGGAATAGAGCAATTTCCTCCCAATATGAAACCAAGCTATCCAAAGATGGAATGAAATACCCAGGAGGTAGAAATTTCCACACCTCTGAGATTGGTTATGAAAACATTTAAAAACCTTTTGTTAGGAATTTTAAAGAAATGAAGTGGGCTGGGCGTGGTGGCTCATGCCTGTAATCCAAGCACTTTGGGAGGCCTAGGCGGGCGGATCATCTGAGGTCAGGAGTTTGAGACAAGCCTGACCAACATGGAGAAACCCCATCTCTACTAAAAATACAAAATTAGCTTGGCGTGGTGGCGCATGCCTGTAATCCCAGCTACTCGGGAGGCTGAGGCAGGGGAATTGCTTGAATGTAGGAGGTGGCGGAGGTTGCAGTGAGCCGAGATTGTGCCATTGCATTCCAGCCTGGGCAACAAGAGTGAAACTCCATCCCAAAAAAAAAAAAAAAATGAAGTGATCTTAGCATCAGATGGTTCTTAGAATCCCATTCAATTTTTTCCCTTTCTTTTTTAAGACAAGGTCTCTCTGTTTTTCTGTTGCCCAGGCTGGAGTGCAGTGGGGCAATCAAGGCTCACTGCAGCTTCAACCTCCCGGGCTCAAGTGATTCTCCCATCTCAGCCTCTCGAGTAGCTGGGACTACAGGTGAATGCCACCACTTCAGCTGTTTTTTTTTTTTTTTTAATTTTTTTTATAGAGACAGGGTACCACTATGTTGCCCAGGCTGGTCTCAATCTCCTGGCTCAAGCGATTCTTCTGCCTCAGCCTCCCAAATCTTGATTCTTACTTAATTATATTCTTTCCATTATTGAAGGAGAAAACCATTACTGTGGTCCTGAAAACATTCCCCACCTCAATTTCTGTCTGGGTTGGTTGTCTGATAGCACAATAAACACTTACGTAACACTTCGCATACACATTGTTTTAAGAAGTCATTTATCATTGTGTGTTTGCCTTTCTTTCTCTTTGCTCCCTGTGGGCTCCATAGGCAGAAATCATGTCCCTCCTGATACTCACTTCACATATAATATGATTTATTTAGTCAAAAAATATTTATGGGTGACTAACAACACACTAGGATTCCCTTTTCAGAAGTCATGTTTGGATGCTCTCAGGTAGTGAAAAAGAGTCAACATAGAATTGATACCAATGACACCATTGGATTTACATGGCCCACCTAGCTCAATGGCTATTTTTGAATAGGTTTATAAAATTAGAGAAAGTCCTATCCAAAGAAACAATTTACATTTCTTATCCAGGTTTTGTCTATCCTCATCATTTTATCAGAGAAAGTATTAGACTTTCATCAAATGCTGATCCCTAATTTGGAGACATTTGTTTTTCTAGATTTTCACATAAGTTCTCATTGAACATATGAACTCACATAATTTTGAGCTCCTTCCTATAATTCCTAAGATATAATGATATTTTAGAATAAAAGGAATCTCTAAGATTCTTGCCTACTTCAAAGGAATAAATCAGAGAGAAGTATACTTACTCATAATATAGATATTGACTACATAAAAGGTGAGGACTACACATTTAAATAAGAGAGAATTGTTATCATCTGATGGCCCTATTTAAAATAGAAATGAAAGATGTATTATGACTGTCACTTTGCATGTTTCAAGTGAGAAACTAAAGCACACTTATCTCTAGACCTCTGAAGATCACTTTACATTATGAAAAATGTTTTGACTATCAGAATTATTTTGTTGAAATAATCTAAATTATTTTTAAGAAAACACATGTTACTATCAGGGTGATTAGTCAAAACCCCACATAAGATTTACTCAGTAGCCACCGTGAAAGGAGCAAGTGGGGATGGGCCTATGTATTATTCCTTTCCCCATCTCTGAATGTAAACAAAATAGAGTAACTTGGTACTATTCCTTCCAGGTTAGGATGATTCTCTTCCCACAGAAAAACACCAATTACCTACCTCCCTGCCAGATCCATCCAAAATTAAATAACTGAATCCCTTTGAGAGTCACGAAACATTTCAGAAGTAAATTTAAACCTATCTATATGCACTTTCACTGGGGAACGATCTCAGTTTCCATCATCCTTCTCTTTGAAGCCTTGAAGAGCTCGCCTACATGAAACAATTATGATGCAGTGATCTCATCTTGAACATTTTCCTCAGGGTTTTCATCAGCTCTGCTGGTTACCTTTCTTTCCTTAGAGCAATTTCAATTTCCTTATGACTCGGCAAGGAGCATTTGGATCAATACTGTATTTTTTTCTTCTTTCAGTTTTGGATTGGCTCTTCATTTTTTTTTTCTAAGACTGATTTAAAATCTTTTCCTTACAAAAGGTAAAACTTTTAAAACTCTGAACTGTATCCTTTTTCAAACAATCTTTGATTGATGTGTGATGTTGTGTCACATCACTTTAGGTAACTCTGTCTCCTTGCATTATACAAATCAGCAAACAAGTGAGAATGATAGACTGAACTGAAAAACAAGCATTAGGTTTCCATGATGTATATGTGTCACATTTTCTTTACCCAGTCTATCATTGATGGGCATTTGGGTTGGTTCCTAGTCTTTGCTATTGTAAATAATGCTGCAATAAACATACGAGTGCATGTGTCTTTATAGTAAAATGATTTATAATCCTTTGGGTATATACCCAGTAATGGGATTGCTGGGTCAAGCAGCCATAAAAAAGAATGAGGTCATGTCCCTTGCAGGGACATGGATGAAGCTGGAAACTATCATCCTCAGCAAAGTAACACAGGAACAGAAAACCAAACACTGCATATTCTCACTTGTAAATGAGAGTTGAACAATGAGAATACATGGATACAGGGAGGGGAACATCACACAACGTCTGTTAGGGGGTGGTGGGGCAAGGGGAGGGAGAACATTAGGACAAATACCTAATGCATGTGGGGGTTAAAACCTAGATGACGGGTTGATAGGTGCAGCAAACCACCATGACACATATATACTTATGTAACAAAGCTGCACGTTCAGCGCATGTATCTCAGAACTTAAAGTAAAATAAAATAAGATAATAAAGTAAATTAAATTTTAAAAGAAGCATTAGGATGTGGTGTGGTGCTTGTTAGACAGGTTTCTTTGAGGCTTTACAACAAACTCTGCTAGAAGTACAAATATAAAGTTTCTAGATCATGTTTGTAAACCAAATTGGACACAAATGAGTTCAGGTATAAAAGATTTAAAATAAAATACCTGGGTTATGGCCAAAACCATGGAAATATCTTTGCTGTTTATTTCCTCTGGACATATTTAGTGTGGATGCTAAGTGTGTGTGTTTTAATTTTTTGTTAGTTTCTTTTTATGGATGTTAGAAGTTAGCTGCTATAATAAATCCTTCAGGGGCTTTTCAGTTGAAGAGATACTTGCCATTAGCTTAATGTGGAACTGATGCTACAGTGATCCTAAATCCAATAGCAATATACTCCATCACTGTGAATACATTTTCCTTATTTGATGATGCCATCTTAATATAGAATCAGTAACTTAACCTGGTAAAATAGAGTTTTTTATTGTTTATTGATGGTGTATAGCACACTGAGTTATGAGTTGTCTGGAATAGAATATATTTTCTATCAGGTACACCCTTTCCCCTTAATACACCCATGCATACACATGTATTTATATTTTCTTCTCATTTTAGTTAGGAAAAGAAAGTCCACCTAAGTCCCAGGAAACGTAGTACTGAGGTTTTGCTGGTTTAAGTAGCCTTTGGAATGTTCTAGAGAGATCAATTCTATGAGAACTTATTATTGATTCTTACTGCCAAGTTAACCAAGAAAGCCCTATTGAGTCAAGTCAGCTGTGGAGACATTTCCTGTTGACTCAGATGTTCCGTCCTACACAGGATATTAGGATCCTGGCTAATGTGAGTGTCACAAACTGAATCAGGAATGTAAAGTCATCTGTTGATATTAAGAATATTTCCTTTCAACTGAACTTTGTCAGACCATAGTAAGATTTTAGAATATGATTTCCATCCAAAAATCTCAAAACAAAGGTAGATTTTTTAATATTAATTTTTCTTGTTTGGTAAAATTAATAGTTTATGAATGTGTCAGACATAGGACCCAGTTTCTATCCTATGAGGTCTGAATCACATTTATTAAAATTTTAATAACATCTCTCTGCGGACATAAGTTACGGTGGGTTTTCAAGAAATTTTTTTTAGTGTGAACAAAATAGGAAAAAATCTCTCTCATTTATATAGCACCTTTCAATCAGAATGTTCTTTGTACACTGTTCGTGGTTAATTTTTCCCCTTGAATACACATGTTAAACTCCCACGGATCTATCAGCAATTTAACGGGGCTATTTTAGGATTATATTAGAGACAGGATTTAGCAGAATAAAAAAGGCTTGTGTAGCTTTCCCTCAACTTAAGGAAGTTCAAACTATTTTCATATTGTCTAGTTCTATGTGAAAATATTGCTAAGAATGTAATAAAAAATATTCAGTGGATTTGCAATAGGTAACATGCCGGAGGAAGCCTGGTCCCTTAAATAAAGAGAAGCATCAAAAAACTTAAACTGAGTCAGACCCAGATGAAAGAACATGAAGTCGATCTGTGATTATTCTAAGAACTTTTCTGGGCAGTCTTTTTTTACCCCAATAAAATCACCCTTTGTCCCTTCCTCTTTTCAAGTATCTGTATTATTATACCTTTCCTGGCCACCCTATTAAAATTGCTTTCAGGAAAGATAGGGAATTTACTTAACACGATAGCATGTCCAATTGTTAACAGCTTTATTTTACTTCTCTGGGGTTTTGTGTTTTAAAAGCTAATAAAAATGTAAGGTGGCCAGGCGCGGTGGCTCACGCATGTAATCCCAGCACTTTGGGAGGCCGAGGTGAGCAGATCACGAGGTCAAGAAATCGAGATCATCCTGGCCAACATGGTGAAACCCCGTCTCTACTAAAAATACAAAAATTAGCTGGACATGGTGGCACGTGCCTTTAGTCCCAGCTACTTGGGAGGCTGAGACAGGAGAATCGCTTGAACCCAGGAGGCAGAGGTTGCAGTGAGCCGAGATCACACCACTGCACTCCAGCCTGGCGAGAGAGCAAGACTTCATCTCAAAGAAAAAAAAAAATGTAAGGTAAGGCAGAAAATTTCCAGTGGCAGGTTGAAGAGGCTGAGCCTCTTCTTTGTCTTTCAGATTGTACAACAGGAATAGTCACCAGTTTTGTATATTTCTTCCATTAGGCTTGTCTTAAACTGATAAATGCAGACTGGCAAAGCTAAGAAGTCTTATGGGACATTGTTTGGCTTATTCTGAGGCTGATTTGAAAAATGAATGGAAGGTGGGAAAGGGTAGATGATTGATTTTTTTAAAAAAAGTCAAACCTTTAGGGGGAACTTTAAAAAATGTCTGCCAACTCCAGATATCTACTTAAAAACATGGCTGTTATTATGTGTGATGTAAGTTAACCTATGCTATTAAAATCAAAATACAATATAACTGGAGGCAAAATACATTTACTTAACCTCGAAAATAGGATTCAGAGTTTGTATTATAAGATTTTAAGGGAACTTTAAAGAAAGGCACAAAAGAAAATAATACCCAATGACAAGAAAATATTGTAGGAGATAACAACATACAAATTTAAAATAGTAATAATAATATGTTATAAACTTGAATATTATTTTTAATTTTTAACAATAAAATTACATTTGCTTTCTTGAAATATGCCCTTCTGTGTGAATGATAGTATAAGTCATTTAGGACAGTAAGTGAGACACTACAACATAAACATAAAGGAAAGAGAGACTTAGGGAGGCACAAAACAATTACCCAAATTGGAATATTGCCAAAACATATGGATTAACAGTCTTGTCCTTTGAGGAGTGTCCTGGGATCTTTAATGCTTACCAGTAGCCAGGATTCTTCTTTTATTTCTCACCAGAAAGACAGATGATCTTTTATCCTACTAAAGCCCTCCACTGTTTCCTGCTTGCTCAGCATTTTTGCATACCAGTGCCTTTTACTGCCTTCTCCTGGAAGAATATATAGATTGCATTTGGATCTGTGAAGTTGCTGAGTAGTCTGACAAGGTCTTTTTGTAAAGGGTTGTGTGCTGTATATAATAAATACTACAACCCTCCCTGGCATCTCTCACCAATTCTTGTACGGTTGAGTAATAATTATGTGGGCATAGTCATAACACCCCAAATGCCAATTCCGCCTTGAGAGTTTCCCAAAAGAATGAGCTGAAATACTGGGGGAAAAAAGGAAAAAAAACCACATTTTTTCAAAGGAAATTTTTGGGAAATGGAGCAATATGTCAAGCTTAGGTATATGGCAGGCCAATGAACTTTTTTTTCCAGCCAGCTCTGTATAGTGTCTTGATTCTATTGCTACACAGAGCAGCAGGCCTATACCTTTCCTAATATCTCTACAGCTTTCATTTTTCTCTTCCCCTGCACATGTCAAGTTCATGAAAAGTTAAACATTTCTCCTTCCCAAGTGATTTTCTTCGGTAGAAAAAGTCACAAAAATTCACAGGAGGAAGGGTGAGTCAATATTATTTGTAATGCCATAGAAAGTACATACTTGTGGTGCAACCCTATGCTTATCATATAAATGCAATCACTGTACACAAGGCTCACATGAATGGGAACAGTTAAATGGTGAGATATTAGAAAAACACACACAGAAATTCTTCAACTCAGCCAATCCCCAATAATCCACACTTTAATCACCCTATCTTTGTACTAAGCTTTGCTCTCTGAATGAATCCAGAATAAGTCCACTACTCCTGACTATGCTTACAGAGCTACATCTTACAGACAACACAATTAGGTTGCAAAGCAGTATGATGTCTATTATAAAATCTTTGGGAAAAAATCAATATCAATACAACATCAGTATGGCCACTCATATTTTAATATGGCATATTCTTTACCGTAGAGAACAAACATTGTCCAAATTTCCATACATATAGAGATGCTAAAATAGAAATGAACTTCTATTTAAAAGAAATAGAAAAGCCTTTTACCAAACTTAAAGCTTCAAACTGCTGTGTCTGATGTATATTAATAAAATATTAGTATTAGAAGATTTCTAGTTCAATCTTCTGATATTACAGATAATGGAAAGAGCATAAATGGAGTTGAGGATTTGACCATCATTGCCTAGTAGTTAGCAGAGAATCTAAAGTATAGACCACAGCCTGCATTCAACTAGTAACTAATATAGCAATCTAAATAGCCTTACCACATTTTCTAGTCAAGACCATCACTGGGAATCGCCTGTATTGAATTGAAAATCTTGTTTTTCTGCCATAACCTATGCATCCCAAGCATATAAAACCTGTACATTTGTATGGTAGACAGGTTCTGAAATGATCTCCTATGATATCTTCCTTTTGGCATTCAGACTTCTGGGTAACCCTCTCCCCATGAATGGGCAGGAACTGTCACTTTGTTCTAACTAATAGAATACAGAATGATGGGATGTAACTTTCCCTTCTGTGTTGCTGTATTACATACAATTGTGTATTCCATACTATTGTGACTTTTGTTTTTTCTGATAGACTATCTCCTTTACTGGCTTTTATGAAGCCAACTGCCCTATGGAAGAGCCCACATGGCAAGGAACTGAAGACTACCTCTGACAGCCAGCAAAAAATTTAGGCCCCAAGTCACATGGCCTGCAAGGAAGTGAATCCTTTCAACACCAACTTAAGTGAGCTTGAAATAGGATTCTTTCACAGCCAGATCTTCAGATAACATATTAGCACAAGTCAGCAACTGGATTGAAGCCTTGTGGGGAACCCGAGGCAGAAGACCTAGCTAAGCCATGTCTGGTCTTCTAACCCACAGCAACGGTAGGGTAATGAGTATGTGCTATTTTAAGCTGCTAAATTTGTGATAATTTGTTATGTACCAATAGATAACTAATACAATATGCTTCTGATTAAAACAGCAGTGCATAATGTTTAAAAGACGTAAATCAAGCAAATATAATTTCCATATAGGAACATTAAAATTTTTCACATCTTAAGGATACGTTAAAATCAGAATCATGAAATCCATATTAGGATTACAATAAAACAATATTGCAACATTGAACCAGTAAGAACAATAATCAAATGGAGTGAATAAGAAAAGAAAATTACAATTGCATTGCAAAATATGTTTGCACGCAATGTAATGGTTCTTTGAGTGCTACTCCCTACTTGGCTATATTGCTCTCTTTTTGAAGTGCTCAGATAACACCTCCAGGAAGCCATCTCTGGCCTCCATAACCCATGTATGGCTTTGTCCTCATCACAAAACCATACATGGGTTCTGCAGGTCAGAGATGGCTTGCTGTTTTTGTCACTTACATAGCACTTACTATACATTATTAATACTGCTGGTGGGGTCACAGACATATCTTGTTTCCTAAGTTTGGCTGCTAACTTCCTGAGGGCGTGTATGATACCTTTTATCTCTCTCTATGCTATAGTTTGGATATTTGACCCTCCAAACCTCATATTTAAATTTGTTTCCTAATGTAGGAGGTGAGACCTAACAGGAGGTGTTTGGGTCATGGTGCCAGAACCCTCCTGAATAGCTTGGTGCTGTCCTTGCAGTAATAATGAGTTATTGCTCTACTAGTTCCTGCAAGAGTTCCTCTGAGAATTGGTTATTAAAAGCAGTCTGGAACCTTCCCACTCACCCTTGCTCCCTCTCTTGCCAAATGATCTGCATTCACTGGCTCCTTTTCACTTTCCACTATGATTGGAAACTTTTGAGGCCCCCAGCAAAAGCAGATATTGATGCCATGCTTCTTGTATAGCCTGTAGAATGATGAGCCAAATAAACCTCTTACCTTTATAAATTACTCAGCCTAAGGCATTTCTTTATAACAACACAACTGAACTAAGACACTCTACTTCCAGCATACTATACAGTAATTTATGACATAAACGGTACACAAAAATCTGTCTTTGTAGACAGTGCTGATGTTGACAATAGAAATAATTCATGTCCCTTCTATGTAAGAAGGAAATTGAATTATCAAAAATTTTAAAGACAAGAGGAAACCCATTTGCAATATAGTGGCAGAAAATTAAGTAGTGTGGCTAGCATTGTCATGCCCAGAGCCCTCTTTGGCACAACTTCATTTCCAATCACCTAGTCAGTCATCTGTATATACACACATTATATAAATATATAGTCTGTATATGTATATAATGTGTGTATATGTATACATTATATAGTCTGTGTGTATATATATATAACGTGTGTGTGTGTATATATATATGTGTGTGTGTATATATATGTGTGTATATATATATATATATATATATATATACAACATAGTTGTAAAATCAACTTTGGAAAAAGATATGCTAGATCCTCTGAGCAATTATTGATTTTTTTGACATTTATGCAGGTAATCAGATTAATACTTTGCCCCATCTTTAAATTCTATGATAGCTTTGTGACCCTGACATGTGTGAGATGTGCTTCTGGGTAACATTTTACCAATATGACCTTATTGTTAAGCATCAACTTCTACTGCTTGAAGTCAGAAATTTTAACAGGTGAAGCACATGAAATAGGTTGATAGATTGATATCTCAATCCTGATGCTAATGTACTTAAACACAGGAAAATTCATGAACGATATAGGGAATACATGTAACTACTGATTATTTCTTTTGAAGGTCAGTCTCCTCTGATTATTTGAATCCCTTG
This sequence comes from Homo sapiens, assembly GCF_000001405.40. Taxonomy (NCBI): domain Eukaryota; kingdom Metazoa; phylum Chordata; class Mammalia; order Primates; family Hominidae; genus Homo; species Homo sapiens. Next base: position 76,873,920 of record NC_000002.12, read on the forward strand.
AAATTTTATAAAGTTAATTTTTCTACCTTAATATCAAATCATATTTATTGTAAACCAGATTTAATAAAAATTTTTGGAGTCCAAAAAAAGTTCTTGATAGCAATCAAACATTTACTCCCCCCAGAGCTTCATTCTTAGTATGCTGGTGTACTTTATAGAAAATTCAGATCACACGGTAAAGGTAATGTCTGCTTTTTTTTTTTCTCGGAACATTTGCGTTAGAATTTTCTTCTGGCTGGAGCATTCCTCCAATCACTCTGTGTCTGCCTAAATCCTGTTCATCCTTCATGTCTCATCTTAGAAAACAGTCAAGGAAGTCTGACTTTGACTCTACAAGCATAGTCTTGTGAAACTTTACATTTGTTCTCCTAGCACCTTGCTTTCACTAGACACACTCAACACCACATTTAATTTGTCTGAATCTTTTCTTTGTTTATTCTATGGCTATACTGTAATCACCTTGAGGGCAAGGCAAATGTCTTACCACTGTATTCCTACAACAGACACAGAGCTAGCCATGTAATAAAGCGGAAATATTCAGTAATTGAATAACTGGGGTGAATGAGTGGTCTGATTTTATATGCTTTAATGAAATTATGAGTATATTTTATGCTGATTAAATATTGAAAATATAATTTTGAATAGCTGTGTAAAGTCCTATCACATGAAGGGACCACTGTTTATTTAGAAAGTTTTTTTTTTAGGCATTGATCATTGATGTTATTTCTAATGTTTTGCTATTTTAGATAGTGATTCAGTAGTCAACTTGCAACACAATCCTAATCACTGTTTTTCATGACTTCTTCAGAATAAATTCCTAGAAATAGAATAGCTTTCAGGCTCTTGATACTAGACCCTGGCTATTTTTTTGGAGAGATCAGTGATCTATGTTGTTAACAGTGGCAGTTGTTTATTTCTTAAACTTTGCTTATTTGAAGTTGATGAGTAGCCTTAGCTCTCATGTTACAGTTATAAAATTTGAATATTCTGTTCATGTATTCATCAGATATTTGTTATAGTAATTTAAATTTCTTTATTTCTTATACGTATTTGCATTTCTGGTCTCCAGCTTATATGCCTGCCAATATCTCTGATCTGTTTTACTATGGGGGTGGCATTTAGTTTTTGAAGTCATTTTAATGTCTATAGATTCTACTTCACAATGACAGAAAATGAAAGCTTCTGCATGAGGCCAAGTAGCACATAGATCAAATAGCCACAGGTTCACTAAAGGACAAATATTTTATTTTACTTTTCAATAATGCACATATGAAGAGTCTGCATTTGCCTCAGATAAGATAAATAATCATTTCTGTGGTAAGATTTAACGACAGTAAAAGATGTGTCTGTTGTACTTATCAGCTAATTTCTACCACATCCTGATTTCCCTCTTGAAACTTCTCCATAATTTCTCCTTCCTTAATACTTCTATATGGTTTACATAAACTTTGTATGTGACTCATCATATTGCTTTTACACTACAGACTGATTTTTTAGCCCTCTACATTCCCAGGAGGTCACCTTTACAGTTTTACATATAGCTCATATGTGACATAAGGTTGTTGGAAAAATGAATGAATTGAGTAAATGAGTGAATGAACTACATCAGTTAAGTAATTAAGATGCATGTCTATCCATTTTGCCATTGCAGAGAGTGGGGATATAAGGGAATAGCAAGTTGCATTTTGATGACTGGCAAACATTAGCAAAAAAGAAAAAAGTCCCTGGCCTTTGCCTGTTTCTATATATTTTCTAGAACTATCTTAATACCTAATTACCCACTGCCATTGAGGAGTCATTCTTAATATAGAAAAGTTTAAGGTGTGTATCTATGTTGAGATTGGTTTCCACCCATGGTTTGCCAGATCTTGCTAGTCATTTCATATCCTCAATGAAAACTATTCTTTCAAAGGCATCAATGTGTTGTGGGACTGGGGACAACTGCCACAGGCAGACTCAACTTCAGCTGAGTTTCCCTATAAAAATGTGTCTTCCATAGAGAAGCACCAATATGGGAACACCTACTGAGAGAGAGCATTTACTGACTTGGGATACCAGTTATGGGAGAAACCATCTTTAACTTGTTGCCATCTTTATAATCATTGACTTTAATGAGGGTTTCTCTAGTTGTCTCCAAGGAATCTGCTCTCTAATCAAGTCTAATTGGTGTTTTCCCTTGAGGTAAGAATTACATACACACAGTAAAGAACATAGTATGCCTAACGATTTTAGAGAAAAAAAAGAAGTTTTTTAAGAGCAACAAATAAGATTTGGATTAATTTCTATTAAATACTGATCTATCTATAATTTACTTTAAATAATGTTCTTTTATAATATCTCAATTTAAAAGATACTCATAATAGGATAATAAAGTACCAGGCATAATGCTGAATTTCAGAAGCATAAAATTGCCTACAACCTTGCATTACTGCATGAAGATTAGAAAATTGTTATATAATTTTTGCTAGTTTTAAAACCTGGCAAATGTGTTGCAATGAATGTTGTTTTTACTGAAGTATCTCTATTAAGGCATTACACTATAAAACAAATTTAATTTTCTTTCCCCTTGGATAAAAATGTAAAAAAAGGATAGCATAATGAATAGCTTTGTATTTGATACACAAAATTAACATATGATGTCTACGAGTTTTCGTATATGCCTTGGGTCTATTTTGTTAACAGATGTTTATAGAAAGTAGAGCATAATTCTTTATGCTCTACTTCTTTCTTGCTTCTTCCCATCCTACTTTCTTTATAAATGACAGACACTATTAACATGACTTTTAGATATATCTGGTCCATTTTTTTAATATATCAACAGCTTATATGTACCACTAACAACAGTATATAATACTTGTATTATATATTTGTACTTTATCTCTGTCAATTTTTTATTTTGCTTAGAAAAAGAGAAATCACTCTGTACCTTGGTAAACATTAATAAATTGATAAGCCAGGCAATCAAAAGGAGATGATGATGAAGTGAGAGTCACACTGTTAAATTGTTTAAAATAAAGGTTTCAAATCTCTGGTTTTCCAAATTTTAAAATATTAGTGATACACAGTTTGCACACTAGAGAGTATACTTTGAGCTTAGATGATTTTATGAATGTGGGCATCTTTTCTCATCTAGAATTTATTAGGGTTTTTGATAAATATAGATGGGTCCTATAAATGCTAGCTCTTAAAACTTTTTGTAAGAGCGGGAAGTAGATTTCATCTTATTTTGAGCAGTCTCTGTCTGCTCTGTTTCTTCAGCAAGTTCTTTCAATTGTTTTTATTCATTTTCTTCAGTTTGAAGTGAATAGTCCAATAAAAAGTTGGTTGAAAATGTTACTTTATTAGTTAACATTTCCATAATTTTTGTGCAACTTCTTGGGAATTTAAAAACAAGAGTATATACATTTTAAAAACAATTAGTCCACTTTCAAATGATTTTGGTAGCAAAATTTCTGAGATTTTTTTTTTCAGGAATTAATGACTATTTTGCTTTTATGAACAATGGTTAATCAACTAATGGATCAGCACTTCACAATTGCGTGGTATTTAGTATACCTAGGGTGAAGTATAAAATAATGCCTATGATTATTGGAATTTTAAATCAAGGTACAATGGTTAAAAATAAAAATGTCTTACCTCACTGTTTTACATTCTAACAATAAACTAGAATTTAATTATTTCGGTTTATTTCAGGAATATATAACAAGAAAATTGACTATTCATTTATTACTTCTAGAAATTCTATTTTCTTATGATAAAAACTTTATCAGTGACACCTAGATATAAATTCAATATGAAGTCTAAGTAATAAAAAGGAAACAACTGAGGATCGAGCATTGAAGTAGCTTAACTTTCCAGAATATGGAGTAAAAAGCTACAGGGATGAAAAAGTCAGAGGAAAAACATTTAAAAGACATAGTGTATCAGTGAAGCAAACCCCTAATCTGTATAACAGGTATTCCAGAAAGAGAGAACGAAAAAATAAGAAAGAAGAAGGAAAAAAGGTCACAGATGCATACCTCATCTTACTGTGCTTCACTTTATTGTGGTTCCCAGATATTTTGTTTTTAATACATTGAAGATTGGTGGTAACTCTGCATTTAGAAACCCTGCATTGAGCAACCCATTTTTGCAACAGCGTATGTTCACTTCATGTCTCTGTGTCACATTTTGGTGATTCTTGCAATATTTCAATTTTTCATTGTTATTATATCTGTTACGATGATCTGTGATCAGTGACCTTAGATGTTACTGTCGTAATTGTTTTGGGCACAGCAAACGGCACTCATATAAAACATGGCAAACTTAATTGATAAATGTTATATGTATATGTTCTGATTGTTGCACTGACCAGCCACTCCTCTATTTCTCTCTCTCTCCTTGGGTCTCCCTATTCCCTGAGAGGCAACCATATTGAAATTAGACGAATTAATAACCCTATAATGTCCTCTAAGTTTGCAAGTGAAAGGAAGAGTTCAATATGTCTAACTTTAAAACAAAATGATTAAGGTTAGTGAGAAAGACATATTAAAAGCAAGGACAGTCCAAAAGGTAGGCCTTTTGTGCCACATATCCCAGTTGCAAATGGAAAAAAAAAAAAAGTTCTTAAAGAAAGTTAGAAGTCTAGTCCAGTGAAGACACGAATTATAGGAAAGTGAAACTTGCCAGGCGCAGTGGCTCATGCCTGCAATCCCAGCCCAGCACTTTGGTAGTCCCAGGCATGTGGATCACCTGAGGTCAGGTGTTCAAGATCAGCCGGACCAACATGGTGAAACCCCACCCTGTCTCTACTAAAAATACAAAATTTAACCAGGCATGGTGGTGGGTGCTTGGAATCCCAGCTACTTGGGAGGCTGAGGCAGGAGAATCGCTTGAACCCAGGAGGCGGAACTTGTGAAGAGCCAAGATGGCGCCACTGCACTCCAGCCTGGATGAAAGAGCAAGACTCCATCTAAAATTAAAAAAAAAAGTGAAACAGCCTTACTGCTGATATGAAGAAATTTTAGTGGCCTGGATAGAACATCAAACCAGTCAGAACAGTCCCAGCAAGTCCCTAAATCTCTTCAATTCTTTCAAGGTTTGAAGGAGGTAAGGAAGCTGCAGAAATAAAGTTCGAAGCTAGCAGAGGCTGGTTCAAAAGGCTAAAGGGAAAGCCATTTCCATAAAAGTGCAAGGTGAACCAACAAGCACTGATGTATAACTCTGCAGAAAGTTACACATAAGATCTAGCTAAGATCATTAGTGAAACTGGCTAACATTAAACAGTAGGTTTTCAGTGTAGATGACACAGTCTTCTATTGGAAAAAGATGGCATCTAGGACTTTCATAGCTAGAGAGGAGAAGTCAATGCCTGGCTTCAAAGCTTCGCCGGAAAGGGTGACTCTCTTGTTAGGGGCTAATGCAGCTGATGACTTTAAGTTGCAGCCAATGCTCATTTACCATTCCTAAAATTTTAGGGCCATTAAGAATTATACTAAAACTACTCTGCCTATTCTCTGTAAATTGAACAACAAGGCCTAGAAGACAGAACATCTGTTTACAGCATGGTTTCCTGAATATTTTAAGGCCACTGATGAGACTTACTGCTTGGTAATAAAACATTGCTTTCAAAATATTACTGCTCATTGGCAATGAACTAGTCACCCATGAGCTCTTATGGAGATATGCAAGAAAATTAACATTGTTTTCATGCCTGTTAACTCAGTATCCTTTCTTCAGCCCATGGATCAAATAATTTTGATTTGAGAACATACTGCTTAAGAAATATATTTTGTAAGCCTATAGCTGCCATAGTGATTTCTCTAACAGATCTGGGCAAAGTAAATTGAAAACCTTCTGGGAAGGAATCACCCTTCTAAATGCTATTAAGAACATTCTTGATTTACAAAAGGCAGTCAAAATATCAACATTAATAGGAGTCTGGAAGAAGTTGATTTCAATCCTAATGGGTGACTTTGAGGGGTTCATCATTTCAGTGGAGGAAGTAATTGCAAATGTGGTGGAAACAGCGTAAGAACTAGAGTTAAAAGTGGAACGTGAAAATGTGAATGCATTGCTGCAATCTCATAATAAAATTTCAGTGAATGAGGAGATGCTCCTAATGGAGCTAAGAAAGTAGAATCTTGAGATGGAATCTACTCTTGGTGAAGATGCTGTTATAATTATTGAAATGACACAAAGGACATGGAATATCACATGAATTTTGTTGATAAAGTAGGGATAGGGTTTGAGAGGGTTGACCCCAGTTTTGAAAGAAATTCTACTGTGGGTGAAATGCGGGTACAGCATCACATGCCACAGAAAGATCTTTAGTGAAAGGAAGAATCAAACACCAAGGGAAACTTTATTATCTATTTTTAAAAATTGCCATAGCCACCTCGAACTTCAGCAACCACCACTCTAATTAGTCAGCAGCCATGGACATTGAGTCAAGACCCTTCACCAGCTAAAAGATTATGAATCACTGAAGGCTCAGATTATCCTTAGAAATTTTTAGCTGTAAAATATTTTTATTTAAGATATTTTCACCTTTTTAGACATACTACTATTATGTACTTGGTAAACTAGAGTAGAGTTTAACATAACTTTTACATGAACTAGGAAGCAAACAAAAAAAAATCATGTGACTTGCTTTATTATGTTATTAACTTTGTTGAGATGATTTGGAACCCAACCCACAGTACTTCAAGGTATGCAAAACAGTATTGGAAGAAAAAAAACCAAAACACAAAAAACCTCTGTGGGGCCAGAAGAAGTCAGGTGTTTCAAACTGATTCGATCCCTAGGCCCTGGATTCTGGTACACAAAAACAAGCTTATGACTAGAGAGGTAATTAAACGAACTTTTCAGAGTGGGCAAACACAGTTACAACTACAACAATATCAGCAATGGCTTATTAATAAGCAAACAAGAATCCAATTGGTATTTGATTTTTCATTAGTGACCATGAAGACATGGAGAACATCTTTATAATCCTTAAAATAATCAGTTTTAAAAGTAGTCGAAGATACAAGAGTCTGGGAAGGGTACAGGGAGTGGGGGATAGGGAGAGTTTGTTAAAGGGTAATCAAATTACAGTTAGATAGGAGGATTAAATTCTAGTGTTCTATAGTACCGTAGGATGGCTATAGTTGACAGTGATTTATCATACAATTTCAAACAGCAAGAAAGAACGTTCCCAACACACAGAAATAATAAATATTTGAGATTATGGATATGCTAATTTATCTGATCAGATCACTATAAATTGTGTATATGGAAACATCACATCATAAATATGTACAGTTATCATGTGTCAAATTTTAAAAGTATCAGCTCAAACACAGAATTCTGTACAGCCTAATTAGCAATCAAGTTTGAGGGCAAAATGAAATGATTTTAGACATTCAACAATTCACAGAATTTACTATTCACACATGGCCTATCAAGGTTTTATCTTTTCTTTTTAACGTGGTATTTTTTTCACTTACATTCATAATGATAATATGTGTGAAATTTCTGCTATTACCTAAGAATAAGACTTTTTTGAGTTGAGAGGCTTGCTAAAGACTTTTTTTTTTTTTTTGCTTTTAAATGTGTTCTTGCAATCTCTTGTGCTTTATGTTTCCAGTTTTTCCTCACAGATACTGAATTTATGTTAATGTGATTGTTTTGGTAATCTTAACAGTCTGTTTTAAATTCTCCTTGTGATACTTTTTAGGAAAAAAAACTGAACTACTTCTTTTTTTCTAATAACCACCATGAAAAGTAAAATAGAGCTTCTTTAGTTTCTGTTAGCTAAGATGAAAAAAAGTACCAAACTCTTCCTGTTATATAACAGTTTTTTCCCCATTTTCTCTCTCATTTTTGTTCCAGCATATATTGTTAAACTTTTTTCCTATTCCTCTTTGAAGTATTATAATGTTTGATTTATATACTCCATCCTATTCTAACACTGAACTTTTTATGGAATTCTAATTGTAAATGGTTGCAAGTTTTACCAACTGTATTTTTGTGTCAGAAATACGCTGTGAATCTCTTTACTTAACTTCCTGATTGGTGAAAGTGGTCTTTCATTAAATCCATATATATCCATTGCATATTTTTTGATAAATATTACTGATAAACCACAATCTGGTGTAAAATTGAATTCCTAGTACAAAATCCTTTCTCCATAACACTTAGCATTTCAGACTTCTGTAACTTCCGTTCAGAAGTTCATGCCAGAGAATTTCAGGCTAAGTTTTGTCTATAAAAGAAATTAATATTTTCTACTAAGTGATGTCTATATAAGATATTAATATTTTCTGTTTGGTATTGTGAAGGTCTGTGGTTTGTGGCTTACGTATAAAGTACTTTTTGTGTAGGAGTGAACAGGGTTCTAATAATATTTTACTTAACTTTTACTGAAACATTATTTATTATTATATTTTAATAACAAAGTGATATGGAGAAAATGAGAGCACATTCTTGCTCTTATGTTCCTACTTCAAATGAGAAATGTATAAAAAAGGCCAGGCACGGTGGCTCACATCTGTAACCCTTGCATTTTGGGAGACTGAGGTGGGCAGATCTCTTGAGCTTAGGAGTTCGAGACCAATCCAAGCAACAAAGTGAGGCCCCATCTCTATAAAAAGTTAAAAAATAAAAAAAAAAATTAACCAAGCATGATGGTGCATGCCTGTGGTCCCAGCTACTTGGGACGCTGAGGTGGGAGGATTCTACTAGTAGCCAACTAGTCAGTTGTAAAAAGGTAAGGCCAGAAACATAACAGTGGTTTATGGAGACTGGTCTCCTGAACAGGACAGTACCAGTTGCTAAAAATGGAGGGTTCTAAATGAAACATTCCAGGAGGGAGTTTACTTTTTCCATTCAGGTTATTGTCTCCACCATCCACCAGGTCTCACAAATGAGAAATCAAGGAGGAATCTGCACTCCAGAGCTACAGACAGGAGTCCTGTCCCTCCTGTCTTCCACGGGCCTACTCTTCAAACTGTCATCCTAGTTTCAGCCTATTTCTTCTCTTGCTTGGATTGTTTGCTACAGCCATTTATCCTTCCAATGTCTTCCTTTCAATCTGTGCTGCTACCAGACCAAGCTGGCTCCACTCTGCCAGCCAGGTAAAGTCTCAACTCCTTACCATGGCCATAGACACTCCAGGACCAGGCTACTCTGTGAATGCTGTTTTCACTCTCCTGGTTCCAGTGAGTGGCTATGTATCCAGGTCTGTGCTTCAATATGTGAAACTCATCTTCAATAAGAACACTGCAAACCCCAGCATCACCTCTCCTGTGGAGCTTTCTACCAGTCTCTTTCCTCTTCGGTGACAAGCCAGCCTACTTGTATTGTGTGTTTAATCAGTCTGTGCTAGTATGAGCCCCTGAAGATGAAAGGCTGCATCTTATTTACATTCACAGCTGTATTATGTAACAATATGCTTAACACATAGTAAATGCCCAATTAATGTTTATTGAACCAAAAATGGATTAATGGGGGACCTGAGTTCTACACTTCACCTTTAGCACTTTCCCAGCCCCGAGCCCTCCCTCTTTAGACCTCAGAGGAATTTCTCGATTTTGTAGCCAGACCATCCTATGGTTTGAGAATGCAATTTACACATGCCCCACTGGAAAATTAACCAAACTACCCAATGTGACATGCAAAGCTAGGACAGAGGAACTGGGAAGAGGAAGACTCCTGTTAGCAAACAAAAATGTTAAAGCTTCTCACCATATGCCACTCTTCCCCTGACCCCCACTGTTTCTCGCAAATCCCCATCTCAGGAATTAGAAAACTTGGAGCAGAGTCACAGTCACTGAAAATTTTGCTGAAAAAAACTTCAGCCATCTCAGCTTTCATGATCTGGGAGAACTAAAATAGAGCACTGCAGACAAGTGCTAAATGATTGTGAATTGACTGGGAGAAAGGTCTTTTATACTGCTCTTAACCTAATCAAGATTTGGATATTTTATTGGTACCTGATTTAAATTAGCTCACTGTAGTCTCAAACTCATGGGTTCAAATGATACTCCTGCCTCAGCCTCCCTGGAAGCTTAACTACAGGTGCACACCACCACACCCGGCTAATTTTTTTTTTTTTTTGGTAGAACTGGGGTCTCGCTATGTTGTTCAGGCTGGTCTCCAACTCCTGGCTTCAAGTAATCCACCCACCTCGACCTCCCAAATTGTTGAACCACCATGCCCAGCCAGGAAATGTGATTTTTAAAAGTGTCTTTGAATCCTATTGTTGAGCATTTTGTAACAAGCATCATGCTAGACTTCTTGAGATATTTTCTCATTGAATTTTCACAAAATCCTATGAAGGAGATATTTCCAAAACTATAACCTTATTTAGGGAAGAAGAAAGAGTCTAAATGAAGTGAAGTAACTTGCCCAAGTCATGGAGCTAATTATTAATAGAAATGGGCAGGGAATTTAAAGCTAGTTTTCAAAGCTTAGAAAATAACTACTATACAGTCTGTTTTCACACACAAAAATTATATTGTGTATAATGTTGAAAATTGGAAAATGACTAAATTCCAAAGACAGACAGATGTTTAGCAAACTATAATTACATGTAAGTATCTTTATGTACCTATTAAAAGGTTTGCATATACTGCATAAACCCATGCAAAAAATTGTTAGGCCAAAGAAATAGAATATAGAATGTAAAATTGTACATAAAGCATTATTATGTACATTAATATGTGTATATAAATAACCTTATGTGGTTTTGTTTAAAAAGACAAAAACAAAACAAACTTAGGCATGGTAGAGAAAAAAGAGAAACAACCAGTACAATCTTTCTGTTCTTTGGCAATAAGTTATGTCAAAAGCTTTTAAAATGTTGAGAATTCTAACCTAGTTCTTCTACTTCTTAACGTCTGTTGTAAAAAAAGTAAACAGTGGATAAATACTTGTGAATAAAAATATTCATCAGTGAAAAAATGTAAACAACTTAAATGGCCAAGAGGGTACTTTCAAGAAAATTATTGTACATATATAAGATGTAAATTTATATAGTCATTATGCCTTCAAAATGTTTTTAATGATCTGAAAAAAAGCTTGCAATATGATGGTAAGCAGAATTGCATTATATAAAGTATATGTATGGTATAATCATAAAGTATAAGCCTAGATAAAAATACTTATAATAAATATTCCAAAATGTTAGTAGTGCTTCTGCTTGGGTTGACTGATTTTCTTCTTTATAAGATTATGTTCTATTATTTTTCCTCTCATATAGTATTTTTACTGTAAATATTTTAAAAACCACTCTAACTTCCAAACTTACTCTAATAAGTACAATTACTTCTACAAATAATAAACACATTTAAAAACTATTTGAATGGTGACTTGAAAAGAGTGATCCTTTTTTAGAGTACCTTCTTTTTAGAGACATTAGACTGTAAACTGAAAGACTGGGACCCTATCTTACTTATCCTTGTTTTCCTATTGCCTGCTAGCATGTGCTCAATATATGATAACTGAATGATCAACAACCAAAATATATGCAGGATTTGAGATGACTGGTAAGCAGGAAGAAAGTTTTGACAAAAACATGCTTTTTTTTTTTTTTTTTTGAGACGAAGTCTCGCTCTGTCGCCCAGGCTGGAGTGCAGTGGCGCGATCTCGGCTCACTGCAAGCTCCGCCTCCCGGGTTCACGCCATTCTCCCGCCTCAGCCTCCTGAGTAGCTGGGACCGCAAGCGCCCACCGCCACCACGTCCGGCTAATTGTTTGTATTTTTAGTAGAGACGGGGTTTCACCGTGTTAGCAAAGATGGTCTCAATCTCCTGACGTCGTGATCCGCCCGCCTCGGCCTCCCAAAGTGCTGGGATTACAGGCGTGAGTCACCGCGCCCGGCCAAAAACATACTTTTTTTAAAAAAAGCTAAGAATTGTCACCAGCCTGTGGGAATTTTATGAAAAATGCATATAAGCTTACAACTAATAAATGCTACTTTTGTACTTTAAGTTTTCCAGATCATAAAAAAAAAGACATGAATCTTTTCAACTCATTTGAAGAAACTACAAATGGCTTGGAAGAATAAATCTGACAAAAATAGCATACCTCCAGAAAAACTAGACATAGAATGGTACACTATAAGAAATATAACTCATTTCTAAAATTTAAAGAATTGCTCAACATTTTATCACAACAAGTGTTAAGCTGAAAGATATTTGCGAAAATCATCATCCTGAATAGAAAATCAAAGCAAGGTAAAGAAAAGCAAAAACTGACAAAATTGAGGGGCTAAAAGCATTACAAAATTTAAAAGGTGTATAACATTTTTCTGTTCATATAATGAAGGGTACCTATCTCAAATGAATGCAGTGTTTTCTTTAACAATGAGCAATAGTCATTGATCATTTGGGTCCAATACATTTTTGAGAATTTCTCATTAATCATAATTAGACAACCTTAAACTTGCACATACATGCAACATGTCTATGTGATATCTGATGGTGCATAAATTTTCTTAAATACTCATCAATCTTTAGTTAAGTTTCTCTGCTTTAGGTTGTTCCCTTGAGAGTCAAGAGTAAGTGAACATTTCCATGATTAGAACCTTTATAAAACTGTTCTATCCAATGTAATACAACCAATAAATAAGATAATATGAGTTAATATGGAAGAAAAAAGAGATATATATTTACTTAAAGATGACATATTTTATTACCTGGAAAATCCAAGCGAAGAAATTGAGAAATCAGTAGACTTAATAAGAGCATTTGTTAAAATGGCTGGTTACAAAAATGCAAATAGTAACATAACTCTCCTACATATTTTTAAGAATAACCACTTAGAAAGCGAAGTGGCTGAAAAAAATTAATGAAGAAAAATATTAAATGCCTCATAAAATTTTTAACAATTTATGTGTAGGACCTTTACAATGCAACCAAGACTCATTCCTGATAGATTTAAAAGAATGAAATAAATGAAAAGCTCATATTTTATTTTGAGAGGGTATGTCTCTAAATGAAATATTGAGCACAAGACGACTATTGATTCAACCAAAACTAATCCATAGTTTAATGAACTTTTTTGAACATAATACATTGATTTTCATATTTGTCTATGAGTTTAAATGTGTAGCCCACAATGTTGGAGAATAAAAATTAAAAAATATGCATTGCTGTTATTATTGCTTCATAATTATTACTTTTTAAAACTGTGAGGCTAATACGAGAATGCACAGAAATATCTACAAAATAAAGTGTAAATGAAAAAAAACACAGATATAGGCGAGCAAATACCTTACCATAAAGAAGTATACATTATTCAAAAATATTTTGAATGACCTGTTTAACTCATTAAACAGCAAAAGTTATATAGTATCATATGTCAAAGTAGATTCAAGAGGGTATAGCATTATCATGAGAAAGTTAACATATAAAGTATTCAAAATTTGTAAAGCAACCTTTAATTTTATTTGACTTTTCCTAAACGTGTATAATTTTTTTTCTAAACCCTGCACCAAGGCCAATACCAAAAATAAACCATGATAGATGTAAATATATGACAAACAGCACCACCAATCAATATCAGCAATAGATTGACAAAACTTGTAACATTTAGTGCCTTTATTTTATATTTATATATACACATATATATATCATATATGTGATTTTTTATCTCCCATTGAATCTCATTTTGACATATGTGCAAATATGTATATATACAAACAGATATAATATATACACACATATATGATATATGATACACACTGTATATGATATATACAGTGTGTATATATGTTTGTATTTATATATATATGTGCACATATGTCAAAATGGGATTCAATGGGAGATAAAAATTTTAAAATGAGTATATATTAAAAGTTTAAAAATCCAAATTGCTGAGAAAAACATAAGAAAATAAAATCCTTTAATTTTCTACTAGCCAATGGAATTTGACCTAAAATAATAATTTACTACTTACTGGATGTCAAATTGTCAAGACCAATAAAGATAAAAGATAATGCCTAAATTATCAAGTGAAAGTCCTACTATTTTTGTGAATGGTTAAAAGTATATGCACTTTGAACTGAATCTTTTATATGTTTCTCTCTGTATATATTTATATATACTCTTAATATCTGTAAATGGTGTGTCCATCTCTGCACACACTGTGTGTGTGTATATATACATATATGTGTGTTTGTATATATATACATATATATACATATATAGTGTGTGTGTATATATACATATGTATACATATGTGTGTGTATATATGTATTACCTATACATATTTGTGGGTGGATATGATTTTAAAGAAGAAATACTTTAGCTGTGAATGTATTCTTGGAATAACAATGAAATGTAGAAAATAGCCCTGAAGTTCAATAACAGGAACTAGATAATGATAATTTCTATAATGGTATACTAATATGTAATTAAGATTTAGTTGTAGAAGTATATTTATATTTTAATGACATGGAACAATTGTACGTATATATTTAGAGAATACATATTGTATTCTTTCTCGAACACATACATAGACATCTGAAAAGTCATATTCAAAAGTTTAACAGTTATTCTCTATTGATGGTAACTTATTTTTTTATATGTACTCATAAGTTTTCCTTTTTAAAATACAATATGTATACACATCTCTCAGTATTAATAAAAATACACTTAAAGCTAAAAAGTAGCTAAACTTACTTCAAGTAAAAAAATTAATAGATATACTTTGCAATTAACCTTATCAATGAGAATTACCCAGTTTCAAATTATATTCAAAATTTATTTTAATTATTCATTAGTTTTTTTTCTAGATTTTAGTTTGGACCACTGCTTTCGTTGCCTTTTTTGTTTTTCTTTTAGTACTATGTATTTTGTTCTGCACTTTTGCTCCTATGTAGACATAATGCTTAATTTTTTGCATCTAACACCTGGTTGCCCTGTCCAAAAGAACAATTTTTTATGAACTGTTAATTAAGCCAGTAGTTATAAAATATTTGGTGGCTAGCTTTCGCCTTTTTAAGAGAAAGCTGTGAGACTAAATTATTCAATTAAGACATGTTATGAATCTAAAGTTCCTATATAAAACAGACATATTTCAACAAATAGCTTTGGGCTTAAGGTAGCCTATGTACTTAAACATCTCATGGCAATATTTTCATTTAAACACTGAATTAGAATGACAACATCACAAAGGCTAAAAATCTTATCAAAATTGAGTTTGAAATATACTACTTCATTTCATTTATTTTTGTATTTTTTCATGGAGGAAACGTAAAAAGATTTGATTTTGCACTTGATTAGATTAACTGTAATTAATGTAAGGTTAATGGTGTTATCTTGATCGCCATTTTACTCATCTGTTTATACACTAAGGTTTTTATTTTAGTTTTGAAAATGCTTTACCACAAATCTCTAAACTAGAGGCAGCTTTGATTGAGAAGCCAGATATTGATTGTGAGTTACACATATTTTTATACAGACTTCAAAATATTCCTTTTTGTCCATATAGTCTTAAAGAAAACAAATGAGAAGAGTTCTTTCTTGAAATATGTCTTTCGTTTTCAATGGGATTAAAGTGAAAAATAAAGTATCCCTTCCTTCAATATTTTCACAACTCTTCAAGATTATTACTGTTCAGTATTTGATTTATATGAGTTTGAAAAATGAAGATGATGATGATAGAGTGGAAACCTGGCAACAGATATATAAAAATAATTTGGCTTCAAAGATCCAAGGATACTGATTAAAGCAAAGGGAAAATCAAGTTAACTGATGATCCAATTAGCAAGAAGAAGGAGGACAAAATGACTGTACTTTAACCTGAGCAGTGGCCCTGCCAAATTTTTAGTAGATGCTTAAATAATATAGCAGTAAAATTTTACTTGCTTTTCTCTTCTTTTGTAGTTTTTTCATATAGGAGAGGAAAAGAGGCAAATAATAGAGTAGAGAGAAAGAAGAAAGAGAGAGAAAGAGGGAGAGAGAGAGGTGAGATTGAGGTAGGATGATTGCAAAAGCAAGCAATCAAGAATTGCAAGCTATGGCCACAAGTATTGAAACACTGTTTATCTCAGGACACTCTGTTCTGTGACCTAGTTGTAGATGTATGAGTGCAGTGCAGGGATATACATAGAGTTCTGTCATTCTATAACTAGAAAAAAAGATTTGAGATCATTTGGAAATGAATGTCCCATCCAAGATCAATGAAAAGAAATAACTGTAGCACACACACTATCAAAAGCAAGACGGAATCTGAGATTTTTGGAGTTGGATTTCATCACCCATGCATAGCAACCCAATAATTTTATGCTGAGAATGCAAAGATTCATGATCATGAAATGCCACACAGCTAGTGGTCTAGCACTGAGTGTGAATTAGAATCCAGGTCTCATGATTCCAGATTCAAGAATACTTTTAGTCCATAGGCTATTACTCCTACAAATAAAAAATGCAAAGAGGGATGTGCCAAAGCTGAGAACAAATGACATTATGTCCTTACCATCT
This sequence comes from Homo sapiens, assembly GCF_000001405.40. Classification (NCBI taxonomy): domain Eukaryota; kingdom Metazoa; phylum Chordata; class Mammalia; order Primates; family Hominidae; genus Homo; species Homo sapiens. The sequence goes on from NC_000002.12 coordinate 76,890,370, forward strand.
TAATAATCTACTCTACAAGTTCTATAAGCATGGGTAAGAATGATTTATGTAATTATCAAAAGTTGCTTCAAAGGCCAAAAGAGGATGTAGGATCTGGTCAATGTTGATTACATTTTCTAAGACTGTTTAATGTTCATATTGTCTCAGACTCAGTTAACACTTTAATATGTTTGTGCACATTGAAATTTATACCTTAACAAAATAAACATCAGATAAGAAAAAAATAGCAAATGGCTTTTATATATATCAACTGTATTACAATAAACTGCATAAACAGTAAATACTCATGTTTCTCTAAAATAATAGCAGCCAACTAAACTTTCCAAAAAGTATACATATCAACAAAAAATAACGAACATAACTGACAACATCTACACCCAAAACATAATAGGTGGAAAGAGAATGCTACAAAGTTTAATTCATACAGAACTAAAATATAACTTCAAACCAGCAAAGCCAATGGCGACTTGCATGCCAGAATAGAGGGTTAGACAGAGATGGTTTAGGAATAAAATAAGGGTACAGAGGCGTAACAGTTGCAGAAATTGGAGGAAAATCACACCCAGAAAGAGAGAAGCACAGCCTAATGGGGAAATTAGAGAAGATCTGAGACTGGTGGGTCAGAGGAATGATTCCTGACATGGCAACAGAAGGTCTTGACATTTCGCTGGAATGAAAATAGTCAGTTTAAGGTCCCACTTCAGAAAAAGAGGAAGAATGAAGTGAAAGGAGGAGAAAAGAAGAAAACTGAAGAATCTACAGAAAGTAAAGAGAAACGCAAAGCAAAAAGACACATCAAACCCTTCCCAACATTCTTCCTCCCAAGATGTTTGCTCAACAAAAAACAAAACAAAAAAATCTTTAGTTAATTATAATAAGAGGAGAGGTTCTCAAGGAAATTTAGCTGACCAACTCAATCACCCGCTCCTCCTAAAAAGAATTACCTGTTGTTATTGCTGGTCTGAAATAATATAGGGAATTTCAAAGTAAATAAAGGACTAGTCAACATCCTTAAAAGCATATTGGAAGGAAAAAATTAAGTATTTTAGCAATCGGATGTTGGAATTGAGAAAATTTTCACAGAACTACTCCTGGATAAGATCCAGTTAGAATATTGGAAAAGTAAGCCAAATTTGTAATATCATAGAAAAAGAAAAAATACTAGATAAAATAGTTTAAAATTTATACAAAAAAAATCCAAATACGAATGAAAATTTAGCATTATAAAAGTAACATTTCAAATCACTGGGGAAAATACAGACTTTTTACCTAAAAGGTATTAGACGATTAGACTTTCATGTGGAAAAACATGAAATTGGATTCATACCTCACATTAGAATAAACTCCAAATGAAAAAGATATCTAAACATACCAAACAAATCCATATAAGTACTAGAGGAAAACATAGATGAATTGATTTATAAATGATAATAGATGAAGCCTTTCTAATTACAACTCAATTCGGATGCAAAAAAGATAAAAGATTCATTAATTTGACAAAACATTTCAATGACAAAAAATGGCAAAAGTCAAAATAAAATCGAGAAGAAAAAATTGCTGTATATGTCACAGATGAAAAAATAATTTCTCTAATATATAACAAACTAAAATATGAGATTAGCAAATTAAAAATAAAAAAATTGCAGAATAGCCTGTATCCGGTATACTGTGTAGAAAATGAGTAATTTTAATATTGTTGTTATATTACTAAAACTGAATTTAAAATACAAAAAATAAAATAAATTTAAGTCCAGTCTTAGTTATTTTATGAAGAATTAGATGAAGAATTCATATACTTATTATATGAAGAATGCATTCATCTCTCAAAATAGAAATGGTTTAAAACTTTCTTAGGACAGTTAAATTACAACTCACATGTCTCGTTGGTCAATTTCCAATGGTAAGAAGCTGCATCCATTAGAAATTATTTTACAAGATATTTGGCTATTTGGTTATTTGAAAGAGAACTTATATGTGTTTAAACTCTCATAATACTGGTAATAATATGAACAACATAAATAATTACTATTATTTTAGAAACATGTGCCCTGCACCGTTTTATATGCTTTCCATGTATTTATAGCTTCTGGAACAGATTTTGGGAAGAACAAATAGGCCCATAAGGCATAGTTTCTCCTAATTTATGCTTTCTGAAAACTTATTTAAGTGTAAACTGCAATTTTTTTTGGCAAACTCAAAGACAGTAATATGTATCAGGAATTCCCAAAACATGTTCCAAGGAACCATAGAATGAATGTTAATAGGTTTAATTTTCAGGAAAATAATAATCAGTGGGGGAAAGGGAGATTCAAAGTAAAATGCACTTAGGAAAAGTTGGGCGATTAATGTGTATTTTAAATTCAGAAAGTCACTGCAATTTTAATATTCATCATGACACTCCAAAAGGGAAATGAAGTATGTATCATTTCCCAAACACATTTATTTCCTGAGCCACTTTTCAAGGACTAGTGCTCCTCAAAAATTTATTTGGGAAATATTGACTCAGATGAAAATGTGGTAAGAAACATTGAAACTGCACTCCATCTAATGCTTTGGGGATTTTTAAGATTTTCCTACTAATGGAGTCAAAATCCCAAAGTGTGAAAAGACGGAAATCACAATTTGAGGAGTATTACTTAATTTGAACCACAGAGAAACAATCATAATCATTGTCAGCAGAAAACAAGCAAAAAAAAAAAAATCAATATACAAAAGTTAAAGGAAACCTGACCACGTAATTTGAATTCATAAATCAACCATCAAATGATATTAAAGAAGTAAAATTATTCTCTCATTTCATCACAAAACATCCATTAGTTACATTTTGTATTAAAGGAAAAAGATGCTCACACTTGATCTTTAAAAGAGATTGAATATGTGTTGCTCACAAGACATACAAGAAATTCTAATTTTCAAAAGTTATATCCAAATAAAAATGGCAACTTTCCAAGAAAGGGGTGTTTTGTAAAAAGCCATTATTAATTTTAGTAGAAGTGGACACATTTCTAATAACCTAATAATCTCTGATAACTTCTGATAACATTAATTTTAAAAGTTAAAAATAATAACTAAATAAATAATAAATAATAACTAACAACCAAATGGCTCTAAATACAGATTATTTCTGGTACAGATAATTCTAGCTAAAATACAGATAGTTCTACCTGAAAGGTTTTTTCTACTTGTGGTTTCTAAATAATTGTGTAAGTCTAAACTAAGTCCTCTCCTACAGTTAAGACATGCATCTTCCAAGAATCTAATGAAAACACTTGGGAACTTCCTTAAAGAGAACTCATCCTAAGAAGATGAGAATATTGCCTGGCAAGTTTGACCCAATAATAAAATCTCAAGGTCAGAGGTAGAACAGATTTCAGCTTTCTCATTGCATCCTGCCCTTCTTATATTTTACAAAAATCAGAGACTCATCTATGTGTCCCAAGGATAAAAAAAGCTCTAAATCAGATCTGAAAAACTCAAAATTGTATACATTTTGGGTGCATTTTATTTGTACATGTCTCATATGTTTAACATCAGGAGAAAGTCACTTTTCATAGCATACAAGTTTTTCCTCACAAACATAAGCAGATATATCACATGAGGATAAGTTTGACACAGTTAAGGCAACAGTCAATAACATTCCCAATTAAAGTCAAATGTGCATATTATACTGAAAAATATCAGTTAATTAATTGTATGTAGTCATAATGTTTACCACTGTACGATGTTAAAAATATACAGAGTACCAGTGGAAGGAATTCACAGAAAGAAATACTTGGGTATTCAAAATTTTTTATTCTCTAAAATTAAATCTCTTTTAAAATGCAGTAGTTTCCCTCAGAAAGCAGTTGGCAGTCCATTACTTAAGGCATTCATGCACATGCTAGAAAACCTTATGATACTTATGCACTCATGAGAATTCAAGAGCTAATGCATAATTTGACAACATGGCATAGTAGGTCCCCTTGGACCAGAGATGCCAGCATGCTGTTTGTAAAAATACTGACTCATATAATCTACTATATCTAGCTAAAAGGTATTTTCTACTTATGGTTTCTAAATTGACCAGTTTTGAGGATATGTCTAAACTATTTCATAAATTTGTTTGTAATCACTTGAAACTTTCACACTGTTAGGTGGCTACGATAGCCAAAAACAACAGGTCAGTTGATTATCCATATGATTCTTTTAATCACATGGCAATACTTTGAAAAGTCATGTTAATGTTTCTATTTCTAGGATGGGCAAAGGCTCTGAATTATATCTGGTGATGGTATTACAAATAAAGCCACTATTAGAAATCTTTTGAGAGTAACTGGAGTGACTTTTTCTTTTGTGACCTGGCTATTCAACCCTGGAAAACTGACTTGATTGTAAATTTGCTCACCGAATATCTGTATTTGTATATTTATCACATATAATTTGCATATAAATATACAATTTCAATAATTACAGCATATAATACGTCTGTTGCAATACATATATACACATGCGCACATTGTTATTTACAATGTATAGTCTCATATCTGCACATAGCTATACTAGATACAACTCATTAATAATTTATGCATTATATTTTATCTTATCAATAAAGTATAATATAGCAGCTTTCACTTTCTTAGAAAATTTATTTACTAAATATTAGAAATTATATTGTATTTTAAAGTGAAACAAAGGAAAATACTTCGGCAAACATTTCAATAGTTTAAAATTTAAAAGACAATCTTAGTAGAATAATCCCAAGTAGGTATTCTTCCATTAAAAATTTTTGACACTGCATTTGCATTTCTATTTGTAACTTATCTAATATTTATAGCATCCTGTGTTAATTTATAATTCTATTTATACAAAACTTGTGGAAGACAATTTACCATGAATAAAAGTGCTTCATATTCAAATAAGCTTCATAAATAGATTACCTCTAAGTTCTTTACTAGTGAGTGTACTCTCCAATTGCTGTACCCTTTATCCATGAGAACGAAAATTTAGTAATTATAAAAATGATGCCTCATCCATGTCTGTGTAGCCTGTAAAATTTGTAAATCAAGCTCACAAATGTTGTCAGAACAAAGGTAGGCTTATATGATACATCAAGCTAAAATCATTCATCCTCTACACCAATAGGCATAGAACTGCAAATGCAGCCTCAGAACTGCTCATCTCTCCCAGTTGTGGCTTCTCGCAAAAGGAAACAGCCAGACTGCTAGAGATTTAAATATTCCTCTACTTTTACCTTGAACTCTAGATCTGTCCATGATCTACCCATAAATCCAGCAAACTCTTCAGGTTGCGCAACTAAGACAACAATCTGTGCCTTCATCACGCCATCGGAATGGAATGTGACGAGCCACAGTGATAAACATACTGTGAAAAATACATTGGTGGTGATGAGCCCAATTCTGTTTTTTATAAAAAATTAAGAAAATGGCTAACTTCCATGCAGTCTGTGGAGGGTGGTAACACAACCCCGATTACTTACCTTGACAACTGAATTAATCTTCTTCTTTTCTTTTTCTCTTTTCAATAACATATGGGCTTCCACTCAGCTGTGGAAGGTGGTGGAACCTCACTGGGATCACATCTGTCAGGTTTACAGGGTGAATAAAAGCACTCAGCAGGTTTGTGTGCTACTGTGTGTATGAACACAGGGCAAATTTGTGCCAAGTAAAGTCTATGTCCTTGGAAAAACACTTTGGTTTTATACCATAGATATTAAAGATCATTATTTATTACATAGATGAACCCTACAAAATATTCCTTATGGGAAAATTTCATAAAATTAATGTAAGTATTTAAAGTGTCTTACACTGGTTAGAGTTTTTCTCCATCTCCTATGCACACACACAAACACACACACACACAGACACACGATTTAGCCTCTTGGTTATGTTTCCCACATATTGGGTCCAAATGATCACTTCAAAAATAATTTAGATAATAAACACTCAAACTGTGCAATCAGGGCCAAAAAGTAAAATAAGGTGAAAAAGTGCTTCAACTTGAGTGCAAAAATGACAGTTTTCATCAGATATAGACATATTTTAATTTCTACTTGACCCTGATCCAGAGTACTGCAAATTTTGTCCTATTCTATGAAAAAAAATCATCAAGCTTAAACAATACATGTGGCTTATGTCAGAAGCAACTTTTCATGATATTGCAAAGATTCCAAAAATTAAATATGCTAGAATTGACAAAAGTTTATATGGTTCAAAGTTACAGGCTACTTGTCAATTGTTTAGAGAGTTTTTTCAGAAGAAATTACTTTATTTAAAACTGTAGTCTTTTTATATTTTCACTTAGTTAAAAAGTGTTATCTAATTAAATACTTAAGAGTCAGTCTTATTTTTAAATCTTTTTGTTTCAAATAAGCCAGAGTTTATTGGACACTTTCTGATTGCACTGTCTTAAGGGCAGTGAGGTCTGCATGAGATGTATATGATGTTTCCTTGTACCAGGAACACATTGTTTGGCAATACTAGATACATCTAAAAGATAGAGTTAAATAATCATGTAACACAACTTCTATCAAACTAATCAAAATTATGCAAGAAGTGTGAGTTATGAATGTTTGAAACAGGGAAATTAGAAGAAATCTGGAATCTCTACCTTGAATTGTTCTAAATTTGGGAATGAGAATATTCTGATGAGGAAGCCCAGCATACTTTGTAAGACGGACACTCGTAGCTTATTTAAATTTCAGAAAGGAGATGATTGTTTAGACAATTCTGCTGTCAATGCTCCAATGAGTTTGAAAGCAATACACGTACTCTGAGAACTTGTGATGACAAGGCAAGCTTTCTGCTGAATTTTGCTTGTTTGCCCCGTGCAGAGTAGGCAGCGTCAATAATGCAATCACCTTCCATGCTGCATTTAGAGAAAACTTAGCTCTCTGGAAATTAAACTCCTGAGTGGATAGAGGAAAGAAATATGGTCATATACACCTGTGACATCTCAAATTCTGTCTTTGTATCTAAAATAAAAGTAAGAGCTTGTGTGTAAGGGACAGCTATTTTTATTACCAACTCTATTGGGCATAAATAAAACAAAAATGAATCAACTTCAATTTTCTAAATTTTCTCATGCATAGTTTACATATGGTATGTGCTATATAAGTGTATAATGTTATGACAAATGTGCCTTTTATTAATCTCTGGTAAACAGGCATAATATTAGATGTGATGAAGGAAAAGAGAAAAGGAGTAAGAAGGAGTCTCAAATCCTTAGGCCTTTGTTAAAGGTAGCCGTTATAGCTGTTGTCATGCCTATATCAAGTTGCAATTCCAATTAATACAACTAAAAGGTAATACACTTAGGCAAATACTATTTTTTAATCACTGGCTGGGCTATGACATTTCAAATGCAATCTCCTTCAGTGACTGGAACTTGGAGGCATGTTAATTCCCATTGCACAGTTAGGATTGTTACTGGCTCTGCAGTCTCCTTTCCTTGATCCCCATCTCCATTCCTGCCTGGCCAATTAATACTAGCAGTACCACTCATTCCATAGAGGGCAGAAGCATAAGACGTTTTCCATACTGGTAGAATTAAGCCATCAAAGGGAAGACAATCTAAATAGGAAACGCTTTACATGAAAAATAATTTAATCTTTTTATGTTTCCAAATGTAAACTGCAGTCCTAACAGGATGGCCCAGATTTGCTCCTTTGTTCAGTTTCCTATTAGAGTTTCTCTTTAGAATTGAAGAGGGTGAGAGCACAAGTGAGTGGTAAGCCATCTACTGAGTTATACACATCTTGTTATACCCTTGTTTTTTTCTGTTTTTAAACTCTGTATGAAAATAAAATACATGCTCATTATGTAGAGACTATGTACTTGCTTTTAAATTCATGAGAGTGCTTTGACAAATTACTTCTTTTCTCTTAATATCTTAACAATTAGCAATTTTAAATGGAATTTTGCTATCCAATTTATCCTATCAAATTTTTGGAAATCAGCAGATTACATAGCTTATTTGAAAGGTAAAAAACAGCAATTGAAATGATTTCTTTGCTTCAATAAAAATTTCACACCTGTAGAAAGGAGTAATCTCGAAACATTTATAAAAGTTAGTATAGTTGGAAGGCTGAGGCAGGAGAATCGCTTGAACCCAGGAGGTGGAGGATGAGGTGAGCAGAGAATGCACCAATGCACTCCAGCCAGGGTAACAAGAGCAAAGCTCCGTCTCAAAAAAAAAAAAAAAAAAAAAAAGAGTTAGTACAGTAATGGGTGGTAATGCAAAATAATTATTTAATTAATGTCCTCTATTCAAATATGCATTAATGTTTTTATTTTTCACAGCCATATAGAGTTTCCTGAGCATCTGGACGTATTAAATTTTATGGAAAATATCTACTATATCTAAAAAGCTCTAGGATGTGTTAGAAAAGGTATAGAAGATATATAAAATATAGTCACTATACATTATATATAATAGAGATTTTATATTTTATATATACTGACTGTATAAAATATAAAACTATATATAGTTATACTTTTAATTTTTACATACGTTGTAGACCATTTGTTAATTTCTGCTTTTTCATTTAGCAATTCACATATTTTGAAAGGTTAATCTTCCCAGAAACAGAACCTAGTTTATACAAGGATGTTCTCTTTGATTAATTTACATTCACAAATCAGTAGAGAAAGGAAGGTTTATGAGCAAAGCGTGTTGTAAAATTGGTAAGCTACACAGTTGAAGAAATATGAGACTCTTATGTAACTCCTTACATCAAAATGAATAATTGATCAAAAGATCAACCTAAAAATTGAGATGAAATATATATGAGTATGCATATACCTCAAGATAAGAAAAAACTTTAACAATTTATTCAACAAATATATATAGAGAGAGATGCTGGGACACAGAAGTGAACAAAACTGCAAAAACACCTGCCCTCATGAAACTTAAATTCTATTGGAGGGAGAGAAAGACTAATAAACCACACACACACACACACACACACACACACACACACACACACATATATATATATAAACTATATTTTATAATAGTGCATAAATACTATTGAGAGGTAGGGCAAAAAGTGTTGGAGGTGAATGATTTTAGGGTTGACTACCCATGTTAAGCTTTATGGAGAAGGTGATATTTGAACAAAGAATAGAAAGAGGTGACAAATAAACCCTGCAGATGCCTGGGAGAAGATATCCTACATGAAGGCAATAGCTAATGCAAAGGACCTAATGTGAATTCATGTCTGACACGTGGAAGGAGTAAGGAAGTTAGTGTAGCTGAAAGGGAGGAAAGGCAGGAAAAAGTAATAGAAAAATTATTAAAACTATGGATGGAATTACTAGGAATATTGATAGACTTTATTACGTATGCATTTACAACTTCTGAACATTAAATACAAAGATAAATTAAAAGGCAAAAACAGGTGAAATATTGGTAACAATTATAACAAAAAGTAATTCACTAGATAGTTAGATCTATGAGAGCTAGAACAAGTTCTTTGTTCATTATGGAATCCTCAAGGCACACAACATTGCCTTTTGCATGACATCCATACTTATACCAATCTTGAATATTGTTTAATAACTGAATATATGCTAGTAGACACCAGGTGCGGTGGCTCACACCTGTAATCTCAGCACTTTGGGGGGCCAAAGTGGGTGGATCACTTGAGGATAGGAGTTTGAGACCAGCCTGACCAATATGGTGAAACCCAGTCTCTACTAAAAATACAAAAGTTAGTCAGGCATGATGGATGGCTCATGCCTCTAGTCCCAGCTGCTTGGGAGGCTTGAGGTGGGAGATTGGCTTGAATCTGGGAAGCACAGATTGCAGTGAGCCAAGATCACACCACTGCACTCCAGTCTAGGTGACAGAGCAAGACTCTGTCTCAAAAACTAATTGAAAAACCAAAACCAAAAACAAACAAACAAAAATATACTAGTAGACGTATAGAGTGTGGGATACTGATATATATAGTTTTTTGTAGATAAAAATATGAATTTATTTAAATAGTTTGCAATATGTATCAAAGGTTTCAAAACTTCATATTATTTCATGCTTATCTCTATTCTTGTTTATTTTCAAACCAATAGTCATTGCTCACATTAAGTTATATATTTATGTTTTTATAATATATCTAATAGGGCAATGGGTTTGTTTTGGTCTTTCTTGTGTGCCAAAGCATAAAATAGTTCCTGGTATATTATGGCTTTCTATAAAGATTTCTTAAATAAATAAATGAATAACTGCCCTCTACCAAATAATTCAATTGAAACATGAAATGCAGTTAAAGATTTATGTGAAAGTATGTCCATTTAAGTATCATTTAAAGTAACTGAAAAAAATGGGACACTTTACTTTCATAAAAATCGAGATAATAGTTAAAAAGGTGGCATATCTATTCAATGGAATATCACTGAAATTAATCATCTTCACAAAGAACATTTAACATTATGGGAAAATGTTCACAATATGCTAAGTAAAAACAGTGCAATTCTGAGTCCTCTGACATTTAATTAACACTCATTGGATTGAATAATGTTGATTAGAAGTACCAAAATTTAGAATTTTGAAAGACCTAAAAATACGCCAATGCATGCATTTTCTAACATTTCTTTCTCTCTTTTTTTGGAGTAAGTAAATTCTCCTATTCAAGGAAATTTTTAAGCAGAAGTCCAATGAGAAAAATTGTTTTTTTAATTTGTATTTTTATTTTAAGTTCCAGAGTACATGTGCAGGATGCGCAGGTTTGTTACATTGGTAAACGTATACCATGGTGGTTTGCTGCACCTATCAACCCATCACATAGGTACTAAGCCTGGCGTGCATTAGGTATGTTTGCTAATGCTCTCCCTCCCCCATCCCAAACCCCTACAGGCCCCAGTGTGTGTTGTTCCCCTTCCTGTGTCCATGTGATCTCCTTGTTCAGCTCCAACTTATAAGTGAGAACATGCAGTGTTTGGTTTTCTGTTCCTGCATTAGTTTGCTTAGGATGATGGCTTCCAGTTCCATCCATGTCCCTGAAAAGTATGTTATCTCATTTCTTACTATGTCTGTATAGTATTCCATGGTCTATATGTACCACATTTTCTTTATCTAGTCTATCATTTAAAATGGGACCACTGTGACTTAGACAGAAAAAAGGGAGAGCAGTGTTAAGTCTAGTTTCTTCATTCCCGCCCATTTTGCTGACCATGGAAGGCTCAGAGAAAACCTCTTAGTACTTTTAAGGTATCTCTAAGCACTGTAAAAAAAAATTTTTAAAGACTTTTCTGTTTAATTGAGATCTAGAGAAAGATATAAAAGCCCAGAATGACATGTTACTGTCTGTAGATATGTGTCGGAGACCAGAAAACAACTCCTTTGATCCTGTTTGAGTACCCTTTTACTATCTCTTCTCCTTGTTGAGTGGGGGTTCCGAGGTCACCAAAATTCACTCATTGTTACATGCACACTGGATCTGGCAGTAACTTAGCTGACAGAACTGGGCACCATTTACATAGAATAAGTAGGCATACTGTGTGCATTTGAGGAGTATCATTTTAACTTCTGATGATTAGCAACCTAAATTCCATATATAATCTTAATTCCTTTGCTCTGTGGGCTAAGTGTTCACAGGTCCCAGAAATTAACATATGTGCCTCTTTGGGGTATCATTATCCTTCCTATGAAAAAGAACAAGATAGTTTTCTCAGAATGCAAGAAATGTTTAGATTTCTAACTTCCTCTGGCTAAGGAATAGAGAAAAGTTTTTAAAATGTGAATTTTATGGAAGAGAAAATAATACAATAGAAGCCCACTTAACTATATCTATTTAAGTGACAAAATTAACAGTCCATCTCCAAGTCTTTGTGAAAATACACTGTCTATTTTTTACAGCACTCTGGCCCTCTGGCTACACCCAGATATTCCTGTTCCTACCTGCCACATTATAAACAGGTCAGAAATCATTTGTGTTTTTCCCTTTTTTATCTATCTTTTTTTAAAATTAAATAACCATGATTTAAAAAAAATAATTAGCCAGCCCCTATCCAATTATACTTGAAACATTATAACATATTTTCAACAATGACCTTCACTTATACTTTAGCAAAAGTTTGTGTGTCAGGCCACCTTACCATGACCAGAGATTCCTGAGGAAAAGAACGTGAGCCATGTGGACTTTGATGACCTTGATGATGGATCTGAATCTGGAATGTTAGAAATTTGGGGGATAGAACTAGAAGATGGTAGCCAGAAATGGGAGCCTTATAAGACCAGAGGCTGTAATGGGGTGGACCCTAAAGACAACATAAAGAGACTTTTCCTGGATGAGGTATTGTGTACATTAGTAAATTTTGCCTATTTTAAATTTTACCTGGACTTGCTCTCTAAGTTCTGTGATGCACCACCATTTTATTTTTCACTGAGCACTTGTCTAGAATCAAACTGCCCTAGTTTTAAACTATTCTATTGAGTTGTACATTAGATGGCCCCAAATTGATAGATTCCCCTGGTGCATTTGAATGAAGTTTTCGAAAATGCTATCATGTTCATTTGAGTTCTTACCATTTCTTGGTGTGTTTTAATTAGCTCTATTTCCAGGGACTCTGAGTAACTTTTTATATAATAAACTAATAAATTGGGTGGGTCAAGGTTAATGTAATTTTAAACTGTCAATCAAATTCCACAATTTCTCAATTCATTAATATATGTTGAACTGTTTCACTTATCTTTCAACCAGATTTCATTACAACTACAAAAACTGGCCTGGCACAGTGGCTCGTGCCTGTAATTCCAGCACTTTGGGAGGCCAAGGTGGGTGGATCAAGAGGTCAGGAGATCAAGATCATCCTGGCTAACACAGTGAAACCCCGTCTCTACTAAAACAAACAAATAAAAATAAAAAAAGAAAAACAAGTACAAAACATTAGCTGGGTGTGGTGGAGGACACCTGTAATCCCAGCACTTTGGGAGGCTGAGGAGGGTGTATCACGAGGTCAGGAGATTGAGACCAGCCTGGCCAATATGGTGAAACCCCATCTCTACTAAAAATACAAAAATTTAGCCAGGTGTGGTGGCGGGCGCCTGTAGTCCCAGCTACTCGGGAGGCTGAGGCAGGAGAAAGGCATGAACTTGGGAGGCTGAGTGTGTAGTGAGCCGAGATTGCATCACTGCACTCCATCCTGGGCCACAGAGCAAGATTCTGTCTCAAAACAAAACAAAACAAAAAAGAAGAACAAACAAAACAACAACAACAAAACTACAAAAGCTTATTTTATCTAATCTTGATGGTGTTTGTTGGTGATATTATTATCTAGAGAAATTAGGACTTTGAGCAGTAGTCAATAAGATGATATTCTTGTAACTAGGATAAATCAAAAGGAGAAACATCTATAAAGCACTTTTATTACAAACAAATCATGGAAATGGCACTTTTACTGGGTTACAAATAATATTTATAGATCCAGTTACTAATAAGCTGATCATAGAAAGGTGGCATCGAGAAAAGGTGGTATGCTTCTTTTCTCAATTATGTATATTTTTTACTATAATGGGAACCCTTGATGGACAGAATATTCACTAACAACTTAAGTGTTTTAGAAATTAAAGAAAACACTTCAAATGAATGAGCATCAAGTTAGTGACTATTCTTCAACTGTAGGAATCCAATTTAGTGAAAATGTTGAAAGCCCAGTGCTTCACATTCAAACTCATTTAATATTTGCAGCAACACTGGTGACAGCTCTGATTCCCACCTACTCAGAACAACTGAAATGGAGGAGAGAAGTTACTTCTCAGGGTTCATGAAGCATAGTATAATTGAGACTCAGACATAATTCTTTAAATTCAGTGCTTGTTCTGCTCTATTACAATTGTCCTGGAACAAAGTAGCATGTGACAACCTCACAGGATGTCTCTTTTATGAGAAGAATAACAACAGCTGATTGTTTGAGAACCACGTTTTTTAAAGAGTAGAAAATGAACAACCTTTACTGACCACACCAGATTTGATTCAGAGATTGTTATTCGAGGAAGAAACAATGACAGACAGAGTGGACAGGAAATCCTTCCGACTTGCTGGGGCTTAGGCATGTCCTATATACTGACTTTACGCTTTACAATTCCATATATTATTATAGGAATATCTTTGTAAGGGAAAATATTTTGTGTTCCTTCTTAGAGAGCTTGAGAAATGTGACTGACTGAAACATTATATATCTCTGTCAGTGTTAATCTAAATCTTAGTGGGAGTATAGAAAATCTTTAGAACTCTAAAAGAAGCTATTTTTATATAACTGAGCAGTGAGGAATCTGCATCAATGTTTTAGAAGCGTGTTGGCACATTGGAAAGAACACTGGCTTTGAAGTCAGCAAACTGACACTCAAACTCCATACACCACCGTCAAGTTTTGTATGCCAGAGCAACATCAAATGTAACATATGTAAAAAATGAAAGGGGAGGTATAATATATAAGAATACCTACCACAAGGTGTTATGGTAAAAATAACATGAGCTATTCACTTGTCAAAAGTGTTTTGAAAAGGCATCATTCTTGGGGGAGGAGCCAAGATGGCCAAATAGGAACAGCTTCGGTCTACAGCTCCCAGTGTGAGCGACGCAGAAGATGGGTGATTTCTGCATTTCCATCTGAGCATTGAAGAAAGCAGTGGTTCTCCCAGAACGCAGCTGGAGATCTGAGAACAGGCAGACTGCCTCCTCAAGTGGGTCTCTGACCCCCTGACCACTGAGCAGCCTAACTAGGAGGCACCCCCCAGTAGGGGCAGACTGACACCTCACATGGCCGGGTACTCCTCTGAGACAAAACTTCCAGAGGAACGATCAGACAGCAGCATTTGCAGTTCACGAAAAACCACTGTTCTGCAGACACCGCTGCTGATACCCAGGCAAACAAGGTCTGGAGTGGACCTCTAGCAAATTCCAACAGACCTGCGGCTGAGGGTCCTGTCTGTTAGAAGGAAAACTAACAAACAGAAAGGACATCCACACCAAAATCCCATCTGTACATCACCATCATCAAAGACCAAAAGTAGATAAAACCACAAAGATGGGGAAAAAACAGAGCAGAAATACTGGAAACTCTAAAAACCAGAGCACCTCTCCTCCTCCAAAGGATCGCAGTTCCTCACCAGCAATGGAAAAAAGCTGGACGGAGAATGACTTTGACGAGTTGAGAGAAGAAGGCTTCAGACGATCAAACTACGAGCTACAGGAGGAAATTCAAACCAAAGGCAAAGAAGTTAAAAACTTTGAAAAAAATTTAGACGAATGTATAACTAGAATAACCAATACAGAGAAGTGCTTAAAGGAGCTGACTGAGCTGAAACCAAGGCTCCAGAACTACGTGAAGAATGCAGAAGCCTCAGGAGCCGATGCGATCAACTGGAAGAAAGGGTATCAGTGATGGAAGATGAAATGAATGAAATGAAGCGAGAAGGCAAGTTTAGAGAAAAAAGAAAAAAAAGAAACGAACAAAGCCTCCAAGAAATATGGGACTTTGTGAAAAGACCAAATCTACATCTGATTGGTGTACCTGAAAGTGACAGGGAGAATGGAACCAAGTTGGAAAACACTCTGCAGGATATTATCCAAGAGAACTTCCCCAATCTAGCAAGGCAGGCCAACATTCAGATTCAGGAAATACAGAGAACGCCACAAAGATACTCCTCGAGAAGAGCAACTCCAAGGCACATAATTGTCAGATTCACTAAAGTTGAAATGAAGGAAAAAATGTTAAGGGCAGCCAGAGAGAAAGGTCGGGTTACCCACAAAGGGAAGCCCATCAGACTAACAGCTGATCTCTCAGCAGAAACTCTACAAGTCAGAAGAGACTGGGGGCCAATATTCAACATTCTTAAAGAAAAGAATTTTCAACCCAGAATTTCATATCCAGCCAAACTAAGCTTCATAAGTGAAGGAGAAATAAAATACTTTACAGACAAGCAAATGCTCAGAGATTTTGTCACCACCAGGCCTGCCCTAAAAGAGCTCCTGAAGGAAGCGCTAAACGTGGAAAGGAACAACCAGTACCAGATGCTGCAAAGTCATGCCAAATTGTAAAGACCATCGAGACTAGGAAGAAACTGCATCAACTAACGAGCAAAATAACCAGCTAACATCATCAAGACAGGATCAAATTCACACATAAGAATATTAACTTTAAATGTAAATGGACTAAATGCTCCAATCAAAAGACACAGACTGGCAAATTGGATAAAGAGTCAAGACCCATCAGTCTGTTGTATTCAGGAAAAGCATCTCACATGCAGAGACACACATAGGCTCAAAATAAAAGGATGGAGGAAGATCTACCAAGCCAATGGAAAACAAAAAAAGGCAGGGGTTGCAATCCTAGTCTCTGATAAAACAGACTTTAAACCAACAAAGATCAAAAGAGACAAAGAAGGCCATTACATAATGGTAAAGGGATCAATTCAACAAGAAGAGCTAACTATCCTAAATATATATGCACCCAATACAGGAGCACCCAGATTCATAAAGCAAGTCCTGAGTGACCTACAAAGAGACTTAGACTCCCACACAATAATAATGGGAGACTTTAACACCCCACTGTCAACATTAGACAGATCAATGAGACAGAAAGTTAACAAGGATACCCAGGAATTGAACTCAGCTCTGCACCAAGCAGAATAGACATCTACAGAACTCTCCACCCCAAATCAACACAATATACATTTTTTTCAGCACCAAACCACACCTATTCCAAAATTAACCACATAGTTGGAAGTAAAGCTCTCCTCAGCAAATGTAAAAGAACAGAAATTATAACAAACTATCTCTCAGACCACAGTGCAATCAAACTAGAACTCAGGATTAAGAAACTCACTCAAAACTGCTCAACTACATGGAAACTGTACAACCTGCTCCTGAATGACTACCAGGTACATAATGAAATGAAGGCAGAAATAAAGATGTTCTTTGAAACCACGAGAACAAAGACACAACATACCAGAATCTCTGGGACGCATTCAAAGTAGTGTGTAAAGGGAAATTTATAGCACTAAATGCCCACAAGAAAAAGCAGGAAAGATCCAAAATTGACACCCTAACATCACAATTAAAAGAACTAGAAAAGCAAGAGCAAACACATTCAAAAGCTAGCAGAAGGCAAGAAATAACTAAAATCAGAGCAGAACTGAAGGAAATAGAGACACAAAAAACCCTTCAAAAAGTTAATGAATCCAGGAGCTGGTTTTTTGAAAGGATCAACAAAATTGATAGACCACTAGCAAGACTAATAAAGAAAAAAAGAGAGAAGAATCAAATAGACGCAATAAAAAATGATAAAGGGGATATCACCATCGATACCACAGAAATACAAACTACCATCAGAGAATACTACAAACACCTCTACGCAAATAAACTAGAAAATCTAGAAGAAATGGATAAATTCCTCGACACATACACTCTCCCAAGACTAAACCAGGAAGAAGTTGAATCTCTGAATAGACCAATAACAGGAGCTGAAATTGTGGCAATAATCAATAGCTTACCAACCGAAAAGAGTCCAGGACCAGATGGATTTACAGCTGAATTCTACCAGAGGTACAAGGAGGAACTGGTACCATTCCTTCTGAAACTATTCCAATCAATAGAAAAAGAGGGAATCCTCCCTAACTCATTTTATGAGGCCAGCATCATCCTGATACCAAAGCTGGGCAGAGACACAGCCAAAAAACAGAATTTTAGACCAATATCCTTGATGAACATTGATGCAAAAATCCTCAATAAAATACTGGCAAACCGAATCCAGCAGCACATCAAAAAGCTTATCCACCATGATCAAGTGGGCTTCATCCCTGGGATGCAAGGCTGGTTCAATATACGCAAATCAATAAATGTAATCCAGCATATAAACAGAACCAAAGACAAAAACCACATGATTATCTCAATAGATGCAGAAAAGGCCTTTGACAAAATTTAACAACCTTCATGCTAAAAACTCTCAATAAATTAGGTATTGATGGGCCATATCTCAAAATCATAAGAGCTATCTATGACAAACCCACAGCCAATATCATACTGAATGGGCAAAAACTGGAAGCATTCCCTTTGAAAACTGGCACAAGACAGGGATGCCCTCTCTCACCACTCCTATTCAACATAGTGTTGGAAGTTCTGGCCAGGGCAATTAGGCAGGAGAAGGAAATAAAGGGTATTCAATTAAGAAAAGAGGAAGTCAAAGTGTCCCTGTTTGCAGATGACATGATTGTATATCTAGAAAACCCCATTGTCTCAGCCCAAAATCTCCTTAAGCTGATAAGCAACTTCAGCAAAGTTTCAGGACACAAAATCTCTGTACAAAAATCACAAGCATTCTTATACACCAATAAGAGACAAACAGAGAGCCAAATCATGAGTGAACTCCCATTCACAATTGCTTCAAAGAGAATAAAATACCTAGGAATCCACCTTACAAGGGATGTGAAGGACCTCTTCCAGGAGAACTACAAACCACTGCTCAAGGAAATAAAAGAGGATACAAACAAATGGAAGAACATTCCATGCTCATGGGTAGGAAGAGTCAATATTGTGAAAATGGCCATACTGCCCAAGGTAATTGATAGATTCAATGCCATCCCCATCAAGCTACCAATGCCTTTCTTCACAGAATTGGAAAAAACTACTTTAAAGTTCACATGGAAGCAAAAAAGAGCCCTCATCGCCAAGTCAATCCTAAGCCAAAAGAACAAAGCTGGAGGCATCACACTACCTGACTTCAAACTATACTACAAGGCTACAGTAACCAAAACAGCATGGCACTGGCACCAAAACAGAGATATAGATCAATGGAACAGAACAGAGCCCTCAGAAATAATGCTGCTTATCTACAACTATCTGATCTTTGACAAACCTGAGAAAAACAAGCAATGGGGAAAGGATTCCCTGTCTAATAAATGGTGCTGGGAAAACTGGCTAGCCATATGTAGAAAGCTGAAACTGGATCCCTTCCTTACACCTTATACAAAAATCAATTCAAGATGGATTAAAGACTTAAACCTTAGACCTAAATCCATAAAAACCCTAGAAGAAAACCTAGGCATTACCATTCAGGACATAGGCATGGGCAAGGACTTCATGTCTAAAACACCAAAAGCAATGGCAACAAAAGACAAAATTGACAAATGGGATCTCATTAAACTAAAGAGCTTCTGCACAGCAAAAGAAACTACCATCAGAGTGAACAGGCAACCTACAAAATGGGAGAAAATTTTCGCAACCTACTCATTTGACAAAGGGCTAATATCCAGAATCTACAATGAACTCAAACAAATTTACAAGAAAAAAACAAACAACCCCATCAAAAAGTGGGCGAAGGACATGAACAGACACTTCTCAAAAGAAGACATTTATGCAGCCAAAAAAACACATGAAAAAATGCTCACCATCACTGACTATCAGAGAAATGCAAATCAAAACCACAGTGAGATATCATCTCACACCAGTTAGAATGGCAATCATTAAAAAGGCAGGAAACAACAGGTGCTGGAGAGGATGTGAAGAAATAGGAACACTTTCACATTGTTGGTGGGACTGTCAACTAGTTCAACCATTGTGGAAGTCAGTGTGGTGATTCCTCAGGGATCTAGAACTAGAAATACCATTTGACCCAGCCATCCCATTACTGCGTATATACCCAAAGGATTGTAAATCATGCTGCTATAAAGACACATGAACACGTATGTTTATTGTGGCACTATTCACAATAGCAAAGACTTGGAACCAACCCAAATGTCCAACAATGATAGACTGGATTAAGAAAATGTGGCACATAGACACCATGGAATACTATGCAGCCATAAAAAATGATAAGTTTATGTCCTTTGTAGGGACATGGATGAAATTGGAAATCATCATTCTCAGCAAACTATCGGAAGAACAAAAAACCAAACACTGCATATTCTCACTCATAGGTGGGAATTGAACAATGAGAACACATGGACACAGGAAGGGGAACATCACACTCTGGGGACTGTTGTGGGGTGGGGGGAGGGTGGAGGGATAACATTGGGAGATATACCTAATGCTAGATGACGAGTTAGTGGGTGCAGAGCACCAGCATGGCACATGTATACATATGAAACTAACCTGCACATTGTGCACATGTACCCTAAAACTTAAAGTATAATAATAAAAAAAAGAAAAGGCATCATTCTTATAGCACCATTATTACGAAGAAATATTTGTTTCTCATTATGTCAGGGATTGATGGAATCTTTCCCATAAAGAATGTATGTATCCAAAAATAGAGCTAGTATTAAATTTTTTATTCACGACCATAAATAATAACTTTGTGGCTTTGAAGAGTTATTACAATAAAATAGTCACAAAGATGCTAGATGGTCACTCATTCAGAAACACTCTGTTATGTAAAAACAACCATGGTGTGAAATGTTAATTGATCTCATATCACTTTCTCTTCCAGTTTCTCTTATTTTTCTTTTAACATTGGAATATATCTTGATTATGTCATTAGAGCCTATCTGTCTTTTCTGACCATTCTTGTGCATTCTGCGTCTGTACTAAATAGCAGTAGAAAAGATGCTGATGTGCTTAATGGTACTGAGAAATACATTCATTTACATAAAATGTCTTTACTCAGAAGATGTGGATTGCTGAACACTAATGCAGTGCAACCATCTAAAGTGGCCAACTTTGCTGAATACAAGGAATTCCATTTTGATTCATAATAGTTACACATTTTTACTTAGGTAATAATATGAAACAGAAATATCTTTAAAACATATTTTTTGGTTTAATAATTACTCATTTAGTCATAATTGCTTTTCTCGAAAGCATGGAATAAGGGTCAGGCAGGTACCGAGTTTGAAAAGGAAACCTTTGACAAGAATTATTACAGATAGACGTGTTGTGAAGCCAGTAGAGTAAAAAGATGCTAACCTCATCCCATCATTTGTTAATGCAATCATTGTTTTTAGGACTTTCACAATTATTTCTTTTAAGTTCACTAAGGATTTCTTAAAAATAAAAGTGAAAATGTTTCCTGGACAGCCAAGAACAGTTACTGTGACAGAACCTAATGCTTCCCCAAAACAATTACATCAATCTGATATAAATCTCTTTGTTTTTGTATTCCCATCAAGAATTTCAAAAATTTTAAATCCAGTATATCAGAATTACAGCTTTTTCTGTAAAGTTCAAGATAATGGCAGTGGGATATGAATTACTGTGTCCTTGAATGGATCATTGTGGGACTCTGATATGCTCATTCTAAGAGGAGAAATCAAACACGGCAGAGAGAGAGAAAAGAAAGAGCCAGAGAGAGAAGAGGTAAAGAGAGAAAGAAAGAGAGGGAAGGATGGAGAGGAAGAGAAAGGGAGAGACAGGTAGAAATGTCAGTAGAAATGGAATAGGCCAATCACTTTTTTCTGATGACATGTAATATACACACTGAAGGAAGAGCAGAAAGAACAATGAAAACAGTGATTTGTGTGTGTGCCTGTGTGTGTGTATATTTGTGTGTGTCTGTGTGTGTGTGTGTAGCTTGAAATTCTCCACAACCCTACTAACATGAATTACAAAGAGTGAGTTGTGGTATGTGCTTTTTGGGGGGGGGGGGGGGACAGAGTCTCGCTCTGTCGCCCAGGCTGGAGTGCAGTGGCCGATCTCCACTCACTGCAAGCTCCGCCTTCTGGGTTCACGCCATTCTCCTGCCCCGAGTAGCTGCAACTATAGGCGCCCGCCACCATGCCCGGCTAATTTTTGTATTTTTAGTAGACAGGAGGTTTCACCATGTTATCCAGGATGGTCTCGATCTCCTGACCTTGTGATCCCCCCGCCTCGGCCTCCCAAAGTGCTAGGATTACAGGCGTGAGCCACCGCCCCTGGCCGATATGTGCTTTTTAAATTAGATGTATGAATATAATAAAATAACACATTATATACAAATTTTATAACCTGTTTTCGTTACCAAGACTCATTTCATGTTAATAAATGTAGTCCTGTAAAAATGATATAATATTCCATTTTAGGATATGTCTCACTTCAGTACTATTTTCAGTTACATTTCTTACAAATATTTAGCTGTTAGAAATAGTGCTTGGATAAGTCTCATTATAAAATTTGATCCACTTTAATTACTTTCTTAGAATAAATTCTTAGAAACAAAATCACAAGCAATTGGTAATGTCGAATTCCAAGATTATGAGAACAATTAGAGACAATGTCATTTACAAAGCTCATGTTAATTTATATGCAGCCAAAAAAATTGATATCGTAGGGCCTGATATGGTTTGGATCTGTGTCCTCACCCAAATGTCATGAAGAATTGTAATCCCCATTGCTGGAGGTGTTGACCGGTGGGAGGTTATTGGATCATGAGGGTTGTTTCCTATGGTTTAACACCATCTCCCCTTAGTGCTGTCCTCGGGATAGTGAGTTATTGTGAGATCTGGTGATTTAAAAGGGTGTGGCACCTCCCCCACTCTCATCCTCCTGTGCTGGCCATGTGAGGTGCCTAGCTCACCCTTTGCCTTCCACCAAGTTTGGAAGCTTCCTGAGGTCTGTTTAGAAGCAGAAGCCGCTATGCTTCCTGTACAGCCTGCAGAACTATCAGCCAATTAACCACTTTCATTCATAAATTACCCAGTCCCAAGGATTTCTTTATAGTAGGGTGAGAACGGACTGATATAGGGGTCCATTTTCCTACCTTAGACAACACTAGTTATCATTGTATGATTTAATCTTTGCAAATGAAAAATCTTATAATTTACTCTGTTAGCATTACTGCTATTCATATTGAATATATCTTTACATCTGTCTTTCCTGCTTTGCTTGTCCATAATCTTGACCCATTTGTTTGAAATATTGTTATATTTATTGATTTGTAAGAGATACAGATGTTATATATTAGAAACACGAAAATTTAGCAATATATTTTTCCTATGTCTTGTATGTTTCATGTTAAGCTTATTACTGGGTATTTTTTTTTCTAAAGTGAGTGATATATTTTTCTTATGATTGTGTTTCTCTGATTATTGCTGATCTAGGATGATTGATATCTGTTCATTTATTTAACTAAATATATTACTGAGTCTTCTTGTTAATTGGAAACCTTTACATTGAAAATGTTTTCCTTCACATGGATATTTTTAACATCTGCAAATAAGGATAAACTTTGTCACCTACTTCCAAATATTTAGAGATCCTATTTCAATTTTTTTTTTTTTTGAGACAGAGTCTTGCTCCATTGCCCAGGCTGGAGTGCAATTGCGCGATCTTGGCTCACTGCAACCTCTGCCTCCAGGGATAAAGTGATTCTCGTACCTCAGCCTCCCGAGTAGCTGGGACTGCAGGCATGCACCACCACACCAGCTAATTTTTGTATTTTCATTAGCGATAGGGTTTCGCCATGTTGGTCTGGCTGGTCTCAAATTCCTGGCCTCAAGTGATCCATCCATCTTGGCCTCCCAAAGTGCTGGGATTACAGGCGTGAACCACCATGCCCAGCCGCTATTTCAATTATTCTTTATATTTATTAGAAGTATTAGAAAATGTATGAAATAATCATAGTGATAGGAAACTTCCCTTTTTTAGAGCATATGCTAGACTTTTGCACTGTTTGAATATTGTTTAGAAATGCATATCTCTTCAATATTTAAAAAGTATAATGTACAATTAAAGATATAAAATTTAAAAGTATAATTATATAAAATAATATTTTATACAGCAAAGTTTGAAAGTATTATTTATATAACTATCTTTTACTGGGATTAGTCTTAGACAACTTTAAACTTTTAAATTGATCTTTGTAGTCTATTCATGTTTTCCGGCTTTTTATTGTTCTTGGTAAATTTAATTGATATTCCCCTAAAGCTCCGTCCATCATATCAATAACTTTATATTATTAATGAAGAACCATACATGAATAATTTAATATATTTTATAACTATGGCTATGTCATTTTTAAATTTATTTCATTTGCAAGAGGCTTGACTTATTTCTGTTTCTTTAAAATTCTACTTTTTTTCTGATTTGCATTGTCAATAAATTATATAAACTGCATTCCCTCCACTGTGTCTTTATATTTGGGGTTGATTTTCACTTCCTGATCTGGATTATATTTTTTGTAAAGTGTCAAAGATGATTTGAATGAGTGCATATTTTGTTTATGTAATAAAATAAAATTGTATGTTTATTAAATCAGGATTATAAGTATATTATTAAAGAGATTGTCATATTGTGTCAACTTAAAAAGCTGAGCATTGTGTTATAAAAGGTAGAGAATTGCATGTGTAAATGCATTCTTCCTCTTATCTGACTCAAAAAACTTCTATTTGTCTTTAAAATGATCTTAAATTGAATATTTAAATTGGTGTTTCCTTTTGTATAATTCTATTTCTCAAATTTATTTGACCTAAACTTTTGTTTGATCACAAGTCTTAGATTAATTTTCAGGTTTACCTAATTTTGTTTCTCACCATCATATTTACTTCTCTATTATAGTCTGGCTACAGTTAAATTATTAATAAAGAGCAAAGGCTCTAGATCACAGAATAACTTGAGTTTACTAAGAGCAGAAAGAAAATGTCAGTTATCTTATGCATTTTAAATTAAAATTAAATGGTACTCCTTTTCTTTGTTGTTGAAATCCACTGAGGTACGCAGAAAGAAATATGAACTGATGCCGAATCAGGCAAAGAGTGCCATTCAAGCATCAGAAAATTTTAGAAATCTTTGAAAACTTTTAAAGTAAGACAAAAAGGAAGAAACAATCTATAGGTTACTTGCTATATGCAAGAAAATATTTGCTTTGGGAATAAGAGTGAACCCTGGGAGCAAGCTAGATAAAATCCTCTTGATTGGAGTGAGAGTAGTGAGAAGGATGAACAGGTGGACTAATGGGTTGAAGTCTGTGGGAGAGTATGTATCACAAAAATCATTCTGGAAAGTTCATCAGGTAACTGAAAATAATATCAAAACGGGATTGAGTCCTACCAATCACAGCGATGCATGCCTTGAGGGTCATTCTGGGTAAAGTTGTGGCAGTGTGGTGACACTGCCTCTGTCACATATGCAAGATTTACTTTTAGTAATAGGCAAAGATTGTTTTCTTTATCCATCTCAGGTTACAGTGACATGGTTTGCCACCAAAGCTAAGGTTTCTGACATATTACTAGAGTTAATGGTTAAATTGAATGTTCTTGGACCTACCCGATGTTCTGGGTTCTACCTTTGTCACTTAAGTAAATCTGAATGTTTTATTTTTTATTATTCTTTTACCAAGACACAAAAGAGTCACCCAGTTACCTTATGTCATAGCTGATGGAAACTATCTTCACCATCTCAAATTTTCTAGGACATACTAGTTAAGAAAAGTATTCTCTTTGAGCAAATAAGTAAAAAAATTAAAATATGAAAGAAATTTCAAATAAAGAAACATTTTGAGAATTTGTTTAAATAGTTATAAGAAAGTGAAGAAAATTATAAAATACCTTTTTAATATCCTTATCAATATTCAATATCATTCTACTTCTATAAAAGTAGATTATTAAATAATAAGTAATAAACTTTGTGAGGAAATATTTATTGGTGAACAAAAAGGTAATCTTTGCCTCTTAAAAGGCAGTTTGTTAGTGAGCCATAGATTAGTTACTGGAAAAGCTCTATCAGCACATTTGAAGATAAACAGAGAAATTTTCTCAATAATCAGAGATTAAGAATAAAAATAGAAATGATGAGACAGAAGAACAAAAAATGACACACAGAACAGATGCAGGAGATAAAATATACATAGAATATAAATTCCAGAGGAAAGAAAAAACTAAGAGAGAGATTGTAATACTTTAAACAAAGTAGTAGTAGAATAACATGAACACAAGTTTAAAAAATATGTATGGTCCAAAAAATTAGCCGGGCGTGTTGGCGGGCGCCTGTAGTCCCAGCTACTCAGGAGGCTAAGGCAGGAGAATGGCGTGAACCCGGTAGGTGGAGCTTGCAGTCAGCAGCGATCGTGCCACCGCACTCCAGCCTGGGCGACAGAGCGAGACTGTGTCTCAAAAAAAAAAAAAAAAAAAAAAAGAAAAGAAAAAAAATATGTATGGTCAGGAAAAATTGTAAAATTACCAGCATCTGATCATGTCCATGCTTTTTAAGTTACATAATTTTTAAAGTTGGAATCCCCAAAATACTTGAAAGGCACTGGTGTCAAGGGAAAATAAATCAAATAGGCAATTTGCAATTAAAAATATTCATTATTTCCTTTCTTTGTGAACCCAGTTAGAAAAGAAGAATGGAGGGAAAAACATCACAAATTCAAGCCTCAAACAAACCAATGCAAGTTAAAAGTGACTGTGTCCTTACTAATTTCAAAGCCATGGTGTTTTGAGGTAAAAATATTGTGACCTAAAATTTTAGATCCACAAAACTCCGATGTGCAAAAATATAATTATATTTTTAGAACTATCTTTAATATCTCACTTGGAACCCCAGCTTGCTTCTTAGCAGGCAAATTCATCTAGTTATTTCCAGCTAATTTAAGTCCAGCTAATTCCAGCTAAGATATTTATAAAACCATCACATTGCAAATAACAGTTTCATATTTGAGTTTTCTCTCTTCCTTAAGTTTAACTCTACAGTATGAAATTTGTGGCATCTGAAGATTTGTGTCCATATTATTTTCGGGGAGGATGTGCCATTTTGTAGGTGCCCTTTGTTAATACATCCTTTTTGGTGTAGACCAGGGGTTGGCTACCTTTTTCTGCAAAGGGCCAGGAAGTGTTTTAGACATTGTGAATTGTATAGTCTTTGTTGCAGCAACCCAACTCTACCATTCTAGCATGAAAGTGGTCATAAATGATATGCAAATGAATAAACATGGCTACATTGTTTTAAATCTTGGTTTACAAAACCAGGAGGCAGATTTGACTGGGCCTGTGGAGTGTAGCTTCATGATCTCTGATACACAAAGTTCACAGAACTCTCTCTAAAATCCTTTAATATTTTTTTAAATACTGGGTTTCCTAGCACAGTCATTCTCAAAAACAGTCCCATGTGCTCACAAACAAAAGTATATGTATTGTGCATCTCCATTGGAGGAGTTAACTCCCTCTATTAAAATCTATGTTTCGCTCAGAATCACACCAAACTGTTGAAACTTCCTCCAGGCCATTTACCTATATAGAAAACTCAGGGAGGTGTTTGGGGTTTCTTAATGTGCGTATATCACCATTTTCTCATCCCTGCAAGGTCACCGAGTACTGTAAATCAAGATGATAAAATTAAGCTCCAAATTCACTCTTCCCATACTGCACACATGAAGGAGCTAGGAAGCTCTAGTTAAGATAATGGAAGTACAGTAAAAAGTAGAGGAAAAAGAAGAAATGAGAAGCAATATGTCCCACAAAGGACAGTCATGCCCCTAACTTTCCTCCCCACTCTTTTGTCCCTGATACAAGTAGGATACTTGTGTCCCTTGTGGGACAGGGTAGAAGTAAGTTATACCTCACTTCTAATTTCTTGGTTTTCCTCTATTTTTCACTCTGTCTTCATTATGTTAACTAGTGTTTCCTATCCCTCTCTTTTTATAGTGGTATGGGTATGCTAGGAAGAGAAACATGCTTCCAAATATCTTCTATCTGGAACTTTTCCTGCAATCTTGACTATAACAGGCAAAAATATGTCACCCTTCCCCTACTGGGGCAGGGAAAAGGGCTGAAGACACCATTTGATATTTTAAGGTAGTAGTTGCTTTTCCAGTATTAATAATTCACATATTATCTTTTCACAAAACAATGACAATTATGTTAACAAAATAAAGTACCAAAAATTGTCACAATACACTAATACATGAGAAATATACTTTCATGAAAAATGTCTGCTTTCTTAATCCATTTATGAAAATTCTTCAGTTGCTAAAAAAGGATTAAAATCACAGAATAGCAACAAACTTGTAGCAAATAAATATCAAGTTTAGGAATTTTATTTAATGTTTAAGTTTTTACTTGAGGTGTAATCAAACAATAATATTAATTTACTTTCTGTCAACTCAGGTTTAGATCAAATCTCATATGTACAGCTGTGTATCCACTTGGATTAAATTCTTTGACAAAATGCAGAATTTCACCATTAAGATACATTTGTCTAATAGTTTTAAGTTTTGTCTAGGAATATATCTGGCTCATCACATAGGCCGTATTAATGAGGAACATGAGACTTGTCCCCATGCAAAAATGTTTTTAAAAAGCAGCATTTCACATAAATGAGAGGGGGAAAATTTAAAAATACAGACGAACCCGGAAGCATCTGTGTAATCACTCTTGGTGGCCTAGTTAACAGCCATTTTCTTTCCCTTTTTTTCTTAATAACAGCCTACCTCACATGACAGAAGCTAAAACTGCCACATTCTCAATTTAGCCTCAGTTGCAGCTAAGCGTGGCCCAGGGTTTGGCCAATGGAACTTAAGAAGTCTTCAGAAGAAATCCTTAGAAAGATTTCCCTCTGTTAAGAGCATGAATAAGAATGTCATCCACGATGTATTCCACATTTCATACTAACTTCGATCAAGATAACCCTTTGGCTCAACCATTTACTAGAAAAACTCACAGGAGTCAGAAAAGCTGATATGCTCCTGGTTACGGTTTATTGCAGCAAAAGGATATAGATTAAAATCAGCAGAGAAAAGGTGCAAAGGACAAAATTCAGGAGAAACTAGGTGCCAGATTCTAGGTAATCTTTCCTCGAAGAGTCACACAGACATTCTTAATTCTTCCAGAGAATATGTATGGCACACAAGCAAAGTGTTGCCAACCAGGGAAATTCACCAGAGCCTTCATGTGCAGGGATATTTTTGGTGGGGGGAGGTTGGCAGTGGGAGTTCAATCATATACGCACCTAACACCTTTGTGAGTCAACTCAGCTCTTAAGACTTCAATTCCCCATAGCAAAAACAGATATTTGCCATAAACCGCATTTTTAGTATAAACTAAGTGATCAAACTGGTACCTCATGGCCCAAGGCCTCAGAAATGTGAAACAACACAACAAAATTAAAAGAAAAATGAGGCAGAATATTCCAAGAGCTCAGAGTTCATCTTCCA
Source organism: Homo sapiens (assembly GCF_000001405.40). Lineage (NCBI taxonomy): Eukaryota > Metazoa > Chordata > Mammalia > Primates > Hominidae > Homo > Homo sapiens. The sequence goes on from NC_000002.12 coordinate 76,919,424, forward strand.
GGAGGTAGCCAAGGACCAGTACTGAAGACAAAACTTTCTTGAGAATGTGTGAGGTTTGAGCAACCCAGCCCTTCTGGTTAAACCTCTCCTGCAAACTTTGAACTTGACTATGTAAGGATATGATGTTTGAAGCTGCGGCCCTCATCCTGTGACTATCAGGAAAGTTGGGAAAATTGTGAAAGCCGATACGAGCCCTGACATTTTTTAATTTATAATTACCACTTCTGAACCAACTTCCCGTGAATGGCTTTACGTGAAATATATTAATAAATTCTATTTTTACAGCCATTTTACTTGGCTATCCTTTTACTCAGTTAAAGAAATCTTAACTGACACAGCATCCAATGCACATTATAGCATACAAATAAATATTGAAGGTTAAAAAGTATATCTTCTGACAGAATTAAGTCTTACATATGACGGGTCTGTCTTCTTGTTGTGTCATTTTCTGGTCCTTTCTCCAACTTTAAACAGATGCAACAGCTGCAATATTCCTGTTGCTACTTTTAACAATCGGAAGACATTCTCATAATCTTTTACTCATTTTTTTTTGAAATGCTATTTACTTCCAATTAAGCTAGCCCAGTGTTTTACATGATAAACTTTCAATAAATGTATTGAATGTTCTATTTGAATTTCAGATAGTTTTCCAATGAGATTTTGCCATATAATTCTTTTAAAACGTAATATGAGATCCTTGCCTGGCATCTACAGGTGATAAAAATCACTTCGAAGGAGATATTTATGACACTGTAATCTTAATGGAAATAGTTAATTTGTAGCCATTCCATATTTTTCTATTTTGCTTTTCTTTTCCTATAGAAATAAAAATATTTTCACCAAAAAGTATAAACATTGATGTAAACCTCTATTAGCCTCAGATAAGGTACTTTAAATCCTAGCTTTCCAGTAGTTCCTTCTGTAATACCTTGAATCCTTCAGCACAATTTTAGATTATTAGATAACTTTTATAATCTCCAGGCTTGAATGTTTGGTTTTGAAATAAAGGTGTAATTTCCTATAGAATTCTGAAGGTTTTTCACTTGTGTGAAAGTCTGACATTGAGGTTTTAGTGATTTATTTTGGAACCTGGAGAAGACTTCATTTTCATACCTGTCACACTAGGTGATTTGTAGGGCTTAATGACATTCAAAGGTTGTCAACTTGATTTATTTGTAATTTGGGAGACTCAGCTAGTAGATACTTGGAGCTGGTTTGTTGGTTTAGAGGTGTTTTCCTGTGTGTCTAAATACAGAATAATGCTACAGCAGTAAGTAAAATGTAGTGTATAAAACAAAGCTCCCAGAACAACTTATAGTGCATGGTAGATTCTCAACAAATCTTCTTTGCCTTCTACTTCATTCGCTAAAGCCCCATTATTATAGGTCCTATCTCTACTATATTTTAATTAAATAATTTACTGAAACTATTTTTCCTAGCGTCTGTCTCTGTTTTCTTCAATTTAAACACACTTACAAAATTTAGAACAGTCTTAGATTAACGGAAATTTGCAAAGATTATACTGAGTTTCCACGTACCCCTCACCCTGTTTCTCCCATTTTTATTATCTTTCATTGGAATGGTTCACTTGTCAAAACTAAAAAGTCAGCCTTGGTACATTATTATGAACTTAACTTTACACTTTATTCATTTCACTAGTTTTCACCTAATGTCCTGTTTCTTTCTGCGGATTCTATCCAGGATACAATCACACATTTAGTCATCCAGCATTCTTAGGTGCTTCTTGGCTATGACAGTTTCTCAGACTTTGCTTTTGATGACTTGACAATTTTAAGGAGCACTGGTCAAGTATTTTGTAGAATGTTGCTCATTTTGGATTTTTCTAATGTTTTTCTGATGATTAGGCTGGGGTTGTGTTTTTAGTAGGGAGACCAGAAGTTCCCTTCTCAGCTATCATATGAAATGTACGTGCTATTAAGATGACTAATTGCTAATGGTGTTAATAGTTTGATCACCTGGTAGAGGTAATGTTTGACAGATTTCTCTACTGTGAAGTTACCTTTCCCCCTTTTTTTCATGCTCTATTCTTTGAAAGCAAATAATTAAGCACAGTCCACACTCAAGATTTGAGGAACTAAGCCTAACCTAATATAGCAGGTAGTACCTATATAAATTATTTAGAATTTTTCTGTATGGAATATTTGTTTCTATCTCTCATTTATTTATCCCATCTTTTTATACCATTAAGGACATTATACCATAGGCATTATTTTTTATTTTGCTGCTCAAGTTGTTTCAGTTTTGGCAGTTAGGTATCTTTTATTTTGGCTCCTATATCCCTTTAATATTTCCCCATTGTTTTGATTTTTGTGGATGTTCTTACTTTCTGGAACTATAAGATGTTCTAGGGTCATTTTGTGTATTCCCTGCACAAGCATTAGAATCAGCCATTTTTTATGGAGCCCTGAGTCCTTTTATTTAGAATGGCATAAGAAATTAAGATCTGGGGTTCTGTGTGTATATCCAAGGAAATAAAATCACTATCTGAAGAGATATTTGCATTTTCACGTTCATTGCAGCATTATTCACAATAAACAAATTGTGGAAATAATCTTGCTATCTGTTGACAGATTAATTAAAAAAGAAATGTGACATATACATAAACGCAATATCATTCAGCCTTAAAAAAGAAATCTTGCTATCTGCAACAACGTAGGTGAACCTAGAAGATATTTTTCCATGTGAAATAAGCTAGATGCAAAAAGTCAAATAATGTATGATCTCACTTATACATGTATATTAGTCTGTTTTCACACTGTTATAAAGAACTACCTGAGACTGGGTTATTTATGAAGAAAATAGGTATAACTGACTCACAGTTCTTCAGGCTTAACAGGAAGCATTACTGAGAGTCCTCAGGAAGCTTACAATCATGGCAGAAGCAAAAAGGGAAGCAAGCACATCTTACCCTGGCAGAGCAGGAGAGAGAGAGCGTGCACAAAGTGGGAAGTGCCACATACTTTCAAACAATCAGATCTTATGAGAACTCACTTACTGTCAGAATAGCAAGCCTCCATGATTCAATCATCCCCCCACCAGACCCTTCCCCTGACACACGGGAATTATAATTCAAGATGAGATTTGGGTGGGGGCACAGAGCCAAACCATATCATTGTGGACCCTAAAAATTTGAATTCATAGAAGCAGAAAGTGGATTGATAGGTGCCAAGGGCTGGGAGGTAAAGCAAGTAAAGAGATGTTGGTCAAAGCATAAACTTTTAGGTATAAGATAAACAAGTTCTGGAGGCCTAAATGTACAGCATGGGTGCTACAACTAATAATAAGGTATACTTAAAGTTTGCTTAAGAAAGTGAACCTTAAGTAGTCTCACCACATATGCAAATGGTAACCAACATATATTGCAGCCATGATGTAACTATACAGGAAGCCAGCAGGAAAACAAAGCAGAGACAAGGCTAGATTGATCTTCATCTCCTAGACGGAGAAAATTGCTAAACAAAATGGAAGTGTCATGGAAACTAAAATGATAAATTTTGGAAAATATTAATATAAAAATTACTTGGTACTATTAATTTACTATAAATTAGCTTATTTAGGGGCAAACACAATAGAGTTATGTACTAAGCATTATGTCTTATTGGGAAGAATCACAAAAGTACTAAGTATGATCTGATATATTCAGAAAAATGTATATATTGACTTTCAATGAATTAAACTTCTGTCAATGTCTTTGTATGTCTTTGTATACTTTATTGTTAATGAAATTAAAAAGAGATAGGTTTTAACTATATTTCCATTTCTAAGTCTTTCGTTTTTATTGTTTTACCTTTTATGTTAAACGTTTGTCTAAAGTTCATGAAACCTCTTGCAACCAGTAGTATGCTGGAGCTGGTTTCTATCAGCTTGGAAGATCCAGTTGTTAAATTTGTAGAAAGTTTGTGAGCTGGTTGTTAAACAGAGCCATTATTAAAAATAAAATTACATAAATTTACTATTAAATAAGTTATATTAATAAATGAAGGTAATAAATACTCAAAACTGAGCAAAAAAAAGACAGGGTGTTAATACGCTCATTGCTACTGGGTCCTTTTTCATTTCTGTCATAGAAAATTTCAAATGTATAAAAAATAGAATAATTATTGAATCATTCAAAATGATTCACTCAATTTTAACAACTATCAACACAAGAAAATCTTGTTTCATCTACTCCTCTACCCACATATTCTAGGAAAGCACTTCCTGTGCATTTTCTAAAATTATATTTTGTTTGCCACTTCCTTTAGTCAATCCCACTGTACTAGTATTTTGCAAAACAATCTCAGATTTTGTTTTCTTTGATGCTATTTCCTTACTGTGTTTCACAAAGGCAAATAGGAATATTTGTATTTTATGTTTCTTTAGCTATTTCAGTGGTAATTTGGGTGGTAAAACTTGAATTAAGTATAGGGTCACAAATCATTATCTTCAAAGAGAATATCTTATTGCCTTTTTTTACATTCCTGAAATAGTAGCTCAAATGGCTCTATATATGAGGCATCCTCAATATTACTGTGGCATAGGTGTGGAGTGTTTTTTACAGGGCTTTTTTCAACGGTGTTTTCATTTAGGTTTCTTTCTTGAGGAAGCTCTATTGGGAATATGTGCTGACATTTCTTAAATATACTGGCTCCTTAATTACCTGGCCAGCATTTCACAAATAGTTAAGGTGTGAAATGAAGACAAACTTATTTATGTCTTTCTGAAAAGTTATATTATAAAAACTCATCTCCTTTCAGAAATTCACTTATCCTAAACACCTATTTTAAAACTAAAGCAAAAAATATATATAATAGGTCTCATAATCATGAGACTGGAACTAAGGTACTGAAATTGCACCAACCTGTCTTTATAAACTATTTTCCTCAACTCTTCTCTTTTTGTTCTTTATGAGTTCTATGTGATTATGTAGATAAACCATATATTCATCCCATTTCTCTTTTTCTTTGGCTCATTAGAGCCAGGAGTACAATTTAGGAAGAACTTGATAGATGTAGCTAAAGCCCCATCCATGCATTTATCCCAATTCCACAGTCTAATTCAATTCTATTTTATTTAAAAGATATTGCTAAACTTCCACTGTATGGCAACATTCTAAATACTGAAGGTGGTAGAAGAATAAATACATACAGTTCACTCTGGTATAATACTTCTTTTAAAAATGCACATTAGTCTCAACACTACTGATATATTATGAAACAGTTTGAGCGTAATACAAATTTTGCATTGGCTTATGCATGATTTCATCTGTGAGAAACACTAGCTGAATGCAGAAAATTGCACCCAGCTGAACTGAGCCACCACATAGGAATAATAAGACACACACGCAGACACACACACACACCCCTCAAATATCTACCACCTGCCTTAGTTCACCACATGTGTTGTAAACCCCATGGATTCATACATTGTGTTAAAACTTTCAATCCAATTTCATATAGAATTCCTTCTACCTCTTCACGGTAACTTTAAAGCCGGAACCCTTCTGACTTAAGCACAGTTCCAGGAAGACCTCTATTGACACGTGCCTTTGTCTTATCCCCTGTTCTTGGGTGAGAGAGACTTGTAACTTACATCTAAACATAAAACATGGAGAGTCGATGGGCTGCCTCTCCCATGATCATAATACATTGTATGGCAAATGTAAGAAAAAAAGGTAAAGATGTAATTGAGTTCCTTTACCAGCTGGCTTTTTGTTAATAGGCAGATTATTCTGAGTGGGCTTTACCCAACCAGGTGAGCCCTTTAAAAGAGGGTAAAAGAGATGGAAGAATAAGTTAGAGATGCTTTCCTACTCTTCATGAAGAAGCAAATGCTGTATTGTGAACTGCCCAGGGAGCGGGTTGGCTTCCAGCAGATGACAGCCTCAATCCTTCAACCTTCAAAGTCTGTTCTGGCAACAACCTGAATGAGCCTGAAAGAGGACCAAGCCTTTAACAAAAATCACAGCCTCAGCTGACCCCTTGATTTCAGCCTCTGAGGCTCTTAGCCGAGGATCCATTTAAGCTCTGTCTGGCTTTCTGACCTATAGAACTTCAAGATAAAAAATGAGTGTTGATGTAGCCCATTAAGCTTATGGTTGTTTGTTAAGCAGTATCAGAAAACTAATAGACGTTCTGATGCCCTTATCCACAAACAAGCTTCAGGCCATTTTCAAGGTAAATTTCCATTTTTGGTCATATTCATGCATTTCTTAACCATTCACTCTGTGTAAAAGTGTGCTACCTGTTTTATTAGGTTCCTATCTTTTCTTAAATGTCTCACTAACACAATTTTTTAGTGTTATGACCCAATCCCAGTTACTCCATAGGGCTTGTGGTTTTTACTATGCAATTTTGCATGGCAAAGTGGTTTTTTAGGAATACATATGTCATAATATGTTAGAACTAGCTATACTCCCAAGATTTGGGGAGAAAACCTCACACAGTATTTATAATGAAAGCATCCTAAAAAGAGTAAAACATTTAAAAGTGGTATTCAATATAGTTGTCATAGTTGCTCTCCCCTTCCTCTTTTAAAAGTAATATTCAGCTTGTAAGTTCTTTGAGGATAAAACCAGGTTGTTACAAGCCTTTTCTTTCCAACTGCTATGCTTATAAATGACACATGGTCAGCCTGACAATTCATTTAGGAGTTTGTTACTCTAAGTGAATTTGTTCAAAATTCTACTTTTCATAAATTGATAAATAAAATTGTCTCCTTCTTTTGGATTGTAATGTTTTTCATTCAATATTTAAAGTGATTGAGGAAATGTGCAATGTGTCTAGGAGTACTTTTATAAATGATTAACAAAGAACTTTAAAACATTTACTTTTTAAACATAGAGAAAATAAGACTACAATAAATTGTCTTACAAAGAAAAACAGTTTCAACAAGAATACACCACTGCCAATCAACAATAGTACCATATCACTCTATATTAGATCCAGCAAATTTTATTACATAATAAATGGATTCTCTAGGTCTCATCCTCTAATGAAAGTCTATCATTGCCTATTTTGTATATGACAAGGAGATACATTTTGGGCCCGAGGTTAAATGCTATGGATTGAATGTGTCTACCGAAAAGCACATATTGGAAACTTAATTCCTAATGCAACAGTGTTTGGAGCTGGGGGCTTTATTAGTGGTGATTAGGCCAGGAGGGCTCTGTCCTCATAAATTAAAGCTGGTATTGCAGGAATGTTTTGTTATGGTGTTAGTGGTTTCCTTATCAAAGGATGAGTCTGACCCCTTCTTGCTCTCTCTTGCCCTCTCTTTGTCCTTCTGCCATGAGATGATACTACCAGATGCCAGCCACTCTTTCTTGGACTTTCTAGCCTCCAGAACTGTAAGCAAGTAAAATTTTATTCATTATAAATTATCCAGGCTGTAGTATTCTGTTACAGAGCACAAAACGAACTAAGACTGTCTGCATGTACATACTATTCCTTACACTAAAGTTCCCTAAAACCTATCAGAAAAGGTCATGAAAACACGAAACATCCTCCTCGTTTCACCAGGACCAAAGCAAAGATACGTGAAAATGTGTCAAGATGGTGAATGAGGACATAATATTTTACATCTGCTTAATTTATTTTTGCATACAAATTGCAAATAGGCAATTCTCTATTGTGATTTTGCTTATGACATTTGGATTTTTGGTTATTAGCCACTTGCAATACTTATGTTCATGCATTTGGTGTGGATCTCTATAGAGATCTTCATCAGTGATTATCTAACCTATTCCCTAGGAACCCTCCCTTTGCTAGACCTGCATAGTACCATCTTAGGAGTTACCATATTCTTACATGACCACCCTAGGAATTACCATATGTATCCACATTGATGATTTGGATTGAGATGAAAACTTCTCCCAAAATGATCCAATTTAGTTACTTCCTTATGAGTTTTAGACCTTGAGGGGATTAAAAAGCCTCTAAAGGCCTTGCTGTATAACGGTTCTACGATGTAAACTTTTGTTCTTCCTGATAACCATGATTCTTACAGGTCAAGTGTGAGAGATAATAAAGCAGATGCCATACATAAACAGAGACAAAAGATGGAATTGGAAAGGCTTCCTGGTAGATGTTGGTTCTCGGAGCTACTGCCTTTCCTATTGTTAGTTTTCCAAAAGTCATGTATGTAAAAAAGCCAATACCTTTCTCTATTCCAATCCACTAATTTACTTGGGTTTCTGTCTCTTGCAGCCAATGGAATCCTAATTAACAAACTAAGAGGTAGCAAATAAATGAATATATATCATTTAGTATCCTTGATTGTGTATTATGTCCTCAGTTTAAAAATTCAACCTGATGTTTGATATTCTTCTTAAGAAACTTTCCATTTAAAAGTACTGATCTCTCTGTGAAGGTCTCCGTCTAAGGCTCTCAACATTGAGACAGGAGACAATGCAGTTAAGCAGGTAAAAAGAGGTAAAAATGATGTCAAGGGTTAAATCAAGCCCTTTTCTGACTAGGAAGCAACACGATTTATTTTTTCATGTAACTTATTACTTCAGAAGCCTTGTTCTTAAAGCGCAATTACACTGAAATGATTCAAATAAGCTGAATAATTTTGTAAAATACGTGTCCCAATTGCCTTTCTAAATTTCATGCTCCTGTAAGGCAGAGAATGTGCCCTTCCAATTTTTATATGGCTTTACATGAGACATATAATAGTCACATAATAAATGTTTGTTGAATTTAACAGAAGGACAGGAGCCATGTGGATGTGGAAATTTAGGTTTGCAACAAAAGTCACACTTTAGAATCACATCTCATATCTGATGTTTAAAATCCTTTAAAATATTGATAAAATAAAAATTCAGTGTTAATTGGAGTTCTCTATTTTGACTGTCAGTTCTCTCATTTAAAACATTAAAAGTGGTATCATGTATAATTTACTGAATAACAGCAAAAGCCATTCCAAAGTGTTATGAATATGTTTAAACAAGTGCAGGACTAGAGGCTGAGATGTAAAGACTTTCAATTTTGTGGTTGCAAGATCAAATTCTGCAGCGTGCCTATGGGCCTGACCACTATCCACGGAGGAGCTTTGAGGATTTTTGATGATATAGAACAATCAGTGGTGAAAGATCAAAGCCTTGAACATTGAGGGCAAATATGGGTTCATGCATTTTAAAGGCAGTCGTGCCTTAAATGATTTCAGGGCATAGAATAAAGCTGCTGGTGCTGGTGAGATGGGCATTCAGGGAAACCAACTCACCTTCTTTTTACATGAATAGGAAAATAAAACTGTAACCCAGAATACTGAGTTCTCAATGTTTTCAAGCTGACAGAATGACTTTTAATCAGTTCATGATATTAAAAAATGCTTGTCAAGTTTGCTACATAATTTGTGAGAATTTCCTTTATTGATTTACACTGTGAAAAAAAATTAAGCAAAGCAAAGAACACAAAAGAATGTGATGTAGTCAACTTTAATATAAAATCATATTAATATATTTCCTGTGATTGTTTCTATGTTACTCTATTTGATTTTAATCAACATTACAAAGCTCTATGTAATATAGTATGTTCTCACTTTCAGAGTGACTTAGATATGATTTTGTGAGCATTCCTGTTACAAAGGTGAGCAGATGACTAAAACATAGGTTTAACTTACTACTACTGGAGTTATCTTACTACAACATTACTATGATAATGTTGACTACATATTTTAACCTCAAGCTCAAGCCTACAAGCTCAGCCTCTCAGGAGGAGCTCTGGAGCGCTTCAAGGAAATAAAATTAAATTAGGTCACAGAGTTTAGGACCAGACATATCACTGGAAGGAAAGAAGAGGTTTTGTTTGCTTTGTTTTGTTTCTTTGTGGGGTGACATTAAACAGCTAGATGTTTCGCAAACTAACGCCCATGAACCACATCGAGCCTACAGTACAACAAATGCATTTGTGCCCATTTACCTCCCTAGTGTCCATGGCTGCTTTCATGCTACGATGGCAAAATTGAGAAGATTCAACAGAGGTCTTATGGCTGACAATGCTATCTGGACATTTGCAGAGAATATTTGTCCACCCATCGGAGTTGGGTTCAAGAAGGAGTGTGAACTGATAATTTTAGACCTGCTCTGCTGTTGCTATTAGCTTTTTTTAACTTCGGTTTTCTTCTGAAACTTCCTTTGCACTTACAGTGAGAAAGTCTAAATATCCTACTACAGACTTTAGAAAAAGTGAGAGAGTAGACATGTTTCTTTAAGTTAAACAAGTGAAGTCCAGCATAATTCCCCAGGGCTGCAGACTTTACAGGATTATGACAAAGCCCTTTCTGTATAATAAAATGAGTGTTTACCTGGCATTGCCTCCACCAAACCACATATCCTAGCATCAGTGATCTGATTAAAAAATAATGTTTCAAAGAGAAAAATCAAAGTTACCTCATCTATCCTATCTTTGTAGCATGTTTTTAGAATATAAATATTTTTAAAAGTAGGTGAATATGTTTTGTACTAAAATTCTAAAAATGTGATAATTGCAATTAGAGTTTGTGTGTGTGTGTGTGTGTGTGTGTGTGTGTGTGTTTTAAATTTAATTTATAGAATACTTTCTTAGAGTGAAATCCAGTTTGAGTTGAAAAACTATCTCTGGTGGTTATTTTTATTTTTTGTATTTCTCTGCAGAAAGATTGGAGATCAGTATTGTATCAGTTTCAGGCTCTGTGTACTAATGGTGTAATTTCTAACAGCCAATCCACAACAAACCCATAAAACTTGTCTTAATGGGATTTTGCCTTGAGCACCATCTGTAATTAGGTAGGGGGTTTCCACTGCAACTCTATTACTGTGATTTCTAGGTAAGTCTCTTGGGGGCCCTTTGGCCTCTGGGCCTCCAAGCTTTACAGCATTCACTGAGCATTAGCTAAGTCTCATGATGCTCAGGTGCGTGTGCACGCATGCGTGCACACACACACACGCGATATGGTTAATATCCATCAGCAGTTCTGTAATTAGTAAACGTGTCTGTGCTATGGGTTTTGTTCTTATTTTATTATTTTCTTCCTTTTTGCACATATTGGCTCTTTTGATGTAAGTACAATCCAACCTAGAGGCACAGAAGTAACCGCAGATGCCACAGCAGAAGTGTGCTGATGGCACCATCTGCTTTCTGCAATTCTCTCTTGGTCATTGATTTCTCCGGGAGATTTTCTTCAAAATAGTTGGACAGTCTTACAGCATGTTGTGTGACATATGGAGTGCTTTTTCACTATTGACTTCAGCATGCTGTAGTGGAAGGAGCAATGGATGTGGAATCAGAGGGCCAGAGTTAGAAGCCTGGATTAGTTTCCTCACTAGATAAAGTCATGTGTCCTTCCTGACCTTAACCTCCTAATCTGTAAAATAATGATAAATGGTTATTAAAATTGCCTAGGAGGTACAATGATGAATAAATTAGAAAACATTAGAAATGCTCAAGAAATTATGAAGCACTGTTTACAAATAAATTATAATGAATTACATTCTTTATAATTTTCTAGATGGTAGCCAAATCATTTTCTATCATCCAAAAAGAATATTTCACACCAGTCCTAGTGATGTTTATAAAACTGTGTCAGCACTGCTTGTGGCTCATAGACCTTGTATGATTTTTGAGGTATTTTACATTTGTTTAAAATTTGTTTTACAGCAGTTATCTTACCTATGCAAGCAAAAGGCCATGGGATTATGGAACAAAAGCAATGAGAAAGAAAGAAAGAAAAAAATAACTGAAAGAGAATAGAAAATATATTTACTTTTTTATCAAGTCAAAATTAATGCTAATATGTTGATATATCTGATTTCCATCAAATAAACAAGAAAGTCATTAAACAGAAGTGATTATTTACATTCTGGACAGTTTTTAGGAGAAATGTGAGCATATATTAATGCATATTAGCAAAAATACTCATGACTATCAACATTATGTGAAAATCACCTTCTATAATAAAATAAAGTAAAATAGGGAAGGAGAAGCCATTTCCTTATTCTTTTCTCATTCCTGCTTTGACCTTGGGTTGTACAGTCTTCCTTGACCTTTCTCACAATGTCTTCCTTTAATCCTGAGTGTGGGACAAGGTTCCCTGCTGTGCCCGTAATGTGCCTGGATACACTCTCTCTCTCCACCACTTTCATCACTCAGTGTCTCCTAGTTGTCCTCCTACTGATAAGGACAATTCTTCCTTGCCCTCAAAGTTGGAGGGATGAAATCCAATTGGCTGGCTGGATACACATGTTCTCTATGGATCTAACTGCCTTTACAGATGGATTATAAGGTCTTGATTTAAAGAAGAAAAGTATAAAAATTCATTTGGCCCTCAGTTCCAACGTACTTTTTTCTGTCCAGGTTTACCAGCATAAAGCTGATATTTTGCTACCAACCATACCCTAGTTTTACCTTTCAAATGATCCAAAAGCATTCAAGAAGGGAGTCGTGATTAATTAGAACCCTAAAAATTCCTACTAATAATTTCAATATTATGATAGAGTGCATTAAGTTGAGAGAAAGGAGGATGGGCAGAACAGGGAGGTTACTAAGTAAAAACAGGGTTTTAAGACTAAACAAAAAATGTATTTCCACAAGATATTTGGCTCCAGTTACTTTATCCTGAGAATTGATGACTTCGATCAGTAACTACTGTGTTTCTCCCATCTTCTGCCCTTTCAACGTGAATTTTATTGTGTTCATCCTGTTCCTCCTTGTATTGTTTATTGGATGAGGCTGGAAAAAGTATCTTGAGCCACGGAGCATCATATCCAGATGTGATCACCTCCTTAGTAGCTAGACTTTAAGCTGAAAACCTGAAATGACTGAACCTTGAGTTTAGTTACTAGGGAGGGGTAAAATTTGCTTATGTGTACCAAAAACAGGTTCTACCATTATTTGAGTGATCAAAGCACCAAGTATGGAGAGGCAGATATTGTCTTCCACCAATAACTCCTTGTCTCCTTCTTTCCCCTAGTAGTATAATCTCCAACATGTATACATTATGATATGTATACAGGTACCTATAATAAAGGCATTCCCCTATCTTCATCACAGGAGTGTTTAGCCAGTGGAGTAAAGTGAAAGTTAGGAGTGTGAGTGCAAAAAAATATTACAGGAAGAAGACGGTACGCCCTTAGTCTGTATCAAGTTTGGAATTTGGTCTCTTCTGTACTCTGAACCTATGTTTCATTCTTGTAAATAGAAAAATATTTTCTATGTATTTTCTAAATATTTCCAGATATTTCTAAAATATTTTCTAAATATTTTCTAAATATTTGTATATATATGACATGTTATATATATGAATGTGTTCATATATTCATAGACACACATGTGTTCTCTCTATATATACATATACACACGTGTGTATACACACAAAAGAGAGGAAAATACTTACTCTAAAGAAATTAATTTGAAATGATGTGTTCTTTTTTTGGTATTTAATTTTTTAAATTTTATTATACTTTAAGTTCTGGGGTACATATGCAGAACATGCAGGTTTGTTACATAGGTATACACGTGCCATGGTGGTTTGCTGTACCCATCAACCCGTCATCTACATTAGGTATGAAATGATAAACTTTCACACAGTTGGTTGAAGTTCACATAGAAAAATCATTTGAGAAATCTTAATATTCAATTCCTCACATCCTATTTTTTTATGCATAAGCATTAACCATTAAGATAGATAATATTGAACACAACAGCAAGTCAAGTTAGGATAACAATAAATATATCTAAATAGCACATTTTAAAAAATATGTGAAATGCCATCAATTCCCTTCATCTGAATTTCATGTCAAAAAATAAATGAGTAATCAATGAAAATTGTTTCTAAACAATCAATAAAATTGTTTCTATTTCTAAAACAATAAAGTTATATGTTACCCCTTTCTACTATGGTATAACTTGCCAATCACTACATCTTAAAACTGTGTTTCTCTGTGCAAAAATAGGCATGTTTTTATTCTCACACGGTCATACAAATACCTGCTTGCCTGCAGAGGTATATTTTTTTTTAGCATTGCTGTAAGGATCAAATTTTACGTAGTTATCTTCCAAAAGTAATTTCAAAAAGGTAAATAGAATTGGGGTATGTAAAAAGAGAGAAGTACTTATTAATTTTTTAGAATTGTTTACTAAAGTTATCCTCAGGTATTAAAAATTGCATTTTATAATTAATTATTGCATTTAGATTATCATGTTTTGAAAAAATAACATAACAGGGTTTTGATCCACTGGTGTACTAGCAATTTCCATTATATTGATTGAAAGCTGCCAGATAACTCTATTCTCAGTTACAAGGTGTTGACTGGATCTGAGACTGATGATTTAAATAAATAAAAAGGGAGAAATTTCTGAGCACAGAATTAGTATCAGAATCAATGAATTATCCTTGCTGGGTATTATTCATTAGCCCTGGAAACACCAGCTTTAGAGTCAGCCATGACATTTCTGGAAAAGTTGATAATTTAACCCTTTACCCCAAATTTACATGCTTTCCTTCCCCATTTTACTTCAATATTAAGAGTAGAGATTTCAAATATATTGGTAATAGTCTGTCCTATTCAGATACACCCATGCTGAGAAATAACATCTTCAAGTCAGTGGCTAAGACGTCGATAACATTCACATTGATTTATCAGTGTTCACTTTGCATCAGTACTCCAGCTCTCAAAGCAGGACTCTGTATTAAATGGAAATAAAGAACCTTACTCTGCAGAAAAATCTCATGAGAATTTAAATAAATGGGTCTCTATGCTTGTCACTCACATAATTTCTTCAGCAATATCACTATAATGTAATTATGTTGAATACGATAATAAAAGAGAGCATTATATAAATACCCACTTACACACATATGTATAACTTTATCAGACAGTTAAACTATTAAAAGGCAATTGTTTAGTGACATGGAGTAACTGTGTTAAAGGATGTTAAAAATGATTAAGGTAGTCTGAATACCAGCATTTAGATCCAGTCGTATATATGACAGTAATGTGACTAGGGACATAACAACTAAAATTTTGCAATTTAGATGTCTCCATTGTAAAATTCAGATTACTGTGCCTTTCTCACACAGTTGTTGCAAGACTTCAATTTAATGGTGTGCTGGTAAATGTGTAACAACCATTTCTCCAGGCAAAAAAATTTAAAAAGCCCTGATCTATAGCAGTTGTCAATTTGCAGTGTGTAAATATTCCCACCGTGGCCAATTTCAAGGTATCAGTACGATGTCCCTGAACATGGAGCTGGGAAGATATGTGCAGAATCAGGTTTCATAAACTGGCATGAGTTGGAAACAGCTCACCACTACTCCCATTGGAAAACATAGATGACAATACTGTGTACTATGTCTCACAAAAAGCAGATGCTCACTAAATCTTTGTTGAATGAATGTGTGTATGAAGAAATCCTGTAGACATTTACTCAGAAAGGAAAAACATAGAAGGTATTCAGCAGTGTATCAGCTTAATCTAACAATTCTGTAAATCTAGTTTATGATTAAAGTAAAACTTTGGAAAGTACTTAGAGGATTTTCTTTCCCAATTCCATATTCTTTGGAGGAAAAAAAAAAAGATGACTTAGATAGGAATTTTAATTAAATATGCTGATTATCGAACTTTCTGAGTTCAGTATCATTTCACCAAAAAGAGAAAAGAATAGTAATAATACAATCAATGCAATGGTCTCAATACAAGCCTATTAGATTCAAGAGCAGGAAAGACAAAATATTAAAAATGACATTGTGTAGTGTAAGTAATGGGACACAGTATCCCAAACCTAAGTAATGGGACACATATTCTTTCAGGCCAAATTGTATATTATATATGCAAAAGCTTTGCTACTCTAGCCTCGTAGTATAGTGTGAAGTCAGGTAGTGTGATGCCTCCAGCTTTGTTATTTTTGCTTAGGATTGTCTTGGCTATGCGGGCTCTTTTTGGTTTCATATGAAATTTAAAGTAGTTTTTTTCAATTCTGTGAAGAAAGTCAATGGTAGCTTGATGGGAATAGCATTGCATCTATAAATTACTTTGGGCAGTATGGCCATTTTCACGATACTGAGTCTTCCTATCCATGAGCATGGAAAGTTTTTCCATTTGTTTGTGTCCTCTTTTATTTCCTTGAGCAGTGGTTTGTAGTTCTCCTTGAAAAGGTCCTTCACATCCCTTGTAAGTTGTATTCCTAGGTATTTTATTCTCTTAGTAGCAATTGTGAATGAGAGTTCACTCATGATTTGGCTCTCTGTTATTGGTGTATAGGAATGTTTATGATTTTTGTACATTGATTTTGTATCCTGAGACTTTGCTGAAGTTGCTTATCAGCTTAAGGAGATTTTGGGCTGAGACAATGGGGTTTTCTAAATATACAATCTTGTCTTCTACAAACAGATAATTTGACTTCCTCTTTCCCTCATTGAATACTCTTTATTTCTCTCCCTTGCCTGAATGTGCTGGCCAGAACTTCCAATATTATGTTGAATAGGAGTGGTGAGAGAGGGCATTCTTTTCTTGTGCCAGTTTTCAAAGGAATGCTTCCAGTTTTTGCTGATACAGTGTGATATTGGCTATGAGTTTACACTGTTGGTGGAAGTGTAAATTAGTTCAACCATTGTGGAAGACAGTGTGGTGATTCCTCAAGGATCTAGAACTAGAAATACCATTTGACCCAGCAATCCCATACTGGGTATATACCCAAAGGATTATAAATCATTCTCCTATAAGGAAACATGCTCACGTATGTTTATTGTGGCACTGTTCACAATAGCAAAGACTTGGAACCAACCCAAATGCCCATCAATGATAGACTGGATAAAGAAAATATGGTGCATATATACCATGGACTACTATGCAGCCATAAAAAAGGACAAGTTCATGGCCTTTTCAGGGACATGGATGAAGCTGGAAACCATCATTCTCAGCAAACTATCACAAAACAAAAAACCAAACACCACATGTTCTCACTCATAAGTGAGAGTTGAGCAATGAGAACACATGCACACAGGGAGGGGAACATCACACACTGGGGCCTGTTGAGGGTGGGGGGTTAGGGGAGGGATAGCATTAGGAGAAATATCTAATGTAGATGACGGGTTGATGGTTGCAGCAATCCACCATGGCACGTGTATGCCTATGTAAGAAACCTGCACGTTCTGCACATGTATCTCAGAAATTAAAGTATAATAAAAAAAAAAAAAAAAGAAAGAAAAAGAAAAAGCCTTGCAGTGATACTCACTCTTTACTGGCAAGTTTCTCATTCAAAGATCCACCTGGCCGGGCACAGTGACTCACGCCTCTAATCCCAGCACTTTGAGAGGCCAAGGCAGGTGGATCACCTGAGGTCAGGAGTTGGAGACCAGTCTGGCCAAATGGTGAATCCCCATTTCTACTAAAAATACAAAAATTAGCTGGGCGTGGTGGCAGGCAACTGTAATCCCAGCTACTCAGGAGGCTGAGGCAGGGAGAATCGCTTGAACCCAGGAGGCGGAAGTTGCAGTGAGCCGAGATGGCATCACTGCACTCCAGCCTGGGCGACAGAGCAAGACTCCATCTCAAAAAAAAAAAAAAAAAAAAAAAAAAAAAAAGAGCACATAAGTATATGTGAAAACATATCATCTTATCAGTAGATTCATGGTGACAATGACAACGGGAAGCCACAGAAGGCCTTTAATAAGCATCATCTGAGGGTGAAAGTTATACAGAGATAGAAAAAACTACAGTCTTGGTGATGGTAATTTTATTACCCAACTCTAAAGAGAAAACATTACACAGCATATAATGAGAATGGTACTCCTTGTTTATGGACCAAAATTTAACCCCAAAAGCTTTAGCCATAAGTAGGAGGCATATGGCAAAAATATTTATGAAGTTTATTAACTGATGCAAACCAAAATCTCAATGTTTAGCCATAATCAGATATGGAGGAAAAATGGGGGTTTCTAGGAAGTTCTACTGGAAGGCAGGACTTTGACAACCCTTTTCCTGACAATGATGTGATGGGAAATTGGCACCAGAATCAGTCTGGTCATCCTTCACTTCTAATCTTTGAAGAGAACTTGCTCATCTTTTTAAAACTTGATTGAGCTAATGCATCAAATCATTTTGCTATTTTAATGTAGGCATTAGGCAAGTTGACAGGTAGATCTTAATTATCTTTACAAAATCTTTCTTTTGTGTGTATGTGTGTGAAATGAGTCTTGCTCTGTCACCCAGGCTGGAGTGCAGTGGTGCGATCCCGACTCACTGCAACCTCCGCCTCCCGTGGGCAAGCGATTCCCCTGCCTCAGCCTCCTGAGTAGCTGGGATTACAGGTGTGCCACCACACCGGGCTAATTTTTTCGTATTTTAGTACAGACGGGGTTTCACCATGTTTGCTAGGATGGTCTCGATCTCGTGATCTCGTGATCCGCCCACCTCAGGCTCCCAAAGTGCTGGGATTACAGGCATGAGCCACTGCACCCGGCCATCTTTATATATATATTTTTAAAAATGAAACCTTAATACCAATTGCATAGTATCCTTAGATCAAAGTATAACTTACGAAAAATGGAGGAGCTAAGGGGAATATAATTTTGTTTAAAGTTTTGGGAGTTTTCATTAATTGATTTTCCTTTTAAATACCCTCCTTTTTTCCTTCCCCAGTATTTTAAGAATTATCAAATAATTATCTTTTCCTCTCTTCTTATATTATTTTATAAAATACTTTCTGATGAAAAAAATTCTACTGATTGGTAGTTGCACATTATTAGTTCATTTTAAAAGCTTTTATTTTTCTCCTTACATTTATCTGTTCTCAATCCATCTACTGCCAAGTACAGAGAGACTCCAGAGATTAGACTAGATATTTTGAGTTAATCAAAAATGCATCATTTGGTCCTAACTGTCTGGCAAACTGAAGCATCTGGCTAATAGTATCATTCTGCTAGTATTTTAGATACTAGTGATAAAAATATTATGATGTATTTTCATTTTGAAGACAAAAGAATATAAATTGTTAAAATTTTAAATCAAATTATAATGATTCTTTTAGAGTGATTTTACTGATGATGAATTGCATAATTTCATTAGAAAGGACTTCTTCCTAATTGCTTTTTATTGTTTGTAGTTATGTTTTGGGAAATGTGATTTCACTCCTGTTATGTTTGCATATATGAATTAATGAGCTGAATTATAATAAGCTTCAGTGAACAAAATGAGATACTACATTTCAAGTAATTTTCTTTTCATCATTTTTAGCAAATCATTTGAAAAAGTTTAGATATAAAACTAACCAATTGTTTTTCTCAGGAAGAGGTCTTAGAATACACTTCTGTAATTGTTTCATCAGGCAAAAACACTATTATGGAAGCTTATTTTAAAAATTATCCTTTATAATATATCACTGAAAAAGTATATTTAATAGGAAAAACAAATAGCAAAATATTTCAAATTATTCATGTCTTATGTAAAAGTTTTTATTTCCAGCAGGTGTTTCTTTTACATTTAAGTTCTGTATATATAGTGGTAAACTAGTCTTATGAGATTTCAAACATTATAGGTTTGTGACATTCTCTGATAATTTTTTTCATCATAATTCTGTGAAGAATTTTCTGAGGTTTGTGAGTAGGAGATTATGAATAAGTTAGGGGAATCTAGAAAACTCCCCACACATTCTACTTTCTAGATAAATATTCAGACTCCAACAACTTTCTTATTTACTAGAGGTGGGAATAATACTTTTTAGCAATTTTCTTTTACTGGTAACCTGTTACTGAAAAAAAAATGGTGATTGTATTTTTAGGTTGATGTTTGTAGCTATAACAAGTAAACCTTAGATTTTAAGTGGCTTAACACAACAGAATTTGTTTCTTGCTCAGATAACATTTCAGTGCAAATTTTCTGGGAGTCTTTGCTTTGCATGAAGTGCCATAAGCTACCTTTCTTTCACTTTGTTACTCCACTACTCCTAAAGGCCTTAGAATCCACCAAATTCAACAGTAAATGGGCAAAAAAGTAGTAAAAGCATGTCTGCTCTTTAAGAATTGAAAAATTACACAGATTTTTTTGTCCACATTCCATTGGTGAAAAAATCGTCTGGCCAGAATTAAAGGAATGCAATTCCTGGTTGGAAAGCTCCCGTGCAGTGATACATTTATATCATGGAAGATAAAACAGATTTTTAGTTGCTATCTAGTGGCCCATCTTAGTACTGAAGGAATAGAACCAATATTTTACTTGTTATAAAAAATATCCATGCTTCTCTAATGACTATGCTAAATAAATAATTTTCATCTGACCCCAAATTAGCAGAATATTGTCCAAAATTATTACAGGTATTTATGTTAGTCCTACATGCTCTAATTTTTAAGTGATATCCTTTTGGCAATATTAATATTTATGGGCATCTAACTGGTCATACATAGATCATTCATAAATCTTTTCATTTCTCAGGAAATTTTGAAAAATGAAAATCTTGGAGAATTTTCCCAGATTATTCTTGCTTGATACCACTTAATCCTTAATCAAATGAATATGTTACTGACAATTATTCATTATTTCAATCCAAGAAGGGGTTGGTTCAAATATTCTTTTCTTTTATTCAAAAAATAACAGATGCTGAAGAGGTTGTAGAGAAAAAGAAATGCTTACACACTCTTGGTGGGGGTGTAAATCAGTTCAACCTTTGTGGAAAACAGTGTGTCCACTCCTCAAAGAGCTGAAAACAGAACTAATGTTCAACCCAGCAACCCCACTACTGGGTATATACCTAAAGCTATGTAAGTAATTCTATCAAAAAGACACATACATATGTATGTTCATGGCAGCCCTAATTGTAATAGCAAAGACATCGAATCAACCTAGAGGTCCATCAGTGGTAGGATGGATGAAGAAAATGTGGTACATGTACACCAAGGAACATGCAGACATAAAAAAGAATGAGATCATGTCATTTGCAGGAACATGGAGAGAGCTAGAGGCCACTATACTTAGCAAACTGACGCAGGAACAGAAAATCAGATACCACCTGTTCTCACTTATAAGTGGGTGCTAAATGATAAGAACACATGGACACATAGAGGGGAACAATAGACACTCAGGTCTACCTGAGGGTGGAGGGTGAGAAGAGGGAGGGGATCAGGAAAAATAACGAATGGGTACTAGGCTTAACACATGGGTGACAAAATAATCTGTACAACAAACCCCCATGACACGAGTTTACCTATAGAACAAACAGGCACATGTACCCCTGAACTTAAAATAAAACTTAAAAACAAACAAATATTTTGTTGTTGTTGTTCTGTTTCTTAGATGTGACAATTCTAGATTGTACGTACTATGTACGTCAGAAAGAGGTTCTGAAAGTGAGTGTGTGGATGAGGTCTCCACTTCCCCTTACTACACTGTGCTAACCTGAACTCCCTTCTTAAGCCCAGAATTTAAACCTGATAGCTTAGTCCTTGCAAAAAAATCACTCTCTCAGGATTGTTTTTCTTCTCTCTCTTTTCTTTGTTTTGTTGACTACAAGGCTAGCAAGTGAACATTTGCTGACAATTTCAGTACCTATTGACTTCTTACCACTTTTGTTATCTTCAGAATTTACATTAATTTTCATAGTAAAAGCAGCTCAAGTGTTTGGTGATTATTGTTGTTTTTAAATTTGTGGCTTGAATTTGATTTGTCTTTCAACAGAATATGAGAAGGCAATGAAAATGAAGGTGAGACACAATAAAGAAGAAGGTAAAGTAAAATATATGTAAAATATTATTTCAGAAGTAAGGTCAAACAAAAAACAAAAACAAAAAGGAAAGGCGATAAAGCCATATCATCAGCAGTCTTCATTAGCAGGATGCACACATATTATATTTTATATATTGAGTCATATTTGATTAATTCCCAGGCAAAAAGTTGCTGTTTGTGTAAAACACATTTTATTTTATATATTTTTAAATTATACTTTAAGTTCTGGGATACATGTGCAGAACATGCAGGTTTGTTACATAGGTATACATGTGCCATGGTGGTTTGCTGCACCCATCAGCCCGTCATCTACATTAGGTATTTATCCTAATCTTATCCGTCCCCTTGCCCCTAATCCCCCAACAACCCCCAGTATGTTATGTTCCCCTCCCTGTGCTCGTATGTTCTCACTGTTCAACTCCCACTTATGAGTGAGAACATGCGATTTTTGGTTTTTTGTTCCTGTTTTAGTTTGTTAAAAATAATGGTTTCCAGGTCATAAATGTCTCTGCAAAAGACATGAACTCAACCTTTATATGGCTGCATAGTATTCCATGGTGTATATGTGCCACATTTTCTTTATCCAGTCTAACATTGATGGACATTTGGGTTGGTTCCAAGTCTTTGCTATTGTGAATAATGCTGCAATAAACACACGTGTGCATGTGTCTTTAGAGTAGAATGATTTATAATCCTTTGGGCATATACCCAGTAATGGGACTGCTGGGTCAAATGGTATTTCTGTTTCTAGATCCTTGAGGAATCACCACACTGTCTTCCATAATGGTTCAACTAATTTACACTCCCACCAACAGTGTAAAATCATTACTATTTTTCCACATCGTCTCCAGCAACTGTTGCTTCCTGACTTTTTAATGATCCCCATTCTAACTGGAGAGAGATGGTAACACATTGTGGTTTTGATTTGCATTTCTCTAATGACCAGTGATGATGAGCTTTGTTTCATCTGTTTGTTGTCCACATAAATATCTTCTTTTGAGAAGTGTCTGTTCATATCCTTTGCCCACTTTTTGGTGGTGTTTTTTTTTCTTGTAAATTTGTTTAAGTTCCTTGTAGATTCTGGATATTAGCCCCTTGTCTGATGGATAGACGGCAAAAATTTTCTCCCATTCTGTAGGTTGTCTGTTCACTCTGATGATAGTTTCTTTTGCTGTGCAGAAACTCTTTAGCTTAATTAGATCCCATTTGTCAATTTTGGCTTTTGTTGCAATTGATTTTGGTTAAACACATTTTAAAAGCATAGTATGTGCCAGCTGACGGGGTGTTAAGATTTAAAGATCATTGGTGCTTTGCCCCTTGAAGGGAACAGGTAACAGAATAGGTATTTCTGATGCTTAAACTTCTGTGCTAACATTTTTTTTTTTTTTTTGCGATAAAAACATTCTCAGAGTTTCAGCCAGATAAAATAGAAAATGTATGAATTTTTATTACAAAAATGATCTGTCAAAAAGCTTCAACCCCAACATTTATGAATACTGGTTCTATGTTTTACTATATTTACAATGGAACCTTGGTCAAGTAACCAACCTCTAGGAATCTGTGTGTGTGTGTGTGTGTGTGTGTGTGTTTAAATCTGTACAAAGTAGATATACATTTTTAAGTTTTTAGTGCATGATATAATTTACTTAACATTCTTAATAAGAGTGTGGGGAATAGTAGGTACTAAATACATATTAATTTCTATCTTATGGCTTCTAATTCCAAAATGAATGTATCCATAAAATGATATGATCTTTTGTAAAGGTAGGTAATTGATACTGCCAATAATTAAGGCTGGCATGTTGTGATAAGTAATTCAAGATTATTTATCATTTAGTCTTAAACTACGTTTCCTAGTCCTTTTCCCTTTCTATACAAAAGAACAAGAGCAACATGATTTTGAGAATCATAAATAAATCAGGGACATTATGAAATACCATAAAATAGTAATCTGTACATCAACTCTACATCGTAGTTTTTAGCCCTGCCTTCACACTAGAATTCCGGGAAAGCTGTTAGAAAATACCAATCCCTGGAGCCTGAAATCTCCAAATCCTCAAATTCCGATTTACTCTTTCTGTGATGGGTTCAGAACACCAATATTTTTAAAAGCTGCCTGGATGACTGGCTAACACGGTGAAACCCCGTCTCTACTAAAAACACAAAAAATTAGCCAGGCATGGTGGCGGGCGCCTGTGGTCCCAGCTACTCCTGAGGCTGAGGCAGGAGAATAGCGTGAACCCGGGAGGCAGAGCTTGCAGTGGGCGGAGATCGCACCACTGCACCCCCGCCTGGCAACAAAGCAAAACTCCGTCTCAAAACAAAAAAATAAATTAATTAAATAAAACTGCCTGGATGATTAATATGCAGACATGTTTGAGCATCACTTAAAAGACTCACTGGCAACAGTTATTGTGCCATAAAGAGTTGTCTACATTTATGCTGTATATGGTCTCATTACAATTTTTTCCTCTCTCCATGACAATTTGACCCTACCCTACCACATTTGTGAGCTTCAGACTCCTATATCCTATTGCCTTTTGAATGACATCAGTTATATACCCTGTAGGAGTCTAAACCTCAGAACAACACACACTGAATTTAGTACCTTTGTCTCAAATCTACTTCTCCTCTATTATGCATCTGAATTATTAGCATGTAATCCACTCATGTGTTTAAGCCATAAATATAAGCATCAGCCTTAATGTCTTGCTTATCTTCTTTGTTTGCACCCAGTTCCACACCAAAAGTTCCACATATTCTCTTACTCATCTTGTGTATCTGGCCATATCTTTTCATACTTGGGGCCATTATCCTAGTGCCATTATCCTCTTGTTTGGACTATTTTTAAAGTTTTTTCATTGATCTCCTAGATTTCAGTCTTGCCCACTATCAATGCAATTTCTATATTGAGCCATCCAAAAACATATGATCGCCCTACTCTCTGACCTAAGATATTAATGTGACCTGTGATGTCCTTCATAATTGCCCCTTGCTTGCCTCTCACATCTCTTCTTACTCTATTCTGGATATTCGAGTCACACTAGCTTTCACTGTGTTTTCTGCATGTTGTTTCTTCTTTGAACATGCTGTCACTACTCCTGGAATCATACTTTCCTAATTCCTCTCTTTTATGCTCCTGACTCATCTTCCTATGTCATCTCCTTCAGTCAGCCTTCTCTGACACTCAAATCTGTATAAAATTTTTTCTTAGGGGCTCTCATGGTACTGTACTTCCCTTATCCC
This sequence comes from Homo sapiens, assembly GCF_000001405.40. Taxonomy (NCBI): domain Eukaryota; kingdom Metazoa; phylum Chordata; class Mammalia; order Primates; family Hominidae; genus Homo; species Homo sapiens. Next base: position 76,944,364 of record NC_000002.12, read on the forward strand.
AGCACCAAAAAACACACTGAATTCTCCATCTACTTACTTATTTACTCAAAAATATTGAAAGCTTTCCAGTAAAACATGTTGATCTTGTTCTCAGCTGTGTTTCCAGTGATTTCTCCAGTACCTGATAAGTATTAGTTACCCAACAAATTTTTGGTGAATGAATGAGTAGAACTGAATGTATTGTTTCTGAACATGAAAGGAGATGACACATAATCATGAAGGAGGTATAAGGAGGTTCATCTATAGAGAGAAATTACTGGGGAGGGGCAGAAGGCAAAAGAAAAATTTAAAACTCGTCTGCTCTCTTCAATTTTTTCCCTAAAAGTATGGTCATATTTATCTACTGAAAATTAGGATTGTAGGGAAATTCAGCTGGGAAATTGAGAAGTGTCCTTCTCAACTTCCCAAAGTTCATTTTAGATTAATGGGAAGGAAATTTACAAATGGCGAGTAAAAAGAGTCTCGGAGTGATTTAGAAAACAATCAGAATAATCTATTTGTAAAGGTTAAATCTATATTACTCAGGAATATTTACCAGTGTTCTACAGCTCAGGTATAAGAAGGAAGATGACAGAGCTTCCTTGGGAAGTTTTTACGAGTCCAGGGCTGCTATAAGAAACTACACAGTTTGAAGAATATGGAAATTATCCCGTGGATTTGGGACCCGAATCTGAGGATTCAAAAACTTTAATTCAGCTTTAGGACAGGTATGTGTTTTTTGGCCAAGGTCACAGATAAAGTAAAAATCAGCATATTACACACAAAATATAAGTATGTAAAGGGAATCTTACCAAGTGTAATTATTTAATAGTTTTCCTTTTATCTCTGTAAAAATAAGACAGAATAAACAAGTAACATCAACTCTAGAGAAATTGTTCACAAAATAAAGCAACTAGCGTGCCTAAATGACACTCTTCATATTTTCCTAAGGAGCATAGGATTTGCTTCAATGTATATTTATCGGTCTCAGAGTAACAACTTTTTCACTGTTGTGAAAATGCCACCACCATAAAATGTATCATGCTTTATTTTAGCAGATTGAAAATGGCCCTATAAGGCATGGGGCAATATTGGTGAAAATGAAGAGTGAACTATCATGGCAAATGTGCAATGGAGTTGTTGGCAGAAAGAGGATTTATGATGCAATGCAGAATATTAAATAGCTTTCCACAGAAAAAGAAGCAGCATTTGATTACAAAGTCTTTTTAACCTAAATATATATTAGAGACTGAAAAAGTCCTGCATATATATACTGCAACCCCCATTCAAAGTTTTGCAATAAAATTCAAGAACAAAAAGAAAAACAATGAAACATTAACTAGTCTAAGACGAAAACAATTTGGAGTAAAAATATGAAATATGTCAAGCATTCAGATTTTGAGTGTGTAGAAGTGTGTGTGTGTGTGTGTGTATGTGTATGTATTTATTTCAAAACATCATTACAGAAAAGTAGACTTTTGTAATCATAACAAAACTGGTTTATGACTTAAAATTCATTCAAGTATGCAAAAATAATTTTATCCACAATTGAGAAATTGTAGAAATCTGTATATCCCTTCTCATTCTTGTTCTTCACTGAATTCTCTTTAAACAATAAGAGTTTCTCTTAAAATAGCCATGATATTTTAACTTTTCAAGCTTCTTGAAATCTCAATGCAATATCACTAAAGTATAGCATTTTGCCAAGTTTCATACACATAGGCACATTATATCTTGTCTCTGTGGATAATAATGCCTTAAAAGTCAGTATTTTCCCTAGACTTAAATGCTTTCCTGAAAGAAGGTAGAAATCCTTCTGCAGAGTAAGTATTTCAAGGAAATCACAGTCCTAATCATTCTAAATGGACATAATATAAATATGCATTCATGACTCAACACATTTTTATAAAACTTTTGCATGATCTCTAGAGGGAATTGAGGTATTGTCAGCGTTTGTTCAGTGTATACGTGTGTAGAGGAAAAGTCAGAAGCCTGGTATTCTGCCATTTTGCTGACATCCCCATTTGCACGATTTTTATAACTATAGTGGCACATTCAAACAAGAACTAATATATAATAAATATAAACATTATTCTTGCTTTCTTGGAAAGGTGTCCAGTACTCCGACTTGTGCTTGGAAATGATGCTATAGACTAGATATAATATCAAAGGTCAGGCTTTTGGTGTTTAAAGACAACTGAGAGTGAAGTGGCAAATACAGAGTTAAAGGTCATGCACAATGGGCAACTCAATTTTGTCATGGTTAAAATCAGGATAATAATTTCTGCATTGCCAGCTTCAATTGAAGGAATAAGTAAAACTGAATACCTAAAGCCTAGCCAGTTTCCACAACATTGTAGACATGTAACAGATGTTACATAGCATTGTCACTCATACTTAGAGTAAGAATTTGGTCTGTAATCTTCTAAATTATACAACATTAAAAAGTGGACGTTTTTATTCCTGTAAAATTTTATTGAATTATTATCATTTGAAGCATCATTCAATATGGAAGAAATTATTTATGCGCCATTATTTGAAATATGTCTGGTCTGCCAAATGAGGCACACTTGTCATACACAGCTGGACAGAAGGAAGAAAGGCCAAGTTCCTTTGTTTGAAAACATTACAGTGTAACCAGGAAGGCCTGAGTGAAGAGAATAATTATAGAACCAATAAATAAAGATGTAGAGGGAAGGGTTTTAAACTCTCAGTTCCTGTTCTTGAAATTTCAAGGAAGTATTTAGATTTGAATGGGAAAAAAATGGAGCTCTTAAAATGTTAAGTGCCCTTGTCAACTGAACATCAACAGAAGGAATAATGGAGTAATAAGCTGATAATAATAAGTAGTAGTAGAAGTAGAACTAATGTTTACTTAAATGCACTTGATCCTGAGACTACACTGATATGTCCTGTGCCTTCTCTCATTTAAGTCTCACTGTACCCCTGTTATTAACACTATCTTCATTTTAAGATGAGAGAGTTAAAAGCTAGATTTGATAGGCTGCATAACTTCTCTAGAAAAACAAAGACAGTAAAGTGGACATGCAAGAATTTGAAGCCAGGTTCTTATGAGGAATAGTCATTATACACTAAATACAATAATGTGGGAATAATGAATTGTTCTGTGAAGCTCTGTTTTATTAATATCATATAAAATAAAATATTTGTGTTATTTAGTGTTCACTCATAATGTATGTTAAACTCCATCTTATCTAACCCTTTTTTGTAGGAATCAACGTATAGACTAAAATAAAAAAAATGAAACTTGTTAACATACATACAAATAGACATTTGTATACACCCATGCATACAAGTATGATCACACATATCCACACATATGAACAGCATTCTACTTTTCATAACCTACTTTAGATAGCAGCTGTTCATTAGAAAGGAATAGCAGTATGGTTAATACAATACACCCACTAACCATAAAATCATTTATACTTGACATTGAAAGTGTGTGTTTCATTATTTGTTTTGAGGGAATAGGCACATTTACAGCAGATTCTTATCAGAGCCCAAGCAAAAGAAAGAAATTGCAAGGCGACTCCCCAAATCAAAAAGAAATTAGAAGCTGCCCAAATATCCTGATTTTCCTCCCTTCTACTCTGGACTGAAGCATCTTTCTTAATTGCATGCTCTGAGCTGGGCTTTTACATTTTTCTCATTTTGCAGATCCTCAAACTATTTTCTTTGTAACAGGATGGAGAAGAAAGAAGCTTTGAGTCAAGAGAGAGATTCCCAAATAGTATCGTATCTACGAGTTTCACGGCAACAGCAAGTAATCCACATCACCAAGTGGAAAGTCTATTCAATGACAAAAAAAGTAGGACTGTCTTTTGTTTCTTTCTCCCACAGTATTTGTTATTGTGAGCAGACAACTTTATAGATAGAAGTGATGACAAATTTACCTTGATGCCACAATTTTGTCCCCATAAATCCTGTTCAATATTTAATTAGAATGGAGAGGTGTGTAACCAACATGACTGAACTCATGTGGGTTTTGTCAGGTGAAGACAAATGTCTTGCCTTTTAGTGTTTTTCTTTCATTGAAATGTGTTGGGCCTATTTGCAAAGAAAATGTAATAGTCTTACACTATTTAGAAATAGTTCATTTTAGGATGTGTCATCTCTTTTCATATTTTTTTGATATCCATTTCCAGTAGAATTGGTAAGAGTAATTTCATTTGGAATCAATTTCTTGGGCTGATTATGATTCTGCAGGTGTTATATGGTAACTTAATAACAGCTCTTATACATCTAAACCACCAGAGATAATTTAGAGTAGAAATGCCTATGGAATAATATATTGCTGCGCCACTGAATTTCAAAAGAATTCATTATGATTAATAATATTACAATAGCAACTGGAGGAAGTAATAATGATTTGCCACAAGTTATAAGGACTCATTGAATAGTTTTAATCTTACTACATTTAAACATTGAACTGCAAGTAAATTCAGCAATACTCAATAATGAAATTTGGGGCTCATAATAATGCTATTAATCATAACTAGATTTTGTACATTTTATGAGAAGGAATATACATTTGGTGGATTTCATTTAAATATTTTACTGATTTTGATAAAGCTATATGTGTGATTTGGATCCTATAGTGAGTATGTCTTTACAAAAGCCATATTTGTTTTAAATGACTGATAGATTTAATTCCCTAGTGAATATTCCGTATTTGCACCAAAATCCATACTCTTCTTACAATTAAGAGAAATAGAGTGCTTTGGGGAAAATAAAGAGTGCTTTAGCTAATAAAAATACAGAAACATCCAATCCTCTCTTGCTTACATTACAGAATCTCTGTTTCAGAATTAGCTTACATCTATTTCTCTTCAGTTATTGGAGAAATCCTCAACACTGAACCTGGGTACAATTAGAAAATGAGTTCAAATAAATGAATAGTTATCAAGTTTCTGGCTCTTTCACATGGGATACGTGAGGATGAAGTATATGAAGAAGTATGAAGAAGTCAGGCTGCTTTATTGGGAATTCGCTCTCATGGAATTCACAATAAAGGAGATGCAGAGCAATACAGAGCTCAATATAATGCAAGGTAAACCCTGTTCTACTAGGGAATGGAATAAAGTACCCCAAGGAGAGAACAATTTATTCTGCTTGAATAGTTCACAGAACACTTCATAGAAGAGATAACATTTTCAGCCAGACTTGATAGATGAGAGAAATTTCAGCTGTTGAAGGTGGCATGAAAAACGTGCCAAAAATACTAGCAGAGAAATGGTGATGCTCAGTGGCCACAGGATACAGTGGGAAGATCTCAGATTCTTCTCTGGTATCCAGTTCCTCTGTGTTTCAATTAATGTATCTGTAAAATGTGTTACTTCTCTGTAATTATAATTTACTCCCACCTAACAGATTTTGCATCACCAAACACATTAAGATAGTTTAAATCACATTATTGATTTTGGTGTAAAAATATTTTGATGATGACATTAAGAAAACACAGAAAATGCAATGATTATTTCAACAGAGAAGAGGTAAGCAGCATTATAATTGACTGGTCAAGATCATAGGCTAAGTCCCATTATAGCCAAATTAAGAGCCATGAGAAAAGCAAAATGCAGGAAAAGTAGAGATAAGATAGAAGACAAAATATATAAAACTGGTGAAAAGTAATAAGACAACAGTAAGATGCATAAGCTTGGACATGAATGAGTGAGAGTAGAGGCCATGATTCAAACAAAGAGAAATGAATTCACAAATTATGAAAACAGTAGTGGTAATGGTGACACATAGGAAAAATAGTTAAGCAAGCCCTCCCAAACACTTCAGAGCATTTCACTGGGAACTCAGTAATCCTTAAATAGCTCTGCCAGAAAACAAGAGCAACCACCAGTTCTGAAAAGTAGTCTAAATACATATATTAAAAGTCACCTCAAAGGTCTCTATGGTAATGTTACATTTTAGCTCACATATCCTGGAAGGCGTATTTCCTAGGGCACTTCAGGTATTGGGATGGAGTCAGACACAAATACACTATAACCTCACTCACACTTATGCATCTCAACTTAACAAAGCATATGTCAGAAAATCATCCCTGCCTGTACTTTCCAAACTTTGTCTAATGCAAAGTAAAGGGAGTTATTTAAGAAAATTTTATTAACCTTCAAAACAGGAAAAATGAATATTGTATCTGAATTGAAAAGTTTAGGAAAAAATGTGTCCTCTGGTTAATCAAAATGAATACTCACTCATCTGCTTAATATGGATTTTTTTTTGACTATAAGAATTTGCTGCTCAAAACTTCAGATAATAGATTTTACAAACAGTTGTAAACAAACACTACATTCTGCATTTGGCTAAATTAGGGCCCTATGAAAGCATTTTTAATGTTGAAAAGAGGAAATAGTGAAATCTGATCTAATACTTACAAAAATAAAACAGATACTCAAGAGCAGTTGTAGGTACTTTTTAGAAAGGGTTCAGCCATATTAAGACTAGATTCAGCCATATTAAGACTAGGCTAAAATGAACTAGAGTTTCCGAGATGTCAGAAAAACCTCATTGTTTTCCTGACAATGTGTCTTCAAATAAACCAGACAGATGCATTCACGTGCAGCCTGTTTTCCTTCATTTCAACACTTTGGAGGAGGAATCCATCAATGTGATTTAAGAATAGATCTGCATATTAATGTTTTCTATCATAAGGAGGAAATAAATACAGTAAGTGTAGCACATGTAATTTAATGATGATGTTATTCACAGAAGGTTTATACAAAAGTCAAATGATAGATTGGCTGCTCTGAATAATAGTTGGAAAAAATTATAAGTCTTGTTCTAAATTTTAAAAGTAAACTTATAAGCATCAAGGAACAATAAAGCTGAAGTGATTAGCAGTGTAAAAATATCTGTCCTGTGATTTAACTTGTCAACATGTATGAAATTTAATGGTAAATATGAAAGACGTATAATGATTAGGAGAGTATGAACTGCTATTCTTAAGGATGGCTTCTCTTTCAGTCACTTTTTTCTAGGTATCGGAGTCTATAAAAAAACAATTTATTTCTTTTAAAAGATAATTACCGTTAACCTAGAGTTTCAACTCTACTCTTCATAATGACAAAATGTCTTTCTCTATTAATTAAAGAAAAGCAGGTCACTGGACCACATCTTTTTTTTGTTTGTTCCAAATAATATTTACCTAGCCTTTATTGTCACAGTAAGAGAGGTGAACCTTAAAAATTTCAAGGTTTGTTTGACTATAAGAAATTGCTGCTCAAACCTTCAGATAATAGATAATTTTTTTCTTTTACTTTAACTTCTGGGATACATATGCAGAACATGCAGGTTTGTTACATAGGTATACACGTGCCATGGTGGTTTGCTGCACCTATCAACCCATCATCTAGTTTTAAGCCCCGCATGCATTAGGTATTTGTCCTAATGCTCTCCCTCCCCTTGCTCCCCTCCCCCTGACAGGCCCCAGTGTGTGATGTTCCCCTCCCTGTGTCCATGTGTTGTCATTGTTCAACTCCCATTTATGAGTGAGAACATGCAGTGTTTAGTTTTCTGTTCCTATGTTAGTTTGCTGAGAATGATGTCTTCCAGCTTCATTCATGTCCTTGCAAAGGACATGAGATCATTTTTTATGACTTCATAGTATTCCGTGGTGTATATGTGCCACATTTTCTTTATCCAGTCTATCACTGATGGGCATTTGGGTTGGTTCCAAGTCTTTGCTATTGTCAACAGTGCAGCAATAAACATAGGTGTGCATGTGTCTTTGTAGTAGATATTAGCTATAGTAGGCTATAGTAGGCTTTTGGCAAAGTCTTTAGGGTTTTCTAGGTATAGGATCATATTGACAGGGAAGAGATAGTTTGACTTATTTTCCTGTTTGAATGACATGTATTTCTTTCTCTTGTAGAATAATCAGATGGCCTGCAGATTTGGAGAAAATATTTGCAGACTATGCCTCCAACAAAGCTATAATATCCAGAACCTATGAGGAACTTAAACAAATCAACAAGAAAACAACAAATAACCTCATTTAAAAATGGGCATGAACAGACATTTCTCAAAAGAAGGCATACGTGTAGCCAACAAATATGAAAAAATGCTCACTGTCTCTAATCATCAGAGAAAGGCAAGTCACAACCACAGTAAGATACCATCTCACACCAGTCAGAATGGCTATTAATAAAACGTCAAAAAAGCAGAAATAATGGCAAGTTTGTACAAAAAGGGGAACACTTATACACTGTTTGTGGAAATGTAAATTAGTTCGGCACGGTGGAAAACAATTTGGAGATTTCTCAAAGAACTTAGGAAACAGAGCTACTGTTTGACCCAGCAATCCCATTACTGAATATATATCCAAAAGAAAATAGATCATTCAGCAAAAAAGACAAATGCACTTGTATGTTCACCACCGTATTATTCACAATAGCAAAAACATGGTACCAATCTCGATGTCCGCCAGTGTGGGGGACTGGGTGTGGTACACATACACTACAGAATACTACACAGTCATAAAAAGAATGATATCATGTACTTTGCAGCAGCATAAATGGAGCTGGAGACCATAATCCTGAATATATTAATGCAGGAAAAGGAAACTACTGCCTGTTCTCCCTTATAAGTGGGAGCTGAACATTTAGCATCCAAGGACATAAATATGGGAGCAATAGACATTAGAGACTACTAGACAAGAAAGAAAAGAATGGGAGAATGGTTCAAGAAACTACCTATTGGCTATATGCTCACTACCTGGATACAATATACTAGTGTAACAAACCTTCATATGTACCCACTGTATCTAAAATAAAATTTGAAAAAAAATAAAGTAAAAAAAAAAATAGTATACCTGGAAAAAAAGAAAAACTTCAAACAAGAAGAGTTTATGGATGTCACCATGATAACACAATAGACTATTCCAGACCTTTTCCCCCACAGGAACACTGATCTAACAACAGTATATGGACCAAAAAGCCTCTATGAGAACTTTAGAAATCAGTCAGGAAGTGGCAGTACTCCATGCAACCTCAAAGCCAAGAATAGTTGCTTTGAAACGGGCAAAAATGCTATTTTATTTCAAACAAGAGAGCACCTTTCCTAACGCAGCACTGCTCACAATTGGTAGGAAAACACACGCGCACACACACACATTACGTTCTCTTGTGAGGGAAAGAGAAGAGTAGAACATACATCATATATTTCATCATTTTTGGGAAGCTGCCCAAGGGACTGACTAGGAGCACTGAGAGTTAACTGGTATACCTTGAATGTCTGGGGTCCACAGAGATCAAAAGAGAGTTCAGCAGCTTATTGAAGCCCTGGACTACACATCATACCACACAGAAACCAGCACAATTCACCACAATTGGGATTAAATGCCTGGTTTGTGGCTTCTCTCTTGGGAGGGAAAAAGTAGAGTAGAATGTGCATCTGATATTCAGCTTTTCTGGGACTGTTTGAGGTACTGATTACTGTCTTATCTGACTCAGAGTCCTGATGGGAGCTGGCATAATTTGTATGCTTGAAGGTTACAGAGCACAAGAGAGGTCAGTAGCTTATGACAGTATCAGAGAACCTGCAATACCACAGACAGACACCAGAGAGAGCAAGAGACTACAACCTCCTGAGAAAGAAACTGACAAGCCTCTTCAACAGAGAAACTACGTGCACAAGCCTGGAGAAAAGACCACATGTATAAAAGATTTGAGAAGCCCTCAGAGTCTCTAGCCAGGCAGGCTGGGGGTGGTCTTTCTCTGAATGAAGCCAGTCCATAAAGACTCAGAGAGGTAGGTTTTTTCAAAGTGTATGGATCCCCACACAATGTTACACGGCATGTAAAGAAATAGAAATAAGGCCTAATCAAAGAAACAAAATAAATTTTTAGAAACAAACTCTAGGGAAATAGATGTATATAAATTACATAACAAAGAATTCAAAATAACCATCAAAAAGATGACCAATAAGCTCAGAAAACAATGCATGAACAAAACGAGAATATCAGCAAGATAGAAATTAATAACAAAGCAACCAACAAAAAACAAAATTTTGGATATGAAGAATACAATGACCGAATTGAAAAATTCACTACAGTTTCTAGATCAATCCAAAGAAAGAAATCAACAGACTTGAAGATAGGTCATTTGAAATTATCCAGCCTGAGAAATAAAAAGAAAAAAAAAATGGAAAAGAGGGATGAAAGCCAAAGGATCTAAAGTATACCATCAAATGAACAAATACGGGAGTTCCAGACGAAGAAGAAGAGAGAAAGGGCCAGAAAGCTTACTTGGACAAGTATTGGCTAACGTGGTCTGAAATCTGGGGAAAGAAATGAAAGTCCAGATTTGAAAAACCCAGTGAATTAGAACTGAAATGAACATAAAGAAGCCCACGCTGATATACGCGATAATAAAATTATCAAAATTAAATAATGAAAACAATTTCTAAGCAATATGAGAAAAGCAACTCATCACATACAACTCACCACATCACATACATATTCATAAGACTATCAGTGATTTATCAGCAGAAACCTTGTGGGCCAGAAAGACTTGGTATGATATAGTAAAAGTGCTGGGGACAAAACAAAAACAAAAACAAAACAAAAAAACCGCCAGCCATAACATAAATACCATAACCAACAACAATATCCTTCAGAAATGAAGGGGAAACAAAGACTTTTCCAGGAAAACAAAAGCTGCAGGAGTACATCACCATTAGACCTGCCTTCCACGAAATCCTAAAGGGAACTCTTCATGTTAAAATAAAAGGACACAAGACAGCAACATGAAAGCATGTAAAAGTATGAAGCTCACTGATAAGGGTAAATTTATAGATAAATAAAAATATGGTAATTCTGTAATGGTGATGTATAAATAACTTTTAATTCTGAAGTAGGAGTTAACAAAAAAGTATAAAAATAACTACAACGATTAAAATAGGTCAATTGACACACAATATAAAAAAATGTGACTTGTGACATCAATGTAAAAAAGTCCGTTGGGAGAAAAAAAGTGTAGTGTTTTTGTATGTGATTCAAGTTAAGTTGTTACCTACTTAAAACAGATTGTTACCATGATAAGGTGTTTTATGTATGGTAATCATAAGAAAATATAGACATAAGATATGAAAAATAAAATGAGAAAGGAATCAAAGTATGTCACTACTAAGAATTCAATAAAACAGAAAAGAAGCAAGAGGAGAGGGTAAAAAAGCTACAAGACAGCGATATGAACTGTTTATGTTCTTCTTAAATTCATATGTTGAGTTCTCAATTCCCAATACGATGCTATGTAGAGGTGGGGCCTTTGGAGTGTAATTAGGTCATGAGGGTGGAGCTCTCTTGAATGGAATTAATGACCACCTAAAAACAGAAGAAGATGCAGGATCTCACCTTTCACTCTCCACTTGGGGAGGGTACAAGGAGTGGATGACCGTCTGCAACCAAGAGTGGGCCCTCACCAGACACTAAATTTACCAGTACCTTGATTTTAGACTTCCCAGCCTCCAAACTACGAAAAATAGTTATTAGTTAAGTCTCCCACTCTATGGTAAATTGTGATAGCAGCCCAAACTGACAAAGATGGACAGCAAGAAAACATTGAATAAAATGGCAAAAGTAAATTATTACTATCAGTAATTACTTTAAGTGTAAATCGATAAAACTCCCACTTAAAAAAAAAAGCCTAGAGAGGTTGAATGGATTCAAAGAATAATATTCAACTGTAGGCTGTCTAGAAGAGACTCATTTTAGATTTAACAACACACATTAGTCAAAAGTGAAAGAATGAAAAAAGATATCCCATACAAATGATAACCAAAGAAGAATAGAGGTGCCTCCAGGAAAGATCACTTGTTAGGTCATAAAGCAAGGTTTAACAAATTTAAGAAGACTGGCATAATGGCAAGTGTCTTCTCTGACCACAGTGGAAGGAAACTAGAAATTAATAGCAGAATAAAAACTGAAAAAATAAAAAATAAAAGAAAATTAAACACATTTGGATAACTAATACGTAAAGAAGGGAAAGGTAAGGGGAACAATTTGTCCAAAGGGAAATTAGAAAATATCCTGATAGAAACAAAAATAAAGCACAACAGACCAAAACCTATGGGATGTAGCAAAGGCAGTAGTAAAAGGGAAGTTTATAGCAGCAAATGCCTACATTATAAAAGAAGAAAAATCTCAAATAAACTATCTAACTTTATACCTCAAAGAACTAGAAAAATAAGAATGATCTAAACCTAAAGATAGCAGAAAATGAAAATAATAAACACTTGATAAGAAAAAATAGAGAATAGAAAAATTAAAATATTAATAAAATTAAGGAGATTTTTTGAAAAATCAATCAGTTGACAAACCTTTAGGAAACTAAGAAAAAAAGAGAGAAGATTCAAAATAAATAAATTCAGAAAGAAAACAGGAGACATTACAAATAAGGCCACAAAAGAAAAAGGATTTCAAGAGATTACTATGAAAAATTTTGTGAAAAATTTGAATAATCTAAAAGAAATGGATAAATTTCTAGAAACCTACAAACCACCCAGACTGAATTACAAAGAAAATTCTTAGCAGACTTATAACTAGTAAGAAAGTTGAATAAGTGATCAAAAACTTCCCAAAAAAGAAAAGTTCATGTTCATCACAGCATTACTAACAATAAACAAGAGTTAGAAACAAATTGTGTCCATCAATGGATAAATGGATTAAAAAATGTGATATATACATACAATGAAATATTATTTGGCAAGAAAAGAGAAAATATTGTTATATGCTACAACATGGATACACTTTAAAGACATTCTGTTAAGCAAAATATACCAGTGATAGAAGGACAAAAAATGCATGATTTTCCTTATGGGAGGTGTTAAAGTGGTCAAACTCTTAGAACCAGATGTAGAATACTGGTTACCAGGGTCTGAAACAGGGCAAAATGGAAAGTCATTGTTCAATGGGTAGAGTTTCAGTCATGCAAAATGAAAAAGTTTTAGAGATATGCTCTACAACAAAGTGCATATAGTTAACAATGTTTTACTGTACACGTATGTTAAAAAGGTGAATGTCATATTATATGGTTTTTCCACAGTGATAACAAGTTAGATATCTCACAAATAATTTCAAGGTAAAAGAACCCTGCTTTACTTGATTTTAAAATCTTTCTAAAGTAACAGGAAAAATATTTTAGATTTACTGGAGATTCTATTTAAATTTTAAACCCAACTTTAACAATTTCAAGAAGAATCCCTGTTTTCTATTCCAGAATTATTTTTCAATCTTTATCAAACTTGGATTATCATATTTGACTGTCCTCTTATGATAGTGCCAAATGGATTTAATAGTACCTCAGGAACCATCATTAGAAACTGATCTAATAAATTGCTATAAATTTGATGCACTTTCTATTAACAGGGTGTAAAAGCTTGAATATAAGAAGAATAATCAAAGTTTCTCATAATGGCACACACTCACATGGTTTTGACACGCTCACTTCTCAAAACATATGTGCTTATGATATGGTTTGAATAATTCTGCCAGATAGACTAGCTTTCCCTTAAGATTATATGTATACATATATGTGTTTGTGTGTGTGTATATATATGTGTGTGTGTATATATATTTATATATAATTTTAATCAACATAAAGTCTTTTATTGTTATTTGTTCCAATTTTAGTTATTATCAGCTGTAGGCCTTAAGTATTTTTGAGACAATAAGTTAAGCTTTAACACTTGACATGAATCACATGGGAAAAAGGAGGTTTCATTTACTACAAAATTCCATGGAATACAACATTTCTTCCCAGCTTTCCCTTAGTTTGACATCAAATATTTATAGAATAGCTAACCTCTTGCACTCAGTGGCCAGGCAGAGGGCCATGTCATCATAATAATGCCAAATTTACTGTCACAATCTTTCCCAGGAATCCAGAATATGAACAATAAAAAACTATGACAGAAACTCTTGATTGCTGAAAGTTTTGAGTTTGACTCTATGGTTTTCTGGCATTGTGTACTGATGGATTTTCCAACTCGAAGATAGATAACTGAGCCCCATAATCACCTGAAAGAGCTGCGCTTGTAACGCACCCACCCCTACGCAGAGGAGAAACACCTACGCTGATATTGCTGAATGTTCCAGATAGAACCCTTTTAAATTTTTGGTACAGCTGGTTTCATAGTTGTTAAAATACTATTTAAAAAGTAAACAGCATCCATTTCCATACAAGATCCTTTAGGTTCACAGTGAGGCCCTGAAGCCTCACACTATCTCTCATGTGCAGATTCGAGGGTCTTCATAACTCTTGAATTTCACTCATGTTCTTTGTTTCATTTGAATCAAGAAAATAGCTCTTGGGTAACTTTCATGTTTCACTGAATGTAAGATCAAGGTATCCTACTAAACTGATACATAGAGTACCATTTTAGTGGGATTAGAATTACCATAAAGTGTGTACAACAAAATTACTGTAAAATCTGCAGTATTTTTCAGATTTTTAATTTTGAAATATGCCCCCTTGCCATTCACCTCCTCACAACCTCAAACACCACCACCCAAGTATCTTGCTGGACTAGTTTTCCAGGCTTGTTACTTGGAAAACGCTTGTGTAGAGCTTGTGTAAAGCCCAAAAGGGACTGTCCTTGGTGCTGAAAAGGGAAGCAGCCACACGGTCATTGTTTTTCGGAAAAGGGCCTCCTACCTAGAAAGCTGAATTGCTTTTTGGCCACTTTCTGCATCATGAGCATAATCAGGCCTCTAAGCCCAGGGCATCCCTTTGGCTGGTTATGATTTCTGTTACTTAGTGCTGAAATTTTAAATTTAATGTCTTTTCGTAATCTTCACTTTCAATATTCTATTAAAATAGTCTTTAAGATAGTCTTGGTAAGATGTCAAATTTTAAAACTATATTATGTTTTCATCATGATATCAATTTTAAAACAAATGTCATGGTGGAGAGGACAGCATTTTGAATATAGGGACCTAGCATGCCCTTCCTAGAAAATGACTGAAATGAAGAAAGTCACATAAACATAGAAAAATATCACATCAGTATTAGAGGTGGGTGATAAGACTGATATCTAATAACTAAAATCAGAAACATCAAAATATTTCTGGGGAAAAAAAACACGACAGAAATAAAACAAAGGAGAAATTATCCACCTTTAAAAATGGGGTTTGTTCCATTAGACATTCCTGTAAGAAAGCTAGGACAAACAGGCATATACTCCTTAATTTCAAAAGTAAAGGGATAAAGTAGAAGGCAGTATCTAAAACAGCAAAGACTTACTCCTATTGGAAAATTTTCATGAAATATGTGCAAACAACATGCAAAATAAGGTAACTTAAGCATGTGGCATTGGCTACGGAATTTAAAGAAGTGTGTGATGCAGCTCTTCCTCTAACTTGATAGGCTGTGGGGTGTGATTATAATGGTGAGTAGCAAAGAGTGGGTGTGAGTGGCCCACATGTCAGCAGAGAAGACTATTGTGTCATTTACATTATTTAAAATTCCAGTGCATTATGATTTAAAAACTCCAACCCTTATTTGGTTTTATTATTATTTTAAAATCTCTACAAGTATGCTGGTCATTATTAGTGGTATTACTACCAATACCATTGCCTTCATAGCCACTGGTTTACTCTGTATTAAAAATGGAAACTTGGCCAAACAAAAAAAAAAGCTACCTGTTAAAAAGGGCCTAAGGGCAAAACGACTTTACCAAACTTAGGGAAGAATGGAAACCAACTCAAGGTCTCCCAGTAGGACTGCCTACACCACATCTTTCTCTCCATCATCCTAATTACCAAACAGTACAGAACTTATCACATTCTACCATATTTGAAAAAAAAAATTATTCCACATTAAAAACAATTTTATAGAACAGCTATCTCGTGGAAAAAATGTTTCAAGTGTATCAGCTAGTTATAACAATGCTACGAGAGAGATAACAGTATATGTATTTGCACAGAAAACATAAAACATAAACAGTGGAATTACATGCATTTTTTATTTTTTGTTTTATGATTTTCTATTTTTTAACTTTATAAAAATAAGCATTATAATTATTACTAAAAAGACACAAACATCAAAATATTTAAAGTTTTTCTATATAAAGGAACATTATAGCAATGTGGACTTGTACCATCTCTTTATTATTTCTCTTCTCAGAAGTTATTTGAAAAAACAGAAACTGTGAGACCTTATTATCCAGCTGCATGTGGTATCTTCAACTCAAATACTCAATTTAGCAAACACATGCATGTGTGTGCACACACACATATTATTTTCAATATCACAGTCATTCAACAATAATTTCCTGAAGATTAAGATGGTATAAAAATTAAAGGGACTCTAGAATCACGACGTTAAGTTTTGAACCTTATTGTCATTTGTTATGTAACACTATACATTTTGTTTTCCCTAAATAAAAACTGTAAGCCTTTTTATATAGTTGCTTAAATATCTGGACTTAAATCATACCATTCTTATAAAATTTAAAATGAGAAATATATTTAAAGAGCTTTGTGGAATTTTTGGCACATTTTAAAAAATAAATGCTCACCATTTTTGTTAAATAATGACTATGTATAATACACTGTGCTACCAATGTGTGGATATTAAAGTAATACTACAAGATAATTTATTTTTTCAATATAATTTTGTAATTAATACTTGTGAAAGATTAGAGAATGTAAAGTTTTATTTTTAATTTTTCTATCAGCACTTATAATGTAAATATATTAACTCATTATCTACTTTCATTTTTATTTATTACAACGACAGGTTAAATCATTTCCCCTTATTGGATAGCATAATATACAGGCTTTCCTAACTATCTAACGTTGTAAAAAGTGCTGTTTATCATGTTTATCTGGTGTCACATGTAAATAAATATCTAATATAATTGGAAATCTTCGGGCAGTGAGAGGAGATGCTGTCAAAACATGAATGATTTGTCCATATCATCGTTTTCTGAGTCTTATAATTCCCAACTGTTACAATAAGGCTTAAGCGAAATATTAGAGATGGAACATCACAGATCTGTTAGCTTGCCAATATTTTTATACATCAAAGAAAAAAAAAAACTCATCGTCATTCCTGACTTTTGTCTCTGCTAATGTGAGGAATGCTCTATCAGGAATGGCTACCTTAAACAACATTTCAGAATCTCATTATATATTTTCTTCACTGAACCATTAGCCAGAATGGTGAGAAAAGAAGCATCCTGGGCAACCTAAGCACTTAAACAGAGAGACCTATATAAAGTGGAATGGATGTTGGACCAATAGTAAGAAAGGCGTTAGATTCCCAGGGCTACTATTAATGAATACTTTTACATTAGGGCGTCACTTCAGATTCCTGATCGTCAGCTTTTGAATTTCTAAAATGAAGGGTTATAACCAAATTAGGACAAAAATCTATTCTATTTCCCAGGCTCTAGGTGATACATACTATACATATGTATCTTATTTTCAACAAATTTTAATTCAATAATATACTCTAAAATTTTGCTTTGTCAATATTTAAAGCATTCATTAAACCTTAAAGTTGAGAAATAAGACATTGATAGCTCTCACTTGAACTTGGGTGATCTTTGCAATTATGAATTTATTCAATGAAGCCCCTTTATGAATATAGTATTTCTGGTTTTCTGAGGGTTTCTTCCTCAATATAGGTCATATACCTTGGAGATAACCAGAGCATGCTTCATGCATGTATACATGTTGAATCTAAGCCCTTATAGAGTCTCTACTGTAACTATTTAAAGATGATAGAACTAAGGCTTGGAGTAGTAAACTATATGTTTAAGAAAGGACACACTTTAAATGGTAGGTCAAATATGATTTAAACATCACTACAAATAACTACTTAAGTAATTTGAAAGATAAATAAAAATTTCTGAGAAGACAGTTTTGTACAAAACAGCATGTACAAGATTAGACACATACAAAAATTTCAATACAAAGTAATACGTATTGGTGGATAAATGTGTAGCAGTGGTTACAAATGTGGCAAACTCACAATCTTAAGTAATTACATTACCTTCCACCTCCCTTTTCTCATGCCTCAATTTTTGTTGTTTGCATAACAATATACTATCTAGATAAACGAACCAGAGATGGAGAAGAGAGAGAGGTATATGATTATTTACTATTATGCTAATAAATAATGAAAGTGTATTTTTTTTTGTCTAGGGAGAGAAACAATATAAATAGCTGAACTTTTGTGGTGAAGTGACTTTTACTACTTCACCATTTAAAACCCACGTATGTATTTATTTTTAAAATAAAAATAAATGAAATAAATTTATAAGCAAATTCAGTAATATAATTGCAAATTTTGGTGAAATAAATTTTAATATAATATTAAATAAAATACTGTTTTAAAAATAGACAGAACATCTTAGGAATTAAAGCAAGTATTATGAAAGAAATTTCAAAGGGTATTACAGCTTACCTCATTCAACTCATTAAGATACAGATAATTGCAATGCTATTTGCACATTTCCAGAGCATTAAAAAGATGCTAAACTTTACATTTTTAAATGCCACCGTGACTCAGAAGCCAAAAGTTGATTTAGAAAATTTAAAAATAGCACACTTATACACACAAACACGTGCACCATCAGATCAGTCTCAATAAATCTCAATCATGATTATCAATGAACAAAAGGTAGAACTCTGACAATATTCAAAGTGTATATTAAGATAAATTATGCATAATAAATTTAGCTTTCATCTAAGAATTCAAAAATAATTCAATGTAATTATTTAATTGATCAATAAATGAAAATTTTCAACTTAATGACCTTACTCAATGTAAAAAATGTATTATAAAAATTTAATTCTTATTCCTGAAAGAGCAATGATTACTAAAAAAGTAAAAGTAAAATTAATATAACAATTTTATAGACTACAAACCAAGGGTCAACATTAAATTGTGATAAAATCCTAAATACTGTATTCTTAAGTAAATGGCGATTCTACTTAAGAAGGCATTACTATTAGTTATCATTGCTCTGGAACTATCTCCTTAGAAAAAAGTAAAGGAAAATCTGAAAAAATGTATTGATCAAGTGATTAAAACAGATTTCTCATCAGAAAATGGCTAAACCACATGATCAGGCAATACGTAATATAAACACATATGGCCAAGAAACCTTTGAAAAAATATTTGATTCAGAAATAATTTAAGAAATTCAAATTAATAAACAATGAAATTTATTTCTTCCTTGAGAATGAAAACACATTTAAAGATTCTTATAAGTATCATCTAAGCTATAAAATAAAAATGTATAAGGGGAAATTTAGCTTTATGTTTTCAAAGCCTTAGGATTTTCGTACTGTTTCATACTGCTTTTCCATATTTCAGACATATTACAGGGACATTCTCATGAATATTGGTCCCTTGACATATTGTTTATAATAGTGAAAAATATAAACAATGTAAATATCTAATAATAGTAAGAAGTTTGTACCATAGGTTAATGGCAGATAAACATTTAAGGAAGTATTTTTAGTAAGAG
The DNA here is from genome assembly GCF_000001405.40 of Homo sapiens. NCBI lineage: Eukaryota > Metazoa > Chordata > Mammalia > Primates > Hominidae > Homo > Homo sapiens. The sequence continues at coordinate 76,963,858 of NC_000002.12, forward strand.
AATATTACCATAATTATATAATTTTAAAAATTTCATTTTTATATTAAATTTCTGAAAGTATATTACACAAAACATGTCATTAATATTTTAATAATGAATATTTTTATGGCCTACTGTATTACAAATTATGCTTTTCATTAAATTTATATACAATCAGAAATATATTATCAAATTTTAATAAGACAAATAACTTTCAGTGATAGACATCAAATAAATCTTCATAGAAGTAGTCAGAATTCATTTGGAATTCTAAAATAAAAATGAGCCTAAACCCCTATGAGCCAAACAAAATGAATGTTTGTAGCTGTGACCCTAATAGCACTTCACTTTAGTTGGAGGTAGACGGGGGATAGTGTTATGTGTTGTTTGGAGAATACTGTTAACATTTTAAGCAATAAAAAAATCAACTCTTCAGATATGCAAGACTTTATTAGTTGTCTATAGTGTCTGCTTTGTTGAGTGTAACTAGCCTCTGTTTCATTGAATGTAACATGAAATATGTGGAGGAAATAATTTTACAGATAAATTCAGGTCTACCATACAGAGTATTCCTATACTATCAAAAGTCAGAGCAGCTGAAATGTCCTCTGATTCTTCTGCATCATCCTCCAACAAAAGTGTTGAAATTTACCAATTGTTTTTTTCCTGTTCCTAAGTAAAGCTCAATAATTCTACAGGGGTCTGTACTCCCTGTCATATATTCAAATTGTTTGACATATTGAAAACTGAAATAAAATTATGGTTTTAGAATTGAGTAGTGCATATATTACAAAACATGAAAGATCTAAAATTAATAATCTAATCTTCCTTACTTTAGGAAATTAAAAAAATAAAAGCAATTTAAGCTTAAATCAAGCAGAAGAACAGAAACAATTAAAACTGGAAAAGAAATCAATAAATGTGAAAATGGGAAAACAGAGAAAAGCAATGAAATAAAAAACAATTAATAAAGAGAGAGAGATAGAAGACAAAAATTATCCATACCAGATATAAAAACTAGGCCCTTTGTAATTTTCCCATGGACATTAAAATAATAACAAAAGAGTACAACAAACAACTCTATACCCACAAATTTAATAATTTAGGTAAAATTAATACAATTCCTTGAAAGATATAAATGCCCAAAATTCAAAGAAAAATAGATCTGATTAAGCCCATATCTATTAATGAAATTGAATAAATGATTAATAACCTTCCAACCTTCCAAAAAATGAAGCATCTGGTCCAGATAGTTTCATTGGTGAATTCTACCAAATATTTAAGTAGGAAATGATACCAATTTTCCAGGATCTGTTTCAGAAAATACACACAGAGGACAAACTTCCTATCACATTCTATGAGGTCAGCATTACCCTACCAGCAAAAACAAATTAAGATATTATAGAAGAGTGAATGTAAACTACAGACCAATCTCTCTCATGAACACAGATGCAAACAATCCTCAACAAAATATTAGCAAATTGAGTTCAACAATGTGTAGAAAGAATTATACACCATCATCAAGTAGGATTTATTTCAGCTAGGCAAGGTTGATTCAAAATATGAAAATCAATTTATGTTATATGCCATATCAACAGGGTAAAAAAGAATCATATGATTATATTAATTGATATCTTTGATGAGCAGAAACATCTTTAATTTCTAAACATTTAACTTTGGATGATGTAACAAAAACTATTTTATTGTTTTGGGACCTAAAGTAAATACATACTTGCATATTTAACTCTTATAATTATTATTGTTTACAGGTTAAAAAAAACAGTATTCAAAACTGACTTAGCCTGATTTTAGCTGAATTCACATTGAGTAATTCTTGGTTCTACTACTTACGCTTTTCACTAGGCATTTCAAATAAACACTGTAACATGTTCTAACTGTAAAATACACAGTACTTGAAAACAAATTTATATAAATGAAACTATTTCATAAAATGTCACAATTACATAAGTTATATGTGCTCATTTAGGACAATTAAAAACTATGCAAATGAAAGTACTAATTATCATCCCTATAGGTATATCAATAAAGTGAAAACCGAGTATCTAAATTTGCCTTTGTACACCCTCATAATAACTGTAGGGGTTGATTGGAGCCAGGTACTCACTGGCCAGCTTCAAAAACAAATTGCAAAGAGATTTCCCAACATCTACTCTGGTGGCAAGAGTTGGCTACAAATCGTTCCTATCATATGACAACAATTTTAGGAAAGATGAAATCTATACTAGGATAGACAAAGGATTTTAAAGCATAGGCTATAATTCCCAAACCAACTCCCCTAACAGGTTTTATAGTAAATGGCAACAAATACTTTGAACATTGGAACATAACAATGAATTGCAAACAAAAAGAAAAGTGAAAGAGGAAGAAAAGAAATGGAGGGGAGGAGAAAGGAGGAATTCTAGTATCAGGTGAAATAGGAGAAGGAGGTAGAGGAGAAGAATGGGGAAAAGGAGGAGCAGGGAGCAAAGGAGGAAGTGGGAGAGAAAGAAAAGAGAGACAGCAAGAAGGGGGTTAGGAGTAATTACATGTATTTTTTGGTCTGTTGTGTGTTTTTGCTCTAGACTCTGACCTCATATTTACAGTTTACTTAGTAATAAAAGAAACAAATATTGAATCCTTTTCAGAAAATTTCAAACATGCATAAGGCTCTTTCACTTCTAAAAAATAACTACGCAAGCAAACAAACACAAGCAAGAAGAAAATCCCTCAATTCTCCATTTCCCATTGTAACTTAATTCTCTCCATCCTTTGTAAGTAATTTCTTGGAAAAATTATCACCTTCTTGTCTTCCGTTCACTTCTTCATCTTATTAGAATCCTGTTTAATCAAATTGGCTGTCCCAAAAATACTAGTGTCATGCTTTTAATGACAATCTAATTACCAATTCCAACATGATTTTTTGCAATTCTTATACAACATTGTACAGTGGTTGACACTGCCAATTAACCCTCTTTGGGGATTCTTAATAACATTCTCTGTGGATTTTGCTTCTACCTCTCTGACGACTTTTCAGATTGCTTGTATTGCCTTCATTGTTCATCTGGGTCCTTAAATATTTTCTTAAGGTACCCATTCAGCCCTCTCAATTTTTATTCTCGCATATTTTCTTGTATAATAGTATTACTATATTTTTAGCTTTTAAAACTGCCAAATCACCTATCAAATAAATAAATTTGTACTTAATCAGGCTCCTAAGTCACTATTTCCATCACATAACATCACATGTTTACTGTCTTGTAGCTGTTTCTACCTGTTATGCCTTATTATGTTTCTCCTTTCAGAATAAGTGCATTCCCTTGCTTTTTTTTTTTTTTTTATTCTTAGGAGAGGCACTACCATTTACCTATTCAACTAAATGAGTACTTGTGGATTTATTCCAGACACCTCCCTGAGTTTCATGCTCAATCAGTCAGAAAGTGCTAGAAATTGTATTGAAATCGTTCTCTGACCTAATCTTCTCTAGCTGCACAGTCATTATCAGTTGAGATACTAACAACACTATATACAGTTCCACTCACCAATCTATCGTGCATAACATTGGAGTAGATCTTTCTGTGTTGCAATTTTGATCATGTCACTTCCAACATAAGGTCACTCAGTGATCCTCCTCCCAGGGCCTACAGAGCAAGTTTAATCTCCTTGGTATTGTTGAAATGTGGGTTTGGGGCTTTTTTAACCTGCTGCATACCTCCCTGTTTTAAGTCTTCTAAAATAAACTTCCCATCAATTACTCTATATGCCACCACATACAATAAATTTGTAATTCATCAGCCTTGCCATATGTATAAAAATGTGTGCTCTCAACGCATGAGGATTCCTCTTCTTGAAATGCCCTTTTTCTTCAGCTATGTACATAGTTTTGTCAAATTCTAACACATTCTTTGCAGCTCAGATTTCATTTATTTTTCTTTGAGAAGCAGTTATTCCCATTAGTATTTAATTATTATTTTGCTTTGCTTTTTTTTTTAAATCACAACTTGTAAATACTCATGCTATAATATTCATTCCATTCTCCCTCTGGCTAATGGGCTTGAAGTGAACAGACACTATGTCTTACTTGTGCCTCTGTTTCCAGCTGCTAGCTCAGTTCCCAATGCATTACAGTTGGTTGGCAAATATAAAGACAAATGAACATTATTGTTCATCTCCTCATTTTATTAAAAAGGCAAAAATGGATAAAAAGATTAAAGGTATAAGTAAGCAAAATGAAGTAACTCATTATTCAATTATATCGCACAGATCTATCTGTGATTAACATTTTGATGCATATGCAAGCATTCACTTATGCAAAGCCTACACAGGAAAAAAAAAGTAGCTTACAAGACATTCATAAAATCTGTTTAATTCAGTAATGATAATCAAATTAGTGTAAATTAAAACAACATTGGAAATTCTTTTTAAAAAAAACAAATCTGGCAATGAGTCTAAAAATCTCACAATATATAGGGTTGGTAAAATGTAAATACAAAAGTGTGTATGTGTGTATATATATATATATATATATATATATATATATATATATATATACACATACATACATACATATATATGTAGTAAAATCCCATTAATTTTCTTTTGCATTCCCTTTTCTCTCTCTGCTGCCTCTATATCTATGTATCTATCCATCTACCTATCTATTTGTATTCTCACATTGTATGTATATTGAAAAAAATATCTCTTCAACAGCTAGGCTAGTCGTTCTCAATAACTTTTCTTTAATCCACTGCTCATTTTGCTTTTTAGCTAACTATTCTGTTTGGGGTTAGGCAGAAGAGAAGAGGGAAATGTATGGTGGAAGGAAGAGAGGACAGGTGAAGAAAAGATAATTGATGAGCACATGATGTCTAGTAAATCCACACTCTCCGGTAAGGATCCTTACTCTCCGAAACTACCCTTCTCTTAGTCCAGGCTCTTGTCCAGTCTTTCAGAGTTCAAAGACTTCTCGTGTTCAGCAAAGCATTTAAAGTGGATCCCCCTTTCTCATTGATTTGTGGCTTCCTTTTAAAGATTTCACAGTCCCAGAGCTTTGTTGTCAATGTATTAAATAAAACCTAGCTCCTCCGTCAGTGCCTAGGGATTTGTCAATTACCTTGCAGTCATTTGGTCTTTGCTAATTGCAAAATAAAGAGACCGCTGCCTTTATTGGCCTCCCAAAAGGCTTTCCTCTCCTCTACATACTACATTCAAGGTTGTATTACTCTCTATTTCACTTTTTAAAGTTGAAGAAATTCAATTTTTTATAACTCAGAAACATGTTTAAAGCTTTTTGTCCTCCTTAAAGACACCCTTCTCCTTGTCAGGAATCTCCACCACACAGCTAATTAGTCTCTTGGGCAGATTGGTCAGGTTGCCCAAGGAGTAATAGCATAGACCTTGTTTCTTTCCTAGTCATTCTGGAAATTAAACTTTATTCTATCTTGTATAAGTTCTAGTAACTTTTTTATCTATCTCATTTTTTATTTTCTGTTCTTTCTGTTACTAGCTGGTGACGGACATGGAGACGGAAAAATTCAAGAAGTATGAACGGTGCTAGTAATTCCCTCCAGAGGCAAATATTTAAAAATTCCTCCAAGAAATACAACTCTGGAAAAGTTGTAAGAGCAGATCTAACTTTAGAGAAATTTTAGGCCATTCAGGTGGACATCCAGATGGCTAAAAACCTATTATTGGAACCTGTTACTTTCAAATGGCAAAAACTGCAGTAACTGTTGCATCAATCTAATGCATGCTGAACCAAGCTTTGCACTTTCCATAATGATTTTCTAACAACAAAAAAAATGCCATAACAACAAAATAATACATTTACCAGTAATTACAATGATGGTGATTATGATGACGATGATTAAGATACTGGTAATAATATTTGAGTACTTGCTTAATTCTCAAAATATATCACGTACTATTTGCCTCTTATTTTACCAATGTTATCTTCATTAAACCTCACAACCAACACAAGAGTTGGCAATGCTATCTCCATTTTCTTAGGGAGAAAATAAATAAATAAGAAATGGCGGATTAGAGACAATTCGTAATTGACACAAAATCTCAAATCTATCCCTCATGGTCTGTGTCTTCTTCAGAATATATCTGTTCTGCTGGGACTTCTGACAACTTTCATGTAACTTCAAATCAGAAACAATTTTTGAGATCACATGGCCCCACTCACTTATTTTAGGAAGATGAAATTGAAACCCACAGAGTTAAGTAACTTGTTCATCGTCACTCAACAGGTGAGTCTCAAAGCAGACCTCAAAATTTAATCCTCAGACACACAATACAATCTTCCTTCCATGATATGTAAAATGGTTCCAAAAACAGGATTCATAATTTGATAATTTTGTATAAGTGTACAGGGTAAAACGGATAGAATATTTAAAATCTCTAAGAGCCCAATATATACATATAACGAAGTACATCATGCTGCCTATTTTGTTCACAGACAAAAGTGATGTATTTCATATTGATCAATTTTGAAACAGTCTTTTCTTCCCCTGGCATCCATGGCAACTAATAGTACTGTGAATAGTGAAAAAATCATTCTCAGGATACCTCCTTTTGGTTTCTTTCCTATTAAAGTGATAAGCGTATTGATTCGTGTCCTTACTCTGTAAGCATGCTATTGAATAAGTTATATAAATAAAAAGTTTTATAAATTCAGCAACACTTGTGGCATATCATATGACTATTAAAAATATTGTAGAATAACTGTTGCTTTTACCATAATAACCCCTGAGAAATAATTGGCTTGCATTATGAGACTTGCGATTTCTCACAAAAGGAAAATATCCTGAAGCAATTTCACACCATCTTCACATATGTTCTGCCAAAAGTTATAAAAAGCTGAACCTCACAACCTAGAGCTGTAGCAATGTAATTAGATTTCTTTTCTACAAATGAAAATGCTGATTGGATTGGAAGGTGTTTCGTGACCAGTACGTTTTGTTTAGTGTGCCATCTAAATGTCATGGTTCCAGGTTGGAGAAGTTGAATTACAATTAATTGCAGTTTCAGGGAATGACTGAGACAAGAACAGTGTGGAGTTACAATTGAAATATAATGAGGCCTACTTGAGTCATGGGATCATGGTATTACTTGCTGTTTAGAATGTACCCCTCTACTCAAAGTATCTCCAGAACCTATAGGACAAAAAATAACATTCAAAGCAGCATGTGAGGTGTGTAGGTAATGTGATGGTCCAAACATTCCAAGAGTCCTGAGAAAGAGAACTGGGCAATACTGGCTGTGCTAGGGCTGATGCTAGTGGAGGGGACAGTTGCCACGAACAAAGTCTTCCCAAACAGTTAAAACAGACTCTTAATAGAAGATGTTTTTAAAGTCTGTTCTGAGGATCATCTGTATCTGCATCAGCCCGTCTGTAGTTTGTTAAAAATGTGCTTTCCTTAGCCCCATCTACCTAAATCAGAATGTGTTGGAGCCCTAGGATATGTACCTCTGACAAGCTCCCCAGGCAATTCTGATGTACACTGAAGTTTGACAACCACAGATTTCCAAAGTTTGGTGACAGGCAATTGGTGAGAGGCAAGTAGATGATTAACAGGGGCTAAATCCCAGAAGGAATATCAGTTGAGTTTCAATGGGAAGGCCAACCACTGCATCAGGGAACCTGGGAGAGATCCAGACAGGTAACTGGCATCAGGGGTGTCTGTCTCACAGGATAATGGCAGGGCTCCAGACTCAAGTTTGGGCACAGCTCCAATCCCAAGGAAGAAATATATATCTGGATGGTGTCTTGTTGGAGCAATATTGGAGCAAGCATGGGTGGTAAAAAGAGAATAAGAAGTAAGCTTGGAATTGAGAACTTAAGAGTCAGCATTTAACTGTATTAATTGTATTTAAAAGTATTTACAAATATTTGCAAAAATTCAGTGATAATTTTTTTTCAAAGTTCCACTGATGCATGATATGAGAAAATAACAGAAAACAACACCCTCCCACCCTATATCAGGCCCACAAAATATACGGACAAAACATAGAACAACATCTATAACGTTTAAATTGTAATAAAAACTTTTTAATAGTTATTTGCTTCTCTATAAAATGAGGACTGTTGATCATGGTGACAGTGCTGTATTTCATTGCACAGATCATGCTATTTCATTTACTTACAGGGGAGCAGAAGCCTTTATTGTGGGGCTACATCATTCTTCTTTTATGGCTTCCATTTAAAATATAGTACTAGAACCTGGTTGTTTCAGCATTTTTCTAGAAGTCAGTCAGTTCTATACTAACTCAGTCATTCTCAACTGACATCTCCACAGAATAGTTTGTCTTAGCGAAAAGGAGAAACCCAATAGTAGTTCTCTGAGAAACTCTAGTCAAATCTACCCATCCAATTAGGTGAGAGAGGACTGAGGAGGATGAGATGAGAGGAAGTAGCTGGGCATGTGAATATAGCCATCATTCTTGTGAACCCCTCAGCAGAGAACAAAATCTCTTCATATATGCAAGCTCCTTAATAAAAGTACTTGGAAGTCACCTGTCACTCTCTGCCTTGTGTATATCATCGGTAGTCCATTCATTTATTCATTGAACACTTTTTTTTTTTTTTTTTTTTTTTGAGCTGGAGTCTCCCTCTATTGCCCAGGATGGAGTGCAGTGGTGCAGTTTCAGCTCACTGCAACCTCTGCCTCCTGAGTTCAAGCGATTCTTCTGCCTAAGCCTCCTGAGTAGCTGGGACTACAGTTGTGCGCCACCACACCTGGCTACTTTTCTTGTATTTTTAGTAGAGATGGTTTTCACCATATTGGTCAGACTGGTCGACTCGAACTCCTGACCTCGTGATGTGCCCACCTCGGCCTCCCAAAGTGCTGGGATTACAGGTATGATCCACAACGCCCAGCCTGAACAACTTTTATACCCTCTTTCTGTGTGCAGTGTGGTAGTGTAAACACATCCATAAATAAAACTGTTGTCCCTAAACTCATGGCATTTGAAATCCCGGATGGCATGTTTTGTGTCTGATTTATTATGTCACCTTTCACTAAGAATTTCACCAAATGATATAATGGAATAAGTATAATACAAAAAAGGTTGTTAACTCATAATTCTGTGTTTCCTTTTCCTGCATTTCCTTTAAAAAGCAGTCTATAGTATTGTGTAAATATTTTTATCAATATTTTAAAAGACTTTACCATTTAACCAAATAAATATGGGAATGCTTTCCAGGACACTAAAACAATGAAAGCATGTTTTGACTTGTTGAGGAAAATGGGAAATATCATCAAGTAAGATATAAATTAATTTTTTCGTAAAAAGTGCTATACTTAATGGTAGTTACAAGGAGACTCTGACAAAGAGTTGGAAGATCAGTGACACTGAATTACCATGATTAGAATATGACTTCTATGATATCTATCTTGAAAGCAGTAATTACACAGAATTCCAGGTCATGCTACAGGCAATTTTCTATTTTATTATATTTATAAAATAGGAGAGTACTAGTTGTCCCAGTTCCCAATTAGATTGAATAGCTAACTTTTTGTCTATTTTTAAAAAATATTCTTATATGGGGGAAATATTTTCTCAGAAATGTCAGCTATCTGCTGCATAATTTAGAAAATATGTGTTATATTTAACATGTACACTTTCCTGAAGGTAGACATGCTATTAACTTTTCCCATTGTCTAAAGTTTTCAGATGAAAAGAACTCTTCTTCAGTATTTGGAACACTCTGCCCAAGAAAATACTGATTTTCCTGGGAGACAAGAGGTATTGCAGACCATATTACTTCTGATGAGCTCTAATATATACTTTTGACGGTATGCTCATTTTTATTCTATCAGTGCTAATACAGGCGAATAACCCATTTACGTAATTTTCCATCTTTCGACAAGATGGATGAATAGGCTTAATGTATAAAGGATGACAAAATGAAATATAGAAGTCTGGATAGAATAGAATAACCAAAGTAGTGCACACAATTACTAGCATCTGTCAATCTTTTCCCATCATTTGTCATTTATTCTGTTACTAATTCTCACAGCTGAGATTATGTGTCATGGGATAAATGTAATGGAAAGTTACTGTTCAGCTTTTCTTAAATAAAGGATCAATGAAACATACATTCAGAAACAAATGCCTGTCATTTTCACATTTTCAAGATGGAGCCTAATGTACTGTCCAGTGCTTTTTGCCCCACTAGGAACATGGCACTTAAGAGGATAATTTCCAGTTGCTTAGAGAAAGGTTTTACCATCCGTTTAAAAAAATGCAGTTTCTAAAGCTGAATTACATAATTATTAACACATTTGCTCATATATATACATATATATACATACATATATATATATACATACATATATATACATACATATATATACATATATATATATACACATATATATACATACATATATATATATACATATATATATATACACACACATACATATATATATGGATTATTTTGACATACCAGAGCATTATCAATGGTTTAACAGAATTTAAGCCTATTTTGGCTTTATCACTCCTGAAATTAAAAAATAAATGGTTTTTGAGCTAGTAACGTTTAACTTGAGAACACTAAAAGGTTTGAAACTATGCACTGATTATATTATTATTGTTACAACATATGGAACATTTTATAATATTAACTAAACTCCTACTATCTATACAAACTTGTAATAAAACAGTACCATTGTGATACACACATATAGTGTATATGTGTCACATACATATTTATAATGGAAATCAAGCAAAAGCCAAATAACTATCCAAGTATATATCCACTTTCATCTCTAATAAAAGTGGAATTTCATATCACTACAAAGGATATATTTTTCAGTAAGTTGTGCTAGAACTTGGGAGAAAAATTGTGAAATTTGAGAGAATTAATTCAAATAAATATTCTGACATACTATTATAAATTTAATTTTCCAAGAATATTTCTGGAGTATAGTCAACAATGTACTACAAAAGTTGTTAAATTTTGCACAGTTTTTGTCTTTTCAAACCATTTTACTCTTTTTTTTAATTGGAGGAAATCACATGGAGAAATAATTATGCACAACAGTAATCATCTTGGCATGTATTTTAATAATAATATCTTTTTTCTCTTTTTTATATTTATGTTCTATTTCTTGGTACTAAAAACTCATCAATTAAGTGGCACTTTGGAGAGTGATTAGCTATCTATAAATATCCTATGAGCTATGTACAGTGATATGCTGATCAGTGGTTAACAAAAACAAACAAACCAACAAAAACAAACAAACCAACAAAAAGCCCTAATTGGTGACACTGGTTGATTACCACTGGGTCTATTTATGAGTAAAGAGCATATCACAGGCTAGGAAAACCCATAATTTGTTTTTGCTAACTGAGTTTCTTTTTTTCTCATAGTGGTTTACTAGATAGTGCTCTGTTTTTGCCATGCATGTGATGAGAAACAGGGCATCTTACTTCCTAATAGCTGTAATAGCTAGTTTAGGCAAGAAGGATTCAGCTTCACTTGCTCACTATGGATTTGAAAACAAAATCTTACAGGAATAAATGAAATTCATTCTTCTGGCTTAATCATAAGAGACTTATTTATTTATTTATTTATTTATTATTTATTTTAAGGAAAATCTGAGAATTGAGAAAAGCTGTTTACAGAAAAGATAAACAACTGTATAGATAATACCACGTTCTGGCAAAATATTATCACCTCTAATATTCCTTATGATTTGGGGCATTTTATCTAACATTACTGTGGCTCCATATGTTCAAAATAAAAGAAAATAATCATACCTCCAACAGCCAGAAGATGGTCATGAAGCCAAGGTTAGAAGTTAACTGTGGAACTACTCTACTAGGTAGAAAACATTGAGGAGACAAAAAATATTTACTATTGGACCATTTTGGCAGAGTACCTTATAATAGGCCTTGAAGCATCCTTCTGATGACACCACATCTGGCCACATTTACAGGAAACAAGTCAAATCAGTGTCTTATACTCTCTTATTTATTTATTTTGTAACTAATCAAATAATTAAGTAATTTAGAAACAAGCAAATAAGTCATAACAACATTTGAGAAGAGGTACTTCCTGTTTCTGTGTTTTTCCTAATGAAATAAATAGATTGCATTCTTTCTTGGCCAGTCATGCTCTGGACTTAGGTTTTCTTCATTTCTTGCTTCTAATTCTTTGGGGAAATGGTGTTTCCTTCTATTGAATTATAACTTTCCTTATGATGAATATGGTCCTATTGAAAACTGGTTTGTGTGCATTTTATGGGTTTTAAACCTTTATACAAATTTTAATCTGTTTTTAGACATGCTCTGTAATCCTTTCCTTTAAATGTATAAGCAATGTTGTTACCAAACTTTTCCCTTTGCTTGCTTATCGTGTCATTAACCATTCAAAGAGCCTTCAGTAATAACACAATATATTTTTATAAAAGTGCATCTAAAATAATAGTATCAAGAGAGTAAATAAAATCAAAATATATTCTATTTAGAGCCAGCATCTGTGGAAAGCAAAACATATTGGGCTTTGAATGAAGAAACCCATATATAAACGATGAAAGCTTTATTTAATGAAAACATTTCATTAAAAAAAATAAACCAAAACCACATGAATAATAATATTAGCCAATATTAATTATGAGACAAAATGTTAACTTTTTATCAGTAGCCATTTAGTCTCTTGGTTCCTATACACCTCATTAGTCTCTCTTTTTAGCTCTCCTTACAATGTTTTCCTTCTCTACTAATCCTCTAAATATTGCTGTGGCCTAGGCTCAGCCTAATTCATTTCTCTACTCACCCACACCATTTATCTGATTTCATCCATTTCTATGGCATTCAAAGTAGAATTGTGGGTATTAGGGGCTGGGATATCCGTGGAAAAAGGTTGGTTAATAGATGCAAAGTGACAGCTGGATGGGAGGATTAATTTCTAGTGTTCTGTAGCACTGTAGGGTAAATACGGTTAACAGTAATTTGGTGTATATTTTCAAAAAGCCAGGAGAGAGGATTTTGAATGCTCATAACACAAAGAAACAATAAATGTTCTATGTGATAGCTATGCTAATGACCCTAATTTGATCATTAAACATTGTATACATGTGTCGAAATATCACTCTACATCCCATAGATATGTACATTATGTGTCAACTAAAATTAAACAGAAAAAAAGCATTAATAGGCTGTGTGTGTTTGTGTGTGTTTACATGTGTCAGTGTACGTGTATGTGTACATAGATTTTTCTCACTTTCAGCAAAACTCTTACCTTTGAGCTAGCAACCTGGCCTCTTCCCTTGGGTTTTTCTTACTTCTGCTTGAATATTAATAAATCCTAAATAAAACTCTAGATTCTACATCCCTTGCCAATCTTAATGACATCAGCAACCATCCTTTTTTACAAGACACCTGGATATTATACTGATTTTCTGTACACTTCCCCCTAATTTTTTTTTTTCATATTTGAAATGTTTTGCTAAGGTCTTCTTTTGGGTATAATATGTGATTCTTAGTTTTTGATCAATATAAATACAAACACCCAAAAACTTACCAACCTGTTGGAAATCACAGTTCTTTCATAGAGTATACACAGCATGAAAACATTTTATTGTAAGCTAACTCTGAAAAATTACAAATGTTGATTTGTTCTCAATATGAAACTAAAATTTCTGAAGGCGAGTAAGCATTAACCCACTGCAGTCATTCACACTTGAACCAGAAGCCTGTGATTTCCAAGGTATCTAAAGTTACCTCTCAATGCCCAAGGCATAAATGCAATAACCATCACTAACTGTTATTGGGTTCCTAGGTCCACACAGTCATAACTCACTGTAAAGTTTTAGTTCTTTTAAAATATTGATGACGTTTATACTAGGAAAATGTGACATTTCATTCTCTTTGTTATAATGGTTATCAACTGATGATTATTATATTTCAGTCATAAAGGAACAATCTAAAGCATAGGGAATGTAGATTTTTCGTTGTCGTTGTTGTTCAAAAAGCTATTAGAAGAAAACAAATACGGATTAGGGCATAAACTTCTTTTCCTTCCAAATGTGGTGAAAACAGTGGGATGTCCTTTTTTGATAAATATGTCTAAGAAAGAACTGAAAGGCTTGCTGAGCCAGAAACATAAATGGCTTTGATAGCACTGGAGTTGAAAACCTTTATTTACATTCAGTCAGTGTGAATGTGAGCTTCCATATGGTCAAACCCATGGCTAAGGAGTCTATGGGGAAGGTTAATATGTTATCTGGCTCTGCTCACACAAATTATATTCTGATGAAAAACATTTGCCCTCTCATAGTTTTCTTTCTTTTATGAGCCTTCCCATACTATTCTCCCCCTTGGCCTACAAACAGATTGCCTCCTCCACCAGGACAGTTCAGCATTATATGACTCAGAGGGCAAGTTTCTTTCCTTGTACTGTTGAAAATTAATACCTTGCTAAGGCATTTCCCCCAGATTCCATTAGCTGTTTGAAATTTAGATACAGATAAACAGAATGAAAGCACATGCTTGGCTTAAGTTGAAGGATTTTATTGCTTAGTTATGTTAGTGATGATGAATGGTAATGGCTGTAGTCATTTTTTCTTATGTAACATGAAAATATATTTTTTACAATGTTCTCCTTGCACATTTATTTTCTGCAATTCAAATGCTCACTATATAACCTCTAGCTTAAGGCTATTGCATTTTAAGAAATGGATGAGATAGAGAGACATGGAATAAAAATGAAACTGGTGAGATAGCACAGTGCACTTAATCATTCCTTTGTTCATTCTGTCATTTATTCAATCAACACATATTTACAGAGGTTCTACCTACAAGATGTAGCACTTTCAACAGTACTACATTAAGATTCAGACGTGCCTGAGTATGCATAGCGAGCCGCTGAACATATTCTCAAGGAGATGGCTTGCATGAGAACTTCTTTGTTTTAGCAAAAGGTTAAATGGGAAATCTGGGGATGTTGCCACCTACAGATTGAGACTAGGATGGAGGTGATGCAGAACAATGCAGTGTCTTACCTTTCCCTGAAGCATGAATTGGGTCTGAGGTCTGAGGTTACAGAAATGAAGGGAAAGTGCAGAAGCTATTTTCATGTAGCATAATATATGACGCCAGGAGACAACCTTAAAGTCCCTGAAATTCTCACATCTCCAGAGAATAAAACATGATACAGAGTGGAGGAAAAGGACTTTGTTATTTTCCACCATCAGAAAAGTACCAGAGAAACCAGGATGCTAAGTGGTCAATGAGGATACCTTGCCCACATTTAGTGCTGAGCAGTTGCTTAACTGAGTAATATAAAGATTCTAGCATTATCAGACATGCATAGGATCACATATCAGGCATTTCTTGGGGACTCCCAGAAGTGCTTCAAGGGTAATTTCAGGTCATTGGAATTCTGCATGAGTAAGTGTACACAAGAACAAGTAGGGTGTCTATTACTACTGATAATTTCACCTCACTTCTGCCTGCAGATTGTTGAAGCCTAGGAAAAGCAGATCTCACTTTCAAGGGGTAATTTAGGTTTTACATACTAAACAGAGAAAAAAGGGACCTTCATTGCATGTGACCAAGGTGCTCATATGTTAGACAAATAGAAAAGTGAGTACAATGTACTTTGAGATGTGTTGTGATATGTCAGAGAGCAGAGATACGTGACAGCACAGACAATGCATATCTAATTCAGACTGCAAAACTGAATTTCTGTATATATATATGCTCTTCCTCTATATATATATATAGAGAGAGGAAGCATAAAAAGGCACAACAACAAGGGAACTAGCACGACATTTTATGGTATATTCATGAATCTGCAAGAGCTTGGTTGTGTTTGAATCACAGCTTTCAATTAGAGTATAAGCGATAGATAGATAGATAGATAGATAGATAGATGCATACATACATACATATGAAATACTTGAAGATGTGAGTATTTGAAGATGTTTCAGCTCACACCAACATGGCTATATATTAAAATAGTGGAGTAATGAAGCAGTTTAGATTCCTATCTGGTTTCCTGCCCATTATTCCACTTACTATAATAACTTCTTTTCTTCTCACCCCTTCTTCTGGAAATAAACTCTCTGATCCAAATTACCCCACACTGCATCCAAATGGTTAACTTCAGAGCCCCTGGCCACAGATGATTTGTCGCTGGCAGGGCTGAGGGGTAGCTCTAGACCCAAGTTCAGCCAATCCTACCCTTCTTTGGATTTTATATAATGAATAGTGAGATCAGACTATCTCTACATAACTAAAATTATAATACATAAACTAAAATATTACAAGTATCCATGTTCTTCTGTGCAGATGGAGGATTATATAAAGCCAGTATTCAGCAAGACAGAAAAATGTAATAGAGGCCCAAAGAAAAGCGAAAATGAGAAATGGAGAAAGTAGTCTGATGACAGTTGAGTCCCTGGGGGAAGCTTCTGCTGAGTTCCAGATACCACTATCTCTAGTTTCTGTGAACATCCCTGTAGCATTGTAACAAGTTACACTTTTGTTCAAGCTAATAAAAGTGTAGTGTCTTGTATGTATAAAAGAAAAACAATGGTCCTGAGCAATGTATCTGTTTTAAAATTTTCAAATACATAAATTTTTAAAAGAAAATTAAAGGTGGCAGAGAAAACAGATGGAATAGTCCTACTACCTTATGTGTCACTTGCAGAAAAATTCAAGAAAAGAGAAGACAGATCACTATGGAAAGAAGCCACTCTCACAGAAGACAAGTTCTTGGCATCAGCATGATTAAGACAGATACACTCTAGCCTGGTATGTTGGCAAGCAAGTGAAAAGCAGGAGGAACTTTTTAAGTCAGCAGTGGGGTGGGGTGGGGTGGAATTTTAAATTCGAGAGTAATGGCTCCTGAAGTGAGCCCAGCCAGCATTTGGTAACCATGAGAAAAGATTTCTAGTGTTTGAAACTTAGATGTCAAGAAATGCCGGATGTACTGATTGGATAGAAAGTATAATTAAGGGATTAGAAGGAGTGAAGGTGCTTTGATTTACATTTCTCTGTTACATTATATTTTAAATAGATCTTTAAAAAGTTAATGAAAATTGGAGGATTACATCTCCTATGATTACCTACTGATATTTAAGTGATCTTATCTACCTGGTTAACACAATGTCTTATTCTTTAACACTGGCCTTTAATTTCCTTGGGGCAAAGTTGTAATGACTTGATTAATGTAGTTATCAGATGCTGCTTAACTCAGTTACAAGTGCTTGCCATCACAGTACATGCTACAAAAATATTTACATTTCATGAAGAATATAATCATTTATCTTGTTGTTACACTAAAAAGTGATAGTGTTCATTCATTCGTTATTCAATATTCATTGACTTTGTTTTAGCCAACACTGGTTATATGTGGGAAATACGGACATGTGACTATAAAATTCATAGTCTCTGCTCTAAAATAGATATCCAGAAGATAATAAAACATAGAAAGGAAATTATTTCTTAACTATCTCTCACTCAGAAATCCACAGTTGGGAAGAGCAACTAGGTACATCAGACATCTCCATTTACCTCAAGGCATCTATTCCAACTGCATACATCTGCCATGGCAGAGACAGCTGGGCTTTGCAAATCAAAATCTATTTCAGTTGTAGAAATTTAACATCAGTCCAACTCTATTTGGAAATATAATGTAAGCTTTCTGTTTTGTTTTGGATAGGATCTTGCTCTGTCGCCTAGACTGAAGTGCAGTGGTGCCATCATAGCTCACTGCAGCCTCAAACTCCTGGGCTCAAGGCACCTCCTGCCTCAATCTCCTGAAGCCTGGAACTACAGGGGCATGCCACCATGCCTAGCTAGTTTCTAAATTTTTTGCAGAGAAGGAGTCTCGTTATTTTGCCAGGGCTCTTCTCAGACTCCTGGACCCAAGTAATCTTCCCGCCTCAGCCTCCCAAAGGCTTGAGTTACAGGCAGGAGCCACAGCACCAGGCCAGCATCTTTTTTTTTAAATCTATTAAGAAATAGTCTAGGCTTCTATGTAGAGCAATGGAACATACAATATGAGTTTTGTTTTAAACATTAGATAAAGAGTATATATAAATCTTGTGTGGTTTGAGGAGTCTCAGTTTCTGGAATTGATCAATTTGGGTCACTGAAAATTAAACTGCCTCGGAGAAGGTTTACTTGCCCTTTGATGCAAGGGGGCTTATAACAACTTAAAAGCATATTTGCTAACAAAAGGATTGTGCTCAGTGAATTTCTATTTTCTCATATTAAGTTCTTAACCCTAGGCCATACTCTACTATGTGTCCATGGATATTGTTATGATCTACCATTTGTCATATTTCCTCTGCTTCTCTAGTCATTTCACCTGAAGAGAAAATCAGCTTCAACTTCCATTTTCTCACTCAGTCTTCTTGCATTTGAATACAGAAAAAGTAAGAAACCCTCAGCAGAAAAATCACCAAAATAACATAAATTTCTAGAAAGTTTCCGTGTCATATCAAAACAACTATATATTTCACTCTGACAATGCCGGTGATGCAAAAGGGACAAAAATATTTAACCCTGTAAAAATTTTACTTTTGGGCAATCAGGCTCTTTCTTTGCTCATGAAGTAAATGGAAAGGAAAAAAAGTATTTGAAGTGTATTGCCCTCATTTTAATAATGATAATAAAAATAAATTTTCATAATTCTTTGCAATTTTTTTGAGCATCATGCCTCCCTATCAGTGAGACAGGGCGGACACTGGGTGAAGGAGCTTGTATCTAGAAGAGTCACCAGACTGGGTGGTAGAATATGACTTAGTCATGATGCTGCAGTGTGTGAGGAACCAAGAGTGAATTCAGGGAAATGGAGAGACAGGTATCCATTCCGGAGCTGTACAAGCAAAGTCTGAAAGCCGAAGAGATGAAAGAGAGGCAGGTATAAACCAAATACCAGGATAATTAATAAAAGCCGATGTTAAAATAGATTTGCAAAAAATAGAACACACTTGCCAATTAAAAATAGGACACACTTGTCAAATACAGGAAACACTTGCAAATAAGTGAAGTGAGGGGCAGAGAGTCACAATTTATATTAAAAAAAATTCTTACAGACATGGCTCTTTTGCAATAGCATAAAAGCATTTTTTAAACTTCTTTTTTGTTTTAAGTTACAGATAAGTAAATTGAAGATCTGATAGTTATATGATTAATTCAAGCTCACATATCAAATTAAATAAAGACACATATTAAATACTCTCACTATAAATATTGTGTCCTTTACATTCAAACAGATTTTAAATAATAGTTCACTTAATCCCAGCATAATGGTAAAATGGTAAAGACCACTCATTTTTGCCAGTGTAGAGAAAGTTACTGCATAGTTCAGTAACGTTATAATAAACCTAAATATTCAAGGTAATGGTATGGTTAGAATGAGGCAGAAAGGTCAAAATTGGCCTTAAATTTCTAATCCATTTTATAGACCCTAAGTCACACATTATTAAACAGTAGGGATATGGTTTGGCAGTATCCCCACCCAAATCTCTCCTTGAATTGTAATAATCCCCAGGTGTCAAGGGTGGGGCCAGCCACAGCTAATTGAATCATCTGGGCGGTTTCCCCCATACTGTTCTCATGGTAGTGAATAAGTCTCAGGAGATTTGATGGTTTTATAAATGGGAGTTCCCTGCACGAGCTCTCTTGCCTGTCACCATGTAAGACATGCCTTTGCTGCTCCTTCACTTTCCATCATGATTGTGAGGCCTCCCCAGCCATGTGAAACTGTGAGTCCATTAAACCTCTTCCCTGTTTAAATTACAGAGTCTCAGGTGTGTCTTTATTAGTAGCATGAGAATAGACTTATACAGTAATTATAGTATTTTTTAATTTGACTCCTTTTTTCAAAATCATACATGAGATAGAGCAATCATACACAGAAAGAAATGATGTGGATCGTTTCCAATCATCTTCACAAATTCAACTTTGTAAATCTTTTCAGTGAGATTAAAAAATAAGGCCATCAAATATTTTAAAATTCATTTGCCTTCACAATGACAAAGTTTAGAGACAAACAGCTAATCAAATCGGTGATACTGGGCCACAAGAAAGTTGTGTTTCTAGATGACATGCACCTATTTTTCATATACTTTTTTAAAATTGGATTATCAAAAATTTAACAAACATTCATTACAAACAGGCAGAGCAATTTCCAGTGTGACTACCTGAATACCTTCTGTTTGTAATCATCATCTGAATGAAGATTCACCACATGGTTACCTAAACAATGATGAATTATTTATACCTTTAATGAAACTTGTATGTTAAAATGTTAGTAATTGCATTTTAAAAAAATAGACACACAAAACAGAAGAAAATCATCTGACTGAGAATTAAGATACTGTGATACACATAAGACAGCTTTTCACAGCTTTATGATGTATTGTTGATTTAATAGCAATTGCTTTTTTATATAAAATATATTTTATATTAGTACACATTAATTGAAATTTGTCCTCAAATTTAGAAATGTTTCAATATTTTTTAAATGTGTAGTTTTTTTGGTAGAATTGTAGCACCTGGTCATTACTAGATGTTTATGTCAAAGAGAATGAACAACAAAAACAGCAGATACTGTTGCATGTTTTAGTTGTTCTACATCCAAAATTCCCTGTTTCTTAGCTTACCGATATGTATGCATGGCCATGTAACATTTGGCCTATGGGACTTAAGGAAAAGCCTGTTGGATGACACATACTCAGCTAGCAGGCTCTCCGCAGCATCCTGTTCCTCCTACCCTAAACTGTGATATGGTGCTGGAGGTGGAGAAGGCTTCTAGCAACTTGAGGTCAAGGACTGACACATTAAGATTGGAAGATCAGAAAAACAACAGAAGCCTGAAACACTGGAGATATGATGGAGCCAGTGAATTACCACTAAACTGCTATTTTCAAGATTCTTTATCTAGGAGAATAAACTCCTACTTGTTTAAGCTCATGTTAAGTGTATTTACTGCAGTTCAAAGCATTCCTAACTATATTGCTGCTCACACTCAAGTTAACATGATGAAAAAATTGATGTAGACATAACATACATTTGCACAAGTAGATAGTAGAGGGGAATTTGAAAAAGCAAGCATTATTAACTCGTTTCAGAGCAAAATAATTATTTTTTCTGAAATTTGGGGAAAATCAGAGGATAGAAGTTTCACTACGACAGCATTCTAGACATTCAAAATAAAGTTTTTTTAAAGTATTAATTTTCTTTGTATGAGTGGGTCTTTCAAAATCCCATACATTCAAGCAGTTTCTCTTATACAATTCCCCCAAAAGGAATTCTTTATCTTCTATCAAAATTTTGGTACACTTTAGAAGAGCTTTTAAAATTTTATTTGAGATTATTTTGTAAAAAAACATGCATTCCTAATTTAGAAAATTTGGTGAAAGAGTTTGTATTAGAAAGATGTAAAAGTTGTTTATATTTAAAAAGTTCCCCACCTGTGAATTAAATGGTGGGGGATAATGTTTCCTTAAAAGTAAATTGAGAGATTGCTGCTTCTGTAAAAAGAACGATTCACAGAGTTTGCTTTCAGCTTAGAGCCCCAGTGGGATAGCATTTCTTTCCGTTCGTCTGCTAACACCACAGAAAAGGAACAGAGGAATAAGAAGCAATAGGATGTCCCTTCCAGAGACCTTGAGTGACAGTATGGCAAACAAGGGTCATCACTTTAATTAGCTTTAATAACCCAGAGCCGGGTGAAAGATCTCCTCCTGAGACTAAAGTTGCTAGCTGCTGAAAGGATGTTAGTGAAAATTCTGTTATGTCAAATGTCTTGCCGCATGATTTGAAGTTTTTGTTAAGGAATCCAGGAAGTTAGAGGCTTCTGACTAATGTGAGAGGCAATCAAAAAGGAGATAAAATCTAATGCTTTAAAAACACATTTATTTAAGCAAAACACCGGCTTTTTTGAATGGCATTGTGTTTGTATATTATAGTGGCTCTGTTAATGTACTACGCACGCATCATTTTTAATCATAAAAGAATATTGAAAGACAATGTGAGTCGTTAATGACTGAGCAGGAAGAATGAATTTGCCCCACTCTACTCCACTAACATTCTTACTTAGAGATTTCAAAGACCTGAAAACAAGTAATCCACCCTCTGAACCACTGAGATCGCAATTCACAATCTCTCACTTGGCTGCTTCTAGCAAAGGGTAGAGTTCTCGACCTTCCATTCGCATTGTAACTTTTAATTTTATCATGTGCTTTGCCATCTAGAGATATGAGTGATTAATCTAGTTAGATTTTAAATAATGTTAACTCTAGATTTTCATTGGACTTTTGCATTTTAGCAGTGCTACTTTTTTTTGAGATGTTCCTTCTGAATATCTACTTGAATTTTCATTGTTTGACTTGAACTTCTGAAGAGTGTGCATTTAAAATTCTGTTCTTTTAGTTGTAAAGGAAAGCATTATTATCCTTTCTTCTGCTATTGATTACTAAAAATGATTTGGCTGCAGGAAATTTAGCACTGTAGAAGATTTCATTTCATAGTCTTTAACCAAAAATATACTAGAGAGATTTCTTTTCAAGATATGATGTCTGCAAGAGCTAAATCAGAAGCCCTCCCTGCATAGGTCAGATTTTTCCATTTCTAAGTTACTTAGGTCTTTTCCTTTTTGGAGGTCTTCTCTTCTGCAAAGAAACCAATAGTTGTTTGTGCTTTTACATTACAGAAGACATGTAACTAATGTGGCTAATCTGAACATTTTGGGGGCATGGTAATTACAAAGATTTATCTTGCTACTGAAATCTCAGAAGTTGAACATAATGAAAGCCCAGAACTAACTGGCACAGCTATCCTGGCACATAGAATAAGTTTGGTTGAAAAGAAAATCAACAGGGAGAAAACCTGAGCCGAGAGACAGAAAATGAGGTAGATCTCTAATGATATTGTTTGTACTCTTGGATTCAGCCATGCCTAAAGCAAGTTTACTCCTTGGACTTTGCAGCTATATAGGCCAATACATTTCTTCTTTTGCTTTAGCTAATTTGATTTTACTTTCTATTGTATGCAACTAAAATAAACATGGCAAATACATTACCTCATCTTCAATTTGCATGGTAACTGATAGAAAACATTTCAAATAACTAGGTAGCATAAACTATTCTGACACCATATTTATCTGACAGTCAGTAGCCAAAAGTGGGAAGGTATTGGCTTCAATAAAGTATTCTTTTATTTATTTTTTAGAAAGCGTGAAAAAAATAAAATCTGGAGTATTTTCGAAGAATGATATGGGTTAGGAATAACAATTCTTATTTATTTAATCCTCACATTTTTTGTAAATTCTGTGTAAGAATTGTCTTTTACAGTATTATTAATTTTTATATTTTCTTTTTAAGAAGTATTGTTTCTTTTTATAACCAAAGGTTGTATAACATCTGATTGTAGCCAGAATGCTAGCACTTATAACATGCAAGGAAAGTACCCAAACTTCACCTGGTGACAAAGTGCACACTTTTCAGGATTAAATAATTTATTCTTTTAAAAATAAAACTCTAAAGAATTATCATAATTGACCTTATATGTCTATATATTCTCTTGGTAATATTAGGTGATGTCTAGAGCAGTGATTTCCAAATGGGAGCAAAAGGATCCAAGGGAATGCTCAGAAATATGCAATGGGGTACAGAAAGAAGACATGTGAGTTTCTATATATATTTTTGTATTAGTAATTTTAAGTTTCACCTGTGTGTGTATGTTGCTTACAATAATCTAAGTAATGATGTGGTAACAATTTCAAAATTTCAATGGCTTAATATTGTAAAATATATTCATCTCTTATGGTCAGAAAAATGAGAGATAAATGTATTTTAGAGTTTTAAGCCACATTAGTTTGCCTAGGGCTTTGCTCCACACAGTTTCTCGAACAACCAGTACGACAGAGTCTCCATTATCCTGTAGATGCACTAACATGAGCTCATGGTGTTCCTCCACTTTGGAGGCCTGAAAAAGAAACACCGGGAAAATTCTGCAGGACATTTCACTACTCCACTGACTAAAAGGGCCAGGAAATATAGTCACCCATATGCCCAAAAAAGAAAAGAGCTGAATATTGGTGAGTACTAATAATGATTGCTATGGAATATATTTATTATATGAATAAATTTCAAATGCTAAATATGCAGGGTAAATGCTTTAAAAACTTTACTAGTATTATGTGTGATAAAAGAATATTTAGAGACTACAGAGTCACTCTTAGATACTTTCTTTATACTCTAGCTCTGGGTTCTTTTTTCTTCTATCAACTTTCATCTGCCTCTATAATTAGTTCTAATCATTACTATGGGTTTTCTTGTGTTTTCCAGTCTGCAGCCAACCTAATTTCTCCAAATGCTTCGTCTTCCTATTTTTTTGTCATTGATATTGATAATTTTAACAGGTAAAGGCTCAACTCGATAATTTCATAGCAAGTCTCCTTAAGCACAAGGAAAGAAAAGAGTAGAATGAATCCTTTACATGTCCGTGGTAGGCCAGCAATCTACCAAAACATGGTACATGTTCCACTAAAACCTAAATCGGGGCATTGAGGTGGCTGATGATGATAATATCCTTGACCCAGCTGCTAATTCAGAGAAATTTGTTCTCCATAAAGTTGCCATGGTGATGGAATGTTCCAGTCTACACAAGAGTTTTCTTTTTTCCCTTATGCTATGGACATCAACTTACACTATGCTGCAATTACTGAAATCGTGTATTTCAAAAGTCACCCCTTCGAATTCCTCAAAAAGAAACAATAAAACCTTTTAAAAGCCCCAAATTTTCTACTAAATATTTTGTAGAGGCTATAAACTTAGTCATTACATTGCATATATTATAGTGAAACACCTTAAAAATTCTTATTAAATATTTCTGTTCTCCAAGAACTCTCGTCAGTTCCATAACAGGTGGTCCTCCTCCACCCCCACCCACCCCATTCTTTCTTCCCCACGCGTTACCTGGACTTGACATCTCCTATCACCTTTTTACCAGAATTGCCACCAGAAAACTATTAATTCTTTTCTGGGAGGCAGTGGTATGAGGGAACTGAAGCTAGAAAACTCAGATTGGTAAAATAAATCTTACTGTAGTGTTTAGCAAAACAAATAACCTCTGAGAAATAATCACTTAAAACAGTTCAGGTATTATCAATTATTATGAAAACAAAAATGTGTCTTTTCTTAACTTTTACTTCAAGCATCTTATCAAATAATTTTTCCCAACAATTTCAATGCTTCTCAAATAGTTATTTTAGGCAATACAATTTCTACATATTATTACATGTATTGTTCAGTTTTCATTTTGATTTATCCATTATTTCTCAATTGTTTTTCAATTGTTGGTCTTGATCATAGATACCCCTGTCCCTGAATAAAGTGACTGAGTAGCAGGTAGATTGAAAATTTAATAATCTATTTAATATGGTATCTACAATGGTCTGTTCAGCTTTCATACTTCCCAAATTGCTACTAGTTTTCCACAAAAACATGCATTAGTGGTCTGTAAGAGGACCCACAACAAAGATTTTCTTATTCATGATCTAAGGGTTTGAAGCGAATTACTTCATTTGTGTTTCAATACAGAAAAATTAGTAAAAATTTTGAATCTGCAACTGTATAAAATAGCATAAACAAAGATTGCATATGTTGGATATAGTACCAAAAAGGATACTTTTGTTAGTATGAAATCATAGTTACATGTTGAGAGAAAATACAGCAAATGAGTTGAAAATGCATGTTCTGGAGCAATCTTTCCCTGTCTTTGCAATGAATAGTTAGCCTGTCCAAGGTTGCTTAATCTCCCTAATCTCAGTATCCTGAGCTAGAAATGGCAGTAATGGATCTCAGTGTGTTATTGTTACATTTAAAAAATCTATACCAGTCATATTAAAGCTTATTATTACTATTGTTTTGATTGTAGTTGTCATTATCGTTATTTTATAAAAAGTATTTCTATAATGTTTCTAAACTTCTTTTTTTCCATCTTAAAGTATTTAAGATTTGGTTTACTTATCTCAAAAAGAAGTGACTAAAAGTTCAATGGGAGAAATGATAGAAGCTAATTGTGATAAAACAGATAAAGTACATGGCACAATGGTGAGTAACTGCTGGCTATTTACTTATATTGTTAATCATATTATGTTTAAATATCTAATAGGTTTCATAAAATTATGCTTCATTATTTAGTTTAGGGAGAGGTAATACCCCATGAAGTTTCAGCATCCATAAAAGTTCTTTCTGGGTAAATCTAGAAGGCAATGCCTTAATCACTCTTTACCAGGAAAATTTCTCAGGGTTGTTTTTGCAGGGAAATTGTGAAAAAATAAGTAACACCTCTAATCCAATCTTAATTTTGTTTCCACCTATGAAAAAGTAGACTTCCTTTTGCTTTCTAAAAAGACGGTGGGAAACCACAAAATAAAAACTACAAAATGACCAGCTAACAACTTCATGATTAGGTCAAAACCTAATACATCAATATTAACCTTGAATGTAAATAGTCTACACACCTCACTTAAAAGGTACAGAGTAAGTTGGATAAAATAGCAAGACCCATCTGTCTGCTGTCTTTAAAAGACTCATCTCCTATGTAATAACACACCTAGGCTCAAAGAGTTGGAAAAAGATGTGTCAGGCAGATGGAAAACAAGAAAGAGCAGGGGTCACTACCTTCTATCAGATAAAACAGACTTTAAACCAACAATAGTAAAAAAGGAAAAGAATGGGCATTACATAATGACAAAGGGTTCAATTTAACAAGAAGACTTAACCATCCTTAGTACATATGCACTCAACATTGGAGCACACAGATTCATAAAACAAATAGGTCTAGACCTACAAAAAGACTTAGACAACCACACAATAATAGTGAGGGACATCAACAACCACTGATAGTGCATAGGCAGATCATTGAGGCAGAAAACTAACTAAGAAATTCTGAACTTAAATTTATACTTGACCAATTGGACCTAATAGACACCTACAGACTATTGCACCCATCAATCACAAAATATACATTAGTGTCTTCTGCACCTGAAGCATACTGTAAGATTGACCACATGCTTGGCTATAAAGCATGTCTCAGTAAATTAAAAAAAATCAAAATCATACCAACCACACTCTTGAACCAAAGTGAAACAAAACAGAAATCAATAACAAGAAGATCTCTGTAAACCACACAGTTACATGAAATTAAACAACTTGCTCATGAATGACTTTTGGGTAAAAAAGAAAATTAAGGCAGAAAGAAAACATTCTTTGAAATAAACGAAAACAGAGACAAACATACCAAAATCCCTGGGATGCAACATAGGCAGTGTTAAGAGCAAAATTTTTAGTCATAGATGCCTACATCAAGAAGTTAGAAAGATCTCAAATTAATGATCTAACATTACACCTAGAGGAACTAGAAAAGCAAGAATAAATTAACCCCAAAGCTAACAGAAGAAAAGAAATAACTACAATGAGAGTGTAACTGAATGAAATTGAGACTCAAAAATTCATACAAAGGATCACAAAACCAAAATTTATTGTTTGAAAGGACAAACAAGATCAATAGACCACTAGCTAGACTAACAAAGGAAAAAAGAAGATTGCCCAAGTAGAAACAACAAAGGTGACATTACAACTTATGTGACAGAAATACAAAAGATTCTCCAACACTGTTATGAACATACCAATGCACACGAAGTACAAATTCTAGCGGAAATTTATAACAAATTCCTTGAAATGCACAACTTTCAAAGATTGATACAGGAAGAAATTAAAGCCCTTAGCAGACTAATATTGAGTTCTGAAATTGCATCAATCATAAAAAACTACCAACAAAAAAGAGAACTTGACCAGAAGGGCTCAGAGCCAAATTCTACCAGATGTACAGAGAAGAGCTGGTACCAATTCTACTGAAACTATTCCAAAAATATCAAAGAGGAGGGCTCCTCCCTAAATCATTCTATGAATCCAGCATTACCTTGATAATAAAACCAGGCACAAACACAACAAAAAAAGAAAACTCAAAGCCAATATCCCTGATGAACATAGATGCAAAAATCATCAACAAAATATTAGCAACTGGAATCCAACAGAACATCAAAAAGTTAATTCACCACAATAAACTAGGCTTTATTCTTGGGATTTAAGATTGATTAAACATGCACAAGTCATTAAATGTGGTTCACCACATAAAGAAAATCAAATTTAAAAACCATATGCTCATCTCAATAGACATGGAAAACCCCTTTAATACAATTTAACATCCCTGCACGATAAAAATTCTCAGCACACTAGGCAGTGAAGAAACATGACTCAAAATAATAAGAGCTATCTATGAAAAACCAACAGCCAACATCATAATGGGTGGGCAAATGCTGGAAGCATTATCCTTAAGAATTGAAACAAGACAAGGATGCCCACTTTCACCACTCCTATTCAATATAGTACTGGAAGTGCTAGCCAAAGCAACCAGGCAAGAGAAAGAAATGAAAGGCATCCAAATAGAAAAAGCAATCAAACTATCTGTTTTGCTGATGATATGATTCTATACCTAGAAAACCCTAAAGACTTTGCCTAAAGTCTAATAAAATTGATAAACCATTTTATTAAAGTTTGGGGATACAAAATTAATGTAAAAAATCAGTGTTGTATCTATATACAAATAATGTCCAGGCTGAAATTAAAATCAAGAACATTTTTCAACAGCCACAAAGAAAATGAAATATCTAGGAATATGGCTAGCCAAGCAGGTAAAAGATCTGCACAAAGAGAACTACAAAACACTGCTGAAAGAAATCAAAGACAACACAAACAAATGGAAAAACAATCCATGTTCATGGATTGGAAGAATCAATATCATTAAGATGGCTATACTGCCCAAAACAACCTGTAGATTCAATGCTATTCCTATCAAAATATCGGTGTCATTTTTTATAGAATTAGAAAAAACTATTCTAAAATTCATATGGAATAAAAATGAACCAAGATAGCCAAAGAAATCCTGAGGAAAAAAAAAAAAGCTGGGTGTATCATATTACTTGACTTCAAATTATACTATAAGGCTTAAGTAACCAAAACAGCATGGTACTGGTACAAAGAGAGACACTTAAACCAATGAAGCACATTAGAAAACCCAGAAATAAAGCCCACACCTACAACCATCTGATCTTTGATGAATTCAACCGAAATAAGCAGTGGGGAAAGGACTTCCTCGTCAATAACTGGTGCTTGGATACCTGGCTAATCTGTCTGAAAGAATAAAACTGGACCCTTACCTTTCTGTGTATATAAAAATAACTCAAGATGGTCTAAATATTTAAAAGTAAGACCTCAAACTGTAAAAATCCTAGAAGAAAACCTAGGAACTACCATTCAGGACATCAGCTTTTGCAAATAATTTGTTACTAAGTCCTCAAAAACAATTGCAACAAAAGCAAAAATTGAGAAGTAGGGACTAATTAAAGGAGCTTTTGCACAGGATAAAAAAAGCTATCAGTAAACAATCAACAGAATGGAAGAAAATACTTGCAAACTATGTATCTGACAAAGATCTAATATCTAGAATCCATAAGGAACTTAAATATCTCATCAAGCAAAAACCAACCCCATTAAAAAATTGGCAATGAAAATGAACAGACACTTCTCAAAAGAAAACATACATTTGGCTTACAAACATATGAATAAATTCCAACATTACTAATAATCGGAGAAATGTGAATCAAAACCACAGTGACATATTATCTCACATAAGTCAGAATGGCTATTATTAAAAATACAAAAGCAACAAATGTTGATGAGTCTACAGAGAAGAAGGAATGCTTATACGCTCTTCATGGAATGTAAATTTGTTTAGCCACTGTGGAAAGCAGTTTGGAGATTTCTCAAAGAAGTAAAAATAGAACTACTATTCCACCCAGCAGTCCCAACAATGGGTATGTATCTAAAGGGAAATAAATTGTTCTACCAAAAAGACACACGCCCTTGTAAGTTTATTGAAGCACCATTCACAATAGGAAAGATATGAAATCAACCTAGGTGTCCACCATTCATGGATTTGATAAAGAAAAATTTGGTACATATACACCATGGAATACTATGCAGACATAACATAAAATGAAAACATATTTTTTTTCAGCAACATAGATGCAGCTAAAGGCCATTATCCTAAGCAGATTAATGCAGGAACAGGAAACCAAACACCACATGTTATCACTTATAAGTGGCAGCTAAACATTGGGTACTCGTGGACATACCAATGTCCACGGCAACAATAGACACTGCAGACAATTAGAGGTGGAATGAGGCAGTGGGAAATAACTGAAAAACTACCTATTGAGTACTATGTTCACTGCTTGAGTGACAGGATTAGTTGTATCCCAAACGTCAGTATCATACAATATACACACGTAACAAACCTGCACATGTATCCCCTTGAATCTAAAGCAGAAGTTGAAATTATTTTAAAAATTATAAAAATAAACAATTGAGAAAAAAATAAAATAAAATAATAAATACAATGATGGTGAATCCCCCAAGCTGTGTTTCTATCCTGCAACATATAACCAATTTCATGTGCAAGCATCCAAAATGGGCCCTTTGCATTTCCTTAGTAGGATTGGAGAGCATAGAGAACTGATGTAAATCAGCGTGAAGCTTTGGCTACTGTTGATGCCATGAGCAATAAAATCCCATGTCTCTGATCCAGGAGCCTCATGACTTCTGCTACCATTATTGAGATTGTGGCAGGCTAACCTATTTGCTTGTAAATAGGATAAAATTTCAAATCCTGCATCATTCTTGACATAGTCTAACTATAAGAAATATTATGAAATATTAGCTTTTCAAGAAATATCAAAATTAACAGAATAAGATGAGTAATTTGTGATTGATACACTGAAGATTTATCTCATGATTTTATGAACGTGGTATTTATAGTAAAGGAAATCCAGCAAATAATTACATAAAAGTGTATTATCTGCTGTTTTGATGAATGTGTGAAATTGATTCACCCTACTATCAACAATAATGCACACAAAGTTTTATTTAAAAAAAGCTAGGGAACTCTATTTTATGGCATTCTATCTAAGCTAAATTATTATCTGACCTAACTAGGAAAATGAAATCTTTGCTCAAACCCCTTCCTGACATTTTTATCTAAATCAAGAGGAAAGTTCCAAGGGTAGACCTCAGAGTTGAATCTGATAACTGACAAGTCTGTCTTATTATAAGACTTGAGATTGGTAGGAGAAATTTGACTCAGGAAACTGAACTTTTAAATTTTGAAGTGTGCTCTGTAGAACTAAAGTTTAGAAAATGCATATAAGAGACAGAAAGAAAGGTAAGGAATAATTACGAATGGAAAGAGCTACCTAGATAATTCCTTATTTTCATATTTCCTATGAATTAAGTTTACACATATTTTAAAAGTAGCATATTCAAGAGCAATTATTGAACTACTTTTCTGCCTTTGAATTCATGTTCAAGAGAAATATGGATGCACAATGTTTATGCTTGTGAATTCTGGTCAAGATATTGCTGTAACTATATGTGGAATTCCTCTCCACCTTGGTTCTAAATACCTAGCATGATAGTTGCAGTACTTTTACACCATATAGCTATCTCAGTGAACAAATGTTGAACTGAAACCCACAGCAATAAATGAAGCCTGAATGATAATTCCATGAAGTTTCTAGATCAAATTCTGGGGGAGGCAAACGGGGGACTGGCTCTATCAAAGTAAAAATTAATAAATTCCCCTGTTAGTCACAGCTGAAACACCCACAAAAGTAGATCCAAAAAAGTCACAGTCATTGCCTAGTGTTGCTACCTAGGAAAGCTGGAGGGAATAGAGATGTCCACACAACTGGGACCAAGGTAAGCCATATAGATTCAGGAACTATAACTCTGGCATCTCTACAAGATGTGAACTCTGTAACTCCAATATAAATATAAGATCCCAATTTGCAGGCTGGAAACAACTAGACACACATGGGTGAACATGGGAAATACAAAGTAAATATATGCCCATGCATACACAAACACCTATTCAAGATGAATTGGCATATCAAGGTCTAAAGCACAGAGAAAAAAACTAGTAACTTAAGAATACTATTTAAAAAACTCAGGGAGAAATAATTAACTTACGAAGGTATGCAGATAATGTAGTATTTTTTAAAAATGATTATAAAGTGAATCTACCTAAAATACTCAGAGAAATAAAATAAGAAGATCGTAAATCACCAACAGGAAACTATGGAACAAAACATAGGTATATATAAATCAGGAATGAGTTGACATGCAAAAGCACCAATTAGAAATTCTGAAAATTAAACATGTTATCATAAACAAGCAATAGATGTAATATATTTTAGAGGGGCCATAGAACAGAGAAAATTATTGAACTCTTAGATAATGTAACTTAGATCAATTTTGTTGATTTAGAGAAATATGATATCAAAAGCTCATGAATTTAAACAAAACCTCTGTTGAGAAATTATTAAATAATGTTAATCATGAGAGATTCTGTGTCCTACTAATGAAAATTGTGTCAATCTGCATAATTTTGCTTAGAGTCCTATAAAGTGTTCTTTTCAGGTTACCTGAACAAAGACTTATTTCAGAGGTAAAATAAAATTAAGCGAGGTTACTTCTTTGAAAATTATGGAGAAAAGACAACTCTTAATAATTGTATAAGATCAAGTAAAATTTTGCTTAATATTAGTAAAAATTCACAGGAAAAATAAAAAAATGACTATAAAGCTGCACTAATTCTTAAGTGCGAACTTAATACAAATATTCTCTTGCCTAGAAATATGAAAAATGTCATAAGCATTTATGACCACAGTAGGATGTTGGGAGGAAAATACCTCTGGTAATAATCTTTAGGAGCAAATGCACACTGTTAGTAATGATTGATGAAAAGTTTCCTCACAATCTGCTGAGAAAAAAATGTTAAAATGAAATTAAGTGTAGTTATAGAAAACAAAATTACATAATTGACATAACAGAGTTATTGGCCTGAGAGTCATACCTATTGCAATCTATTTCTTAGAGGCTCACTCCTGCAGATGCTTGGCTGGAACTTGTCAATGTTTCTATACATACAGGAAATGATAAACAGCACATATCAAGCCTGGCAAATACCTATGCTGAGAAAGAAATGCTGGTCCTCATCAAGGGAGAAGGAGCCAGAGCTAAAGGACAGGGTGTTGTCAAGTGATTTTGAGTATTTATGCAGAGCTAGATTTTTTTAGATAGCTTTCTCAGAATGTCTTATTTCAAAGTCAGTAAAATTTTAATTAACCTAATTTCCCCTGTTCTGATTTCATGTTCCCCCAGCAACTATCAATTTATGAAGCTCAATCAAATGGGCTTCAAATATTTATATCTCTTTGACACTGATTTCTAGAAGTGAATTTTTACTTTCAGTCCTGATTTTTTTCTTGATTCTCATGCAGTTCAAATACAGCAGTAGAGCTCATTGATTGTAAATATGTTGGTGTACCTACCAGTATAAATGCTTTATTTCTCACTGTAAGTTTGATGATTTAAAAATCTCTTATTTGCCTTAGTTTGTTGAGATGTTTTATTCAGCATGACTCAGTCCTCCAGCTCAGGCCTCATCACGCATGAACACTGATGAAATATGAATCTGAAACCCTAAAATGGTGTGACAAAATTGAGTTACTGTCTCATGAGATCCACCAAAGCTCAAACCAGTTTTCCTTGATACCATACTGCTCCCACTTGCTGATTCAGTCTACTAATTTATACCATCACTGTTTACAAAGAAGAACCCATGAAGTCACATTTAAGAATATGTGGTTGGTGACAGAGCTAGAGAAAATTGAACTAACATTCTATGGCAGGGGTCCCCAACTCCCAGGTCACAGAGCAGTACCAGTCCATGGCCTGTTAGGAATTGGGCTGCACAGCAGGAGGTGAGCACCGGCCAGCAAGTGAAGCTTCATCTGTATCTACAGCTGCTCCCTATAGCTTGCATTGCTGCCTGAGTTCCACCTCCAATCAGGTCAGTGGCATCATGAGATTCTCAAAGAAGCATGAACCCTATTGTGAACTGCGCATGTGAGGGATCTAGGTTGCACACTCCTTATAAGAATCTAACGCCTGATGATGTTACTGTCTCCCATCACCCCAAGATGGGACTGTCTAGTTACAGAAAAACAAGTTCAGGGCTTCCACTGATTATACATTATGGTGAGTTGTATAATTATTTCATTATATATTACAATATAATAATAATAGAAATAAATTGCACAATACATGTAATATGCTCGAATCATCCTAAAACCATCCCACCCTGCTCCCCATGTCTGTGGAAAAATGTCATCCATGAAACCAGTCCCTGGTGCCAGAAATGGTTGGGGACTGCTGATCTATGGAGTATCTGTTATATACAATACACTGCCTGCTATCCCATTCAGCTTATTCAGTTTAATCCTTCCTATTTCCTACATAAGTTTAGAGGGTTACATCACCAGTCTAACTAGAGAGCTGAGGGATTTGGATCATACTCACAGCTGCCATGCAGTATCTTCCCAGGGCACCTACAGCTGGGGTTAATAATGATGTGTGGCCCTTCTACTATCTATATTATAATCAATTTGAGTGCTGCTTAAACAAACAGATCCATGATGCACACACACCACCCCTCCCCAACACACACAGAACAACAGTAACAACAATAATGTCAACAACCAACTATGAAGTCAAAAACTTCAGGATGAGACCCAGGAATCTGCACATTTAACAAGAAACCCCAGGCAATTTTTGTACACATTGAAGTCTGACATCCACTGCTATAAAATTTACGTGTATCCCGTTGGAGAGAAAAAAAACCCAAAAAAACAAAAAACACAATGTGACAAAAACAGTCACTGTCACAATCCCTAGTTACCCTTCCTTCAGTTTTTCCTCTATATTTTCTGTTTTTTTTTTTTTTCCTTAACATCAGGCGTACATTGAGATTTCTTTCAGTCAGTCCTGACTTATAGCCCCTTTGTGGTTATGACTCATCCCAAACACTTTCAAACTGAACTGCAGCAAAATCAATAAATCAACGTAATTAAACCACTATCATAAAGAATATTACTCAACAGTATAAGAACTGTAACTACTCGCCCTAACATGTGTTTCTTTCTATTTCCTATCAGTCTAACTTAGAGAGCTGAGTGCAGACTCCTGGGTCTCATCCTGAAGTTTTTGACTTCATAGATGGTTGTTGATATTATTGTTGTTACTGTTGTTGTGTGTGTGTTGGGGAGGGGTAGTGTGTGTGCATCATGGATCTGTTTGTTTAAGCAGCACTGAAATTGATTATAATATAGATAGTAGAAGGGCCACACATTAACATTAACCCCAGCTGTAGGTACCCTGGGAAGCTACTGTATGGCAGCTGTGGGTATGATCCAAATCCCTCAGCTCTCTAGTTAGACTGATACAATTCTCAAGTGAACAGTTTCAGAAAATATCTTGATAGAATCTCAAGATGTACTTGAGCAACTGGTACACAGTAATGATGGCTGTGACTTAAGACTCTCTAGGGGCCAATCGTAGAGCTGCAAAAAATGCTTAAATCCAGGAAGGAAAACACAAAAGGAAACAAAACAAAAAAAAAAAGCGTTGGTGAGGAGTTTGCAAATGATCATGTGAGGCAGATAAACAGTTTCTCTCAATTTTTAAAAATCAACATATATTGAGCCTAGGCGGGCCAAAACAGAGATACTCCATTTTGAATCATGACAGGAATAGAAGGGCATGCGAAATTTCTCCAGCTTTTCTACCTTTCAGATTTTAAAAGTTGATTCACTTAAGCTGTTAATACAGTAGAAACAATCTACATGTATCTGGCATACTGAATTTTCTTCACCCAGATAATAGTGAATTCAATTTTGTCTTTCACGGCACACAGTTTAGAATTTCTCTGTCTGTACCTATTTTCCACTTGTCTCAGGATCTCAACTAAAAGTCATTTTGAACAATTATATAATGTAGATTCCAAACTTTTATAAAACTGCTTCAACACACCATTTTTAGGTGGTTTTCATTCTACCTTAAAACTAAGTTGCTACAGTTTAAAAGTGCACAAGGGCAGAGTGACAGCCCTATATACTATGGAAAGAATGAAACAGACAATGATAATAGCTTCTTTCAGCTAGAAAGCTGTACAATAGACTGTTCTTCTTTAGACATTACTGAAGGTAGACTGAAAAATATCACCTAAGTGAATTTTTGGTTTCTTAGCTTCACTGGACTTGATGAATTGACAAAAGCCCCAGATAATGGCTGATACGGAGAAAGAGTGGGAAAGTATGTCCGTAGATGGAAAGCATGACCCTGAATCAAAACTGTGAATGAGCCTGTGGGGACAGCTGGACACAGGAGAATGTTTTGCCCTCATTAGTGAGCAATTTCTTCTTTTGGACTGAACATACAGTCTATCTCCTTCTCAGCCTTAAGGGATTTCTAGAAAAAAAAAAAGGGTTAGTAATTGTGTGGTCTTCTCCATTACAAAGATGCTGATATTTCAAATTCAAAGGGTTACAATAAATGAGAGCTTGGGAGAGTGTATGCAAACCTGTTAGTAGAAAGGTAGAGCATTGCTTATGCCCTTGGTCTTGTCAGTTGTATCTACAACACGTAAGTAGTAAAGGGGTTGCTAAGCAACTTCTAACTTTTAACATTAAGTGTGCTCAGGGACTGCATACTGCAAAGGCACAGTATTGCCCATTGGTAGAAGAGGATGCCCTAAGTAAGATGAAGTGGAAGGTATCTCTTTATTGTCCTTTCAGTTTGTTGTTTGTGGAACAGGAAGCAAAAGAGAGATTCATGTTTTGGTTTGTTCTGGAAACTTATAGAACTCAAGAGTAGTAGAATGACTAAAATTATTTTTGTCATTCCTACATCTTGTTTTTCTTCATAACTATTATTTAGATTCTGCTCTCTCATCAGGAAGATTCCTTTTTTTCTTCTTTTCCTGAAATCAATCCCTGAGCCTCCATGGTGGCTGTGGAGGGACCTTTCACATAGCAACACCTTGATTCTTGTACACTGGGAATCTCCTTGCCCTTGGAAAGGCACTGTGACTCCTTAGTATTTTATTTCAAAAGAAGCTACCTTATACCTCAGGGGAGAACGATTTGAGACATTTAAACACCAGCAACAACAGAACCTGACACACAAATAAAATATTCTTCCTAAGCCCAAAGGATACAAAAATGTGTTCAGTATATTTAAGCTAACTAACTAAAGTTATCCTGCCTTGTTTTCTGAAGCTTTAGGCTCAACCCATTGAAGTGCTGACTTTTAGGGCTGTAGTAGCTGTCATCTCAGCAGCTGCTGCAGAGAAACCTGTACCAGCCCTCCTTAAAATCTACACTCAAAAAAGTAAGGCCCAAAGAGAGAAGACACTTACTCTCCAGTGTGCCCCAGGCTTACCTTGTGAATTCTGATTATTGTTTTAGGATTACACTTTTTTCTTGAATAACTGACAGGGGATCTGAAATGATGAATATATTACATGGAGATCCTGGGTCCCAATTCCCAGGAAAGTGATCTACCTGCTACCTCAACAAGCCAACCATATCAGAATGCAATACAACATTCCTAAGGCAAGTATGTGCATGTGCTAGGAGTTTAGTGGATTAAACATTCCTTTTCTCTGCATGAGAATTTCTCATTAATACTTCTTTATGGATAGAAGGCAAGAACAGAATCAATAAACAGCGCAAAATCAAGGCACCACCCTAGAGTTCTGTCTTTCCTTTATCCTTATAGCCACTTTTCTATATCTACATTCACTACAAAATCAGCCCCTCGATATCCAATACAGGCCATGTAAGGTATTCCAAAAATTAAAACTCAATTGCGAGAGACACTGAAGGACAAAGAATTTTCCACAGTGCTTCCTGAGCCTTTCTCCCATGCCCTTGTATATAATCTCAACTCCTAACTGCTTTAGTTCAACACTGTTGACAAAAGTCTTATTGCCTAAACAATAACGGATCTGCACAATCCCTTTCTTTTCGAGAAATATCTATGACAAACATCAACTTCAGCTCACCCCTCCTGTTAAACCTCCTTAAAACACTCTGCCCTCCTGCTCCAAGTATGAATGTTCATTTGGAGCCTTCTCATGCCTGGCATTTTCAATAAAAGCTTATGTTAATAGGGCTTGATTGATTTTCTTCCACACAATTTATAAAATACACGCTTAACATTTTACTCTCTTAGAATCAACATCATGATGACTTTGCAAATCTTCAATGTCACACTCTGTATTATTCTCAAATAATATTGTGAGTCC
Organism: Homo sapiens; assembly: GCF_000001405.40. Taxonomy (NCBI): domain Eukaryota; kingdom Metazoa; phylum Chordata; class Mammalia; order Primates; family Hominidae; genus Homo; species Homo sapiens. The sequence goes on from NC_000002.12 coordinate 77,002,147, forward strand.
CCTGTTTTCAAATGTATACTTGGCCTCTTTTCAAACATATATGTTAGCTTCCTTTTAAAATAGCCTTTTAGAGTTCATTTGCTAGCCAGTACCAGATGCTCTAAAATTGGGGACTGCAAAGTAATTTCAGAAGGAGTGAAATTTGGTGTCCTACCCAGATTTCTAAAAGAGAAGCTGGAAAAATCATGTGTTAATGAGAGTCATGTGGTAGATGCCCAATTCTTGGCTAGAGGAAGTCATTTTTTCCTGTATGCAGATCCCCAGCAAATACTACAATACATTTTCAAATAAATAGTATATGGGTCTGTTTCCCCATAACCACCATTGCTGACTACCTAATCTGACACCATTGTTAACTGGAAATACAACTATTTCCTTCTAATTGCTATCCCTATGTCCTTATTAGCCTCAAACAATCTATTCTTTTCATAGAAGCCAGAGCATTCTTTCAAAAATGTAAGCAGAATGTGCCACTCTTCTGCTTAAACTCCCAAGACTTTACTCCACAGTGCCGTTTTTGATTTCTGAAAACACCTTGTTCTCTCCTTGCCCTTGTTGCTTCCTTGGTGTCCTTGCTCTCACCTCCTCCCAAGATTGTCTTTTTCTCATCATTTAGGTCTCTGCTTAAAAAGTCTCTTTTTAAGAGATGCTTCTTAGAACACAGAATCTAAGCTCTACCTCTCCCATCAATACTCTTCATCACATTGTCCTGTTCTATTTATTGAGCTTACGTTTTGGAGTACTTAATAATATTTTAATTTATTCTATTCATTTTTACTTGTTTGCTAGTTTTCTGGACCACACCAATCATTTATGCTACACAGAGCAAGGAACTTATTTGTCTTGTCAACAGTGGTAACTTCAGTTATGTAGAATAGACTTGACATATAGCCATATAGTGGGTACTCAGTATAATTTCTGTTTATTTTTAATTTTTTTATGTGTAGTTTTTACTTTGCGATAAGAATATATGGAATTTCTCTTCTCTGAAACTCCCTTATTCTGTAACTTCAGCTTTTTATGTTCTTATTTGTTATTTTCTTCCTGTTGATAGAATTTTGTCCACGTTTGTGTTTCTTATAATTTAAGCTTTTTTTATAATTATAGATTCTATTTTACTTTTATTTGCTTATTTTCATTATTATTATAATAAATATTAACTACTTATGTAGAGCTTATAATATACTAGGAAGTTGATATGTATTGGCTCTGCACCCCCACCGAAATCTCACCTTGAATTGTAATAATCCCCACGTGTTGTAGGAGGGACCTGGTGGGAGGTAACTGAATCATGCAGATGGGTTTTTTCTCATGCCTTTCTTGTGATAGTGAGTAAGTCTCAAGAGATCTGATGGTTTTGTAAAGGGAAGTTTCCCTGTATATCACCTTTGCCTGCCGCCATGTAAGATGTGACTTTGATCCTCATTTGCCTTCTACCATGATTGTGAGGCCTTTCTTGCCATGTAGAATTATGAGTTAATTAAACCTCTTCCCTTTATAAATTACCCAGTCTCAGGTATGTCTTTATTAGTAGTGTGAGAACAGACTACTACAGTAAATTGGTACTGGGTAGTGGGACACTGCTGTAAAGACACCTGAAAATGTGGAAGCAACTTTGGAACTGGGCAACAGGCAGAGGTTGCAACAGATTGGAGGGCTCAGAAGACAGAAACATGTGGAAAAGTTTGGAACTTCTTAGAGACTTGTTGAATGGTTTTGACCAAAAAGCTAATAGTGTTATGAACAATAAAATCCAGGCTGAGGTGGTCTCATAGGGACATGAAAAACTTGTTGGGAGCTGGAACAAAGGTCACTCTTCCTATGCAAAGAAACTGGTAGCGTTTTGCCACTGTCCTAAAGATCTGTGGAACTTTGAACTTGAGAGAAATAATTTAGGGTATCCATTGGAAGAAATTTCTAAGTAGCAAAGTGTTCAAGAGGAAGTAGAGCATAAAAGTTTGAAAAATTTGCAGCCTGAAATGCAGTAGAAAAGAAAACCCCATTTTCTGGGGAGAAATTCAAGCCTTCAGCAGACATTTGCATAAGCAACAAGGAGCCAAATGTTAATTGCCAAGGTGACAGTCCCCAACCCCCATCATAAGCTCAGACGCCTAGGAGGGAAAAATGGTTTCCTGGGCTGGGTCCAGGGACCCCTGCTGTGTGCAGCCTACGTACTTGGTCCCCTGCATCCCAACTGCTCTAGTCATGGCTAAAAGAGACCAAAGTGTATCTTGGGACATGGCTTGAGAGGGTGCAAGCTCCAAGCCTCAGCAGCTTCCACATGGTGCTGAGCTTGTGGGTACACAGAAGTCAAGAATTGAGGTTTGTGAACCTTTGCCTAGATTTCAGAGCATGTATGAAAACACCTGGATGTTCAGGCAGAAGTGTGCTACAGTGGTGGTGCCCTCATGGAGAACCTCTGCTAGAGCAGTGCAGAGGAGAAATGTAGGGTCGGAGCCCCCACACAGAGTCCCCAATGGGGCACTGTCTATTGGATCTGTGAGAATGGGGCCACCGTCCTCCAGACCCTAGAATGGTAGATCCACTGACAACTTTTGTCATGCACCTGGAAAAGCCACAGACACTCACTGCCAGCACATGAAAGCAGCCAGGAGGGTGGCCGAATCCTGCAACTGCACAGGAGCGAAGCTGCCCAAGGTCGTGAAAATCCACATCTTGCATCAGCATGACCTAGATGTGAAACATGGAGTCAAAGATTATTTCCAAGTTTTAAGATTTGACTGCCCCGCTGGATTTCTGACTTGCATGGGGCCTGTAACCCTTTGTTTTGGCCAACTTATCTCATTTGGAATGGGTATATTTACCAATGCCTGTACCCCAGTTGTATCTAAAAAGTAATTAACTTGTATTTGATTTTACAGGCTCCTAGATGGAAGGGACTTGCCTCGTCTGCAATGAGATTTTGGACTTGGACTTTTGGGTTAATGCTGGAGTTAGTTAAGACTTTGGGGGACTGTTGGAAGGCATGATTGTTTTTGTTTTGTTTTGTTTCTTTGAGACAGAGTCTCACTCTGTCACTCAGGCTGGAGTACAGTGGCATGATCTCAGCTCACTGCAACCTCTGCTGCCCTGGTTCAAGGGATTCGCCTGCCTCAGCCTCCTGAGTAGCTGGGATTATACATGCCTGCCACCACACCCAGCTAACTTTTGTAATTTTAGTAGAGACAGGGTTTCACCATCTTGGTCAGGCTGGTCTTGAACTCTTGACCTTGTAATCCACCTGCCTTGGCCTCCCAAAGTGCTGGGATTACAGGCGTGAGCCACCGTGCCTGGCTGATTGTGTTTTAATATGTGAGGACATGAAATTTAGGAGGGGCCAGGGGTGCAATGATACGGTTTGGCTCCATTTCCCCACTCAAATCTCACCTTGAATTGTAATAATCCCCACATGTCATGGAAGGGACCCAGTGGGAGGTAATTGAATCATGGGAGCAGATTTTTCTTGTGCTTTTGTCATGATAATGAATCTGTCTCATAAGAGCTGATGGTTTTATAAAGGGAGTTCCCCTGCACATGCCCTCTTGCCTGATACCATGTAAGACATGACTTTGCTGCTCATTCACCTTCCGCAGTGATTGCGAGGCCTCTCCAGCCATGTGGAACTGTGAGTCAAACCTCTTTCCTTTATAAATTACTCACTCTCAGGTATGTGTTTATTAGCAGTGTGAGAACAGACTAATACAGAAGTATTCTAAACACTTCACAAATATTAGCTTATTTATTAACATCCTCTTGTGTTAGTGCATAGATACTATTATTGTCCTTATTTTACATACAGAGAAACTGAGGCACAAAGAGGATAGTTAAGGTTCATAATCACATAGCAAATAGAAGAGTCAGGATTTAAACTCAAATCTGGGTAATCTGGAATCCAGAATACAAACTCTTAAATGAATACATAAATCGAAACCCCAAAATGATATATATTTAAAATATTTTCTCACATATGATTCAATATTTTCCTTTTCAACCATGCTCTTCTGAGAATTTTTATGTTTTAAACAAAGGACATTCGTTTCTTAAGGGGTAAAAATATGGCTTAGAATAAAATGGACCTTAGAATGGGCTAGGATCCATTCTTTAATCTGGACCCTAACACTTTGGGAATCTAAGGAATTACAATAATTTCGAACCTAAGCCTTTAAGAAATAAGATGTTTTCTAAATTCTCAAGCTCATTTTTACTAAATCACATACTAAAGAGATGTTCCCTGTGCTATGGTGGAAATTGGTTGAGAAATATGACCTAGGAATATTATCATTCCAAAAGTAAAGCTTCCAGAAAATTTTATTTTGGTAGATGAGGATTAGAGGAACAAGAAGAAAATCATAACATTAGGGCCAATGCCAATTGCAAAGTCCTGTATTCAATGCAGCATTCTGAGGTATAGAGGGGTAAGAGCTAAGGAAGATGTATAAGTTGTTGAGCTGGAGAGTAGCCCCCAGAACCTGCAGACATCATCATGATGCACAAAAACAAGCGGAGAGATTCTAGACTTCTGGGGATCATGGAATATTTGAAGAAAACCGGGAGACTAGAAGGGTCTGGAATCACAATAGAGGGATTGCGACTGGACATTTTGGTGCTTGTCTATGGCAGGTGGGAACAAGCTGCTCACAAGAAACAGGCAAGACCAGCTAAGCTTCAGTGGAAATCAAAGTTGAACACCAAGAGTAGAGGTCAGAGCAGACCTTAATCCTGTGGAGACTCGTTAAGTCCAGAGGACAGCAGTTGTACCAAATGTGTCTCTAGCCAATCACATTGACACAAACATCCTTTGGCATCCAGGTTCAAGGAGGACAAAAGATGAGCTTTATAGAAAGAGGAATACCTAATAGGATGGGAATGTTGGCTTTGTTTTTTGTTTTTGTTCTTTATTGTATGAACAGTTTGAGTTAAAAAAAAAGATTAAATTTTAACTTGGGCAAGCTGACAATAATAGAAACTCAAGAGAATTTGAAATTTTCCTGTAATAAATAAAGAGGAATATATATATATACACACACACACACACGCATATATATATATGCACACACAAGATGAAGTGTGGGCACATTTGCAATTCTGTTATCTAAGAGAAGAAAGACTAAGAAGCACAGAGGATTGTGAGTAAAAAGAGGAAGCAATCATCAAGGCTTCCTTTTATATTATATTGAAGGAAATGCTGAGTAACTTTAGACACAGTGCAAAATATTCTAGCAATTTAAAAAGATCAATATGAAGATAGAGTCATGCATGTAAAATTTGCTGAGATATATTGGCTATATGACCAAATTTCATTCCCATGTGAAAGAATATATTTGGAAAGCAATGAAAGTCTATACACAGAAATAGCCATTTCCATTCACTGGAGGACCAAGGAAAAATTAATTACAAGGTCTGAGAAAGTGTTAATCTGCCATAGTGCTTTTGCTGTCTATAAAAATGGCAACATAGGTTTGTTACTAACTTGTACATTTGGCTGACATATTATCGAATAATTTTGCAAGTAAATCTCACCATTCAAGTCTCTCTAAAGGGAAAGAATAAAGGAAGGTATTTATAGTCTTCTTGCAATGGTTCGGTGGAAAAGAAAAGGCTACATGTCTTCCATTCGGCTTTAGAGAGAGAGTTCTGTGAATAGAAAATTGGCTCTTTTCCTAATTACTCTCCTGGAATCAGCTGCTGAGTACAACTCCATAATCTACACCATCCAACAAAAGACATGGCAAAGGTTAAGTGATTTTGTCCTATATCCAAGATAGCTTTCATATAGCTTCATTGTTCCTTCAATGAATTGAGTCATTCACTGAAAATGCACACTTTTACTGTGTTCCAGATTTATTATCTAAGGTATTAATCTCCACTTCACCAAACTGAAATACAGAAGGAAAATGTAAACCACACCAAAGTGAACAACTGTAGCATCCTGTTGTTTAACCAATCGCTTATGTTTGGCCAGAGGCATCAATGAAAGAGACAATGAAAAAAGAGAATAAGTAAAAACTTCAAATGTTGTGTGGTATTAGCATATATTATTCTCATCCCAAATGGCAATCTTTACCTTTAAGTCCCAATAACTAAAGGAAAATTACTTGAACTGGTGGTACACACATTTAGGTTTACATCTTAAGTGAAAGCTGATATGTAAAACCTCTAACCTTTATTTCTCTGATAATTGTAATATGTATTTTTTTAAATAAATTCAAGCCAAATTCCTAAAAGCAGAATCATGGAGATATCACAGAATGTATGGTTCAGATTCTTCAACATGTTTAAAATAATTTAGTTTTATTCAAAAGCCAGCATAACTGTAGATAGTCTGATTTCACCACTGATATGATATTGATCAAGCTTTTTGAATAAGGTTGCTGGCATTGTCACCACAGAACAAATAACGTAGGGGCTGACAGGATTAAATTCACTAAATGTTGTCAATGCAATTCCTGACAGCTGTATAATTGAATAACATCTGGATACCAGACTATACTCTTGTCTTTCTTGTTGAGGTGTGTTTGCCATATAGCTCATCCTTTTACCAGTAGTCCAATCATGTACATCAACTCAGCGAATTTATTGCTTCTGCCTGGGACACAGTGATTTCCAAATGTACCATTTTTATAATTGTTTTCTAGGCCTGAAGGCATGACGAGGCGCCGGCAATGCCTTTCTAGTAGCTTATTACTTTTTCCTTGTAGGATTCACTGTTTCTGACTGGGTTAGCACTTTCTGTCTAACACTTTACTGTATCATACAGTATGCTAGGTCTCAAGCCATATTGGAGCCAACAAGAAAAAAAAGAAAAGAAAAAAAAAACGATGAAATGCAGCTAAACAGTTTTACTGACTGACATCTTCTTGTCTCTTTTCATTCACAGAGTGTGAACCCCTGGAGTTTTACAATCATTTGAAATTCAAAGGCAAATGCTGAGAGCACACCATCATGAGAATTGGCACCAATGAAAAAGTTTGTCAAAATCACTCTGGCACTAAACCACTGAATGTTTTCAACACAAATGGAAAGCTGACATCATTTATAGACAACTCATGGACCAACACAAAGGAAAAAATGTCAGATCCAGTGAATTTCTTTTCTTGTAATTACTGTATGATTTCAACATTGGCGTCTGTAAGAAATACTATTTTCCTCTGAAGTGTTTTCTGTAGCATTATTTTGTTTACCATGGGAGGTTTGTCTTCTCCCATTTTCCTTAGAAGTTGAACACACATTTTCAAAGCCTGCTAGTGATTTTGAATTTCAAAAGCGATTACAAGCATGATTCATGCAATATGACTCATCCCTCTCAAATGCTCTAATTGTATAAACTATATCCTTCAAAGCGTCTTATGGACACATTAAATATTAGTAAACACATTTTCAAGTGCCAAAAGGTATGGTTCCTTCACACTTGCTGATAAGACTGTAATTGATCCTCTAATTTCCATGTATGATTCAAAATAAAGCTAAGACTGTGGTAAGTCTCGCATTTTTAACATTAAACTTGAACACACCAGTTCTGCCACTGCAGTAGCCACATCTTGATTCTTAACAGCAGTCACCTTCACCTCCATAATTTCCCTTTTGTTGCTTCAAATTATTTGTTGTACTAAGCACACTTTCTCTACCAATAAATTCATGCCTCTTATTACAGTGTAAGTTTCCATCTCTTAGTAATTTGAAGAATAAACGGTCATTTTCCAAACCATCTAAAGAAGACCTCTTCAAGTCACTATCATATTATATTACTCACTTTTATTTTGCTCAGGACAGTGTACCGACAGTCTTCCATCATTAAACTTAAAATTTCATCAGGGCAGGACCCTTTTTTTAAAAAAAAAAAAGTTGATTTAACTTTATTTTTAAATTCATAAGAAATAATTGAATATATTTATAGTATACAGCATGATATTTTGATATATGTATATGTTTTGGAATTGTTAATTCAAGCTATTTAACATGTGCATTATCTCATAGAAGTATCTATTTTTGTGGTGAGAACACTTAAAATTTACTCTCTAAGCAATTCTCAAATATACAATATATTGTCATTAACTGTAGTCAACAAGATGTGCAATCGTTTTTTGGAATGTATTTATTGTGTGTAACTGAATATTTGTGTTGTTTGATTAATATCCTCCCATTCCTTCCATCCCCTAGCCTTTAATGACTACTATTTTACTTTCTGTTTCTATGAGTTTGATTTTTTTTACATTCCATATGTAAATGAGATTATGCAATATTTGTTTTTCTGTGCCTGGCTTCTTTCACTTAGCATAATGTCTTCCTGGTTGATCCATGTTTTTTCATATGACAGAACTTCCTTCTTTTTTAAGGCAGAATAGAATTGTATTGTTTACACACACACACACACACACACACACACACACACACACACACACAGTCTTTAACCATTCATCTGTTGATAGACACTTAGTTGATTCCATTCCCTGGCTATTGTGAACAATGCTGCAATGAACATGGGAATGAAGATATCTCTTTGACATTCTGATTTCATATGAAACAGAACTCTTTTGTATCATGTTCAAAACTGTATCTGCCTTCTTTTCTCTGCCCAGGATGTAAAAAAAGTGGCTGATACTTAGATGATACTTGGAGAATATTTGTTAAATGAATAAATAAATAATGAATCCACTGTTGAGAATGAGATTAGTCAACTAAAGTCTTATCCACAGACAATGTTCTGAGTTGAGACTGATTGTGGTTAGGGGCCATGGAAGGTGATTTTACTTCACCATTCTTAACAGCATAGCCATATGAAAGGCAACATTCAAATAAACTTGACATCAGTATGATTTTGGGGACTTTCTCTAACATTATTCATCCATATAGGAGACAGGAGATATTAAAGGTAATGACCAATTTTTGATCAGACAGTCAGAAGTACTATGAGTAGCCCACAAGAGCCGTATCTAGAAAGAATATAATGCAAGTCCCAAATATGAGGCACAAGTATAATTTAAATTTTTTAGTAATCATGTCTTAGTAAAAAGAAAGAGATAAAAATAGTTTTAACACAGTTTAGCCCAATATTTTCAAAAATATAATTTCAACATGTAATCACATATAATACTATCAATGAGATCATTTACATTCTTGTTTTCACACTAAATTTCTAAAAATTAGAGTGTATTTGTACTCATATCTTAATTCAGACTAGTTGCATTTATGTACTCAATAGCTACATGCGTGAGTGGCTATCACATTGGATAGAATACAGCTGGGATAGGGACTTATTATTGGGATTAGATTTTACACCATTATTGGAACTGGTAGAGAAAACCATGCAAGATTTTAACTGCATGCTTATTGTTGAGCTTGATGTCTCTAAAGTCAGCCACCAGACTGGCAACTAGGAAGAAGCATTTGTGTGTGTGTGTGTGTGTGTGTGTGTGTGTGTGTGTGTGTGTGTGTAGAATGAAGAAAATGTGAAATACATGAGAACAAACTGAAACATACATATGATTTCTAGCATAGCCAGCCTAGAAGCCATAACTTGCAGGAGAGGTCAGTATCCTTTGCCATGGATGAGGCATTCATCCATGTGGTTGAGATGTTAACTCTTTATAGTTAACATTATCTTATTGGGGTAAATATATAACTCTTAAAAATTTCAATATTTTATCTGAGTCGTTTCTCCCTTTACACAGGATTTTGTTTCCAGTTCTTCTGTCCAAGAGATTGTGTAAATTTACTGGGGAGATTTTTATCGCTCTTAACCATTCACGTGGTTGAGACCTCAGAACTGCCAAAGGAAGAGAACTGGTGTAAGGTAAGGAAGATACCACCCCACATTTACAAGGTAAGTTAACAGATCAGTGACAGCACGTGCCAGATGCCAGCATTTGAAGCCTGCATCAAACTTTAGAGCATAAAAATATGGCATATTCCTTTACTCCTACCTTTCAAATCTCACGCAAAATGTTGTCTGTGGCCAATGCAAACCTGAAACCATACAGGGAATGAATTCTGAAAAATGTAGTTTAATTTTAATTAAATTGAGAGAATATAAATGCACCATAGGCAAGCAGGGAAGCTTACTCAAGTATTTCTAGGTCCTGTCAAAACTGGAATAATTCGTTAGAAATAATTATTATTTTCAAATAACATTATTATTTCCAAGAATAATCATTTTTTTTTGGAAATCAGTATTATAACACAGAGGTTTGAAACGGATGTTCTAGTAAAACCTCTTGTAGTGCATAATCAGCTTTGACAATGAGAAATTAATGCCTAACAAGCGTGTATTTGTAAACTCCTCCCTTCCACTTTTCATCTTCTCCTGTTTCTTTAACTCAAAACTAAAGACACAAACATAAAATCATTTAACTGCAGAGATACTGAAGATTACAGAGAATCACCTGCAGAGCCTGGGCAGGATTGATGAGTGCTGATCTCATTGCACGTTAAAGTTCTAATGTTACTTGTTAAAGTAAAAGTATCATAGGCTTTTAGAACTAGAAATCCCTTTTCAAATTATCAGGTTGAACCTCTAGATATGGAACTGGGACCCAGAAGCATGAATTGAGTGACCCCCAAACTCTGTGATTATGCAGCAATTCAGCAAAACTAGGCCTCTGGTGTTCAACTAACACACAATATAACTGAAATAAGGTAAGAAAAGCAGACAAGATTACCAACTCAAACAAGGATTGCTTTGCTGGTTAAGCCTAAGCCACCACGGATATATAATACCAATTTGTAATTACTACCTAAAATACTATTAATAACATACCTGGAAATGGGCAAACGATGTATTAAGTGACTGTAGGCCTATGGCACATCCTACCAAGGAAAATACAGATGTTCAAGAGGTATAATTTTATTTGTGACAGAATTATATAGAATATAGCATGAACAACAGGATGAGTGCATGCATAATAGCATGAATGAATGGATAACCTTCTCTCCACTTTACTTTATTCTCATTTTTCTTTTTTTCCTTCAGCTTTCCCATTGAGATAGATCATTACACAAAGATCTTCAATCACCCAGCTTTGGGCTGAATCAGGAGGGAAAGGTATAACCACTGAAGCACTTGAGGTAGAAGCAAAGAGCAGGAGAAGGCATGTGCCTTGATTCCAGTTTGTTTTTCTGCTGCTGTCAGTTGGCTGCATAGAGCAGATGTGGTGCTGTGATATGTTTTGGCAAAGGCAGGGACGGAGAAAGTGATTGTCATTCTCCCTCAGCTCGCAGGCAATAGAGAATGGATATTACTGTGGAGCAACTTTACCCCTGAGATTACCACTGTGAGGGAAAATCGCCTTGTAATGAGCATTGGATGGAAAACTGGTAGTCAAATGGAAGTTGCAGCCAAGCCTGAGAGAGTCTGAAACACTGTTAAAAAAAAAAAAAAGTGAAGTGAGTAGTACTATCTGTATCAATGGGGAGATATCCTAGATCTTCCAAAACAATTGACAGCCTAGGCTGAGAGAACAGGATACGAGTTACAATAGTCTTTGGCTTGTCTTCAGTGGAAGCAACAAGGGCAGAAATCAATGCCAGCTCCTAAAGAAAACAGCGATAACAATCTCCCCAGTAAATTTACACAATCTCTTGGACAGAAGAACTGGAAGCAAAATCCTGTGTAAAGGGAGAAACAACTCAGATAAAATATTGAAATTTTTAAGAGTTATATATTTACCCCAATAAGATAATGTTAACTATAAAGAGGCTGTCTTAAACTGGGAGGGTCTGTTCTTTCAACTGGACAGGTTACCTAATTTCTCAGTGCTTCAGTTTCCTGTAGGTAAAATTAAGATCATTGTATCCATATTTAAGGGAGTTTGACAATAAGATTAGGTTGGTTCCTTATGGAAAATAAAGTTCCTTTTTTTCTTTCACCATATGGGAACTAAAGTGAATAAATTCTTCACTGTGTGTTTTGAGTATGATGAGAGAGTATGATTAATATGATCAAATCTGCATGATGAGTATGAACATGCACAGTTTTTTGTTTGATCCCCCTACAGGCTATGGATTAGCAAGGCTGAGTAGAGAGGGCGGATCAAGAGGAGTATACAAAGGCAAACAAGGCTGAGAAGGCCAAATTCAAAAGTAACGGGAAGTAGGCAAAGGCAGATGGTGAAAGGAATAGGCCAGTTGTTGAGCACATACATATTAGAATATAGGACTGAGTGCATATTCTATTCACATTGTAAATTAAATATTAATTTATTATAAAAAGAATAGCTACTCACTGAAATATTTCAAATGTACAGAACACAAATAAGGCAAACTCACCCTACAATATAAATCATCTCGTCCCTCTTGTCCCATGGTTTATATGATTGACTATTCTCATAAAAAGCATTGCAGAAGAAGCATTTGTGCCCTTTCATATATATATATATAAAGATTTTATAGGCCAGGTGCAGTGGCTCATGCCTGTAATCCCAGCACTTTGGGAGGCTGAGGTAGGCAGATCGCCTGAGGTCAGGAGTTTGAGACCAGCCTGGCCAACATGGTGAAACCCTGTCTTTACTAAAAATACAAAAATTAGCTGGATGTGGTGGTGGGCGCCTGTAATCCCAGCTACCTGGGAGGCTGAAGCAGGAGAATCGTTTGAACCTGGGAGGTGGAGGTTGCAGTGAGTGGAGATTGTGCCACTGTACTGCAGCATGGGGGACAGAGTGAGACTCTGTCTCAAAGAAAAAAAATTATAAATATTACTTTTAGTGACAAAACATAAGGATTATATAATATCTCATAATTGACTTTTCATTTTTTTCAAAGAGATTTTTTATTTGAAGAGTGATGATTTTTTGATGTGTCAACTTGGCTAGCCTACTGTCTTTAGTAATTGGATAAACACTACTTTTAATGTTTTTGTGAAGGTATCTTGTTGATGTGATTAAACTCCATAGTCAGTTGATGGGGAGAGTAGCCTGGATAATCAGGATGAGTCTGATTAGATCAGTAAAAAGGCCTCAAAAACAGGGATGAGGATTGCCTGATGAAAAGATTTTTTCCCTGTGCATAGCAGCTTTGCTTATATCCACAGTTCCAGTCAACCCTTCTGGATGGCCTACCCTAGAGATTTCAGACTTGCCTGCCTGGCTTGTCCCTAAATCACGTAAGCCAACTCCTTGCAATAAATCCCTTAGTATATATTTCCCATTGGTTCTGCTTCCCTGACTGATACATGGAGGAAGTTGTACTTTATTTATTTATTTATTTATCTTTTTTTTGAGACAGAGTCTTGCTCTGTCACTCAGGCTAGAGTGCAGTGGTGCGATCTTAGCTCACTGCAACCTCCACCTCTGGGTTCAAGCAATTCTCCTGCCTCAGCCTTCTGAGTACCTGGGATTACAGGCATGCCCAGCCAATTTTTGTACTTCTAGTAGATACAGGATTTCACCATGTTGGTCAGGCTGGTCTCGAACTCCTGACCTTGTGATCCACCCGCCTTGGCCTCCCAAAGTGCTGGGATTACAGGTGTGAGCCACCATGCCCGGCGGAAGTTTTACTTTATAGAAACAACATTGCCACTGGATGTATTTTTGAAGTAGGAAATAAATGACCAAGAGACACTCTTCTGCCTTGCAAATGTATGAAGTGGATAGAAAAAAGGGGAAAAAGCCTGGAAATGTCAGAGAAACAGAAATACTGAGGACTTGCCGCCATGCTTACCAAGGAGGATAAGAGAACATTTCTGGAGGATAAGAGAACAGCCAGGTGCAGTGGCTCACACCTATAATCCCAGCACTTGAGAGTCTGAGATGGGTGGATTACTTGAGGTCAGGAGTTCGAGACCAGCCTGGCCAACATAGCGAAACCCTGTCTCTACTAAATAATCTGTAATCTACTCAGGAGGCTGAGGCAAGAGAATCGCTTGAACTGGGAAGCAGAGGTTGCAGTGAGCCGAGATCACGCCACTGCGCTCCAGCCTGGGTGACAGAATGAGATTCTGTCTCCAAAACAAAATATAAACAAACAAAAATCCGGGAGCAGTGGCTCATGCCTATAATCCCAGCACTTTGGGAGGCCAAGGAGGGCAGATCAAGAGGTCAAGAGTTCAAGACCATCCTGGCCAACATTGTGACATCCTGACTCTACTAAAAATACAAAAATTAGCTGGGCGTGGTGGCAGGCGCCTGTAGTCCCAGCTACTTGGGAGGCTGAGGCAAAAGAATTGCTTGAACCTGGGAGGCAGAGGTTGCAGTGAGCCCAGATCGCGCCACTGTGTCCAGCCTGGCGACAGAGGGAGAACTCCATTTAAAAAAAAAAAAAAAAAGAGTGAGGAAGAAGATGGGCAAAAGAAACAAGTTCTGATTGCTGAATAGAAACAAATATTTCAGATTTAACGGGCCAGGGTAACTAAGAGCTGAGATTTTCCATATGGTCTGTAAGCCTATAATGTATTACAATCATGTTGCCTTATATCAGCTCAAAAGCTTTCCACATCCATTTGCAGCTGGACTGCTTGAATTGCCTCTCTCTTCTCACGCTAGGTACCTATTTCTGAAACAAGGCAGAACATTTTGCCCCTGAAAATGCAAATAAACTTCCCCCAGTAGAGGCCCCCACTCAGAAATGATAAATGGAGGCCTTGAAGTGTTTCCTCTAGTGAATTACATATTAGAATTACACTTTCTATTTCTGGGAACTTTGCATTCTCACCTATTGCCTTGTTCAACATTTGCCGCCTCTGGCTGCAGAAACTGATTAGGAAGCAAGGCCAATTGGATATTTGAAATGATACTTTATTGACTTTTTTTTTTTTAATAAGGGAGACAGCCAGCAGAGAAATGTGTAGCAGCACTCTATTTGCCTGTAGTTAGGGTCATATCTTGTTTTCTTTATTTCATAGTAGCAAGCTGTGAATACTCCATGCTTCCCTTTCAATTATACTCAGCTAAAATATATTGGGTGTTATTCATTTTAAAGGACTGAGGGAAAAGAAGCAACACCTGGTTGCAGGCACTTTGCTCATTGTTTGATAACCCTTAAGTATCATCAGAAAGAATTCTCCAGGATAAACATCAACATAGATGAGGACATCACGGCCACAGAGATAAAGTGTGATATCCAAGGTGGCAAAGACATTTTAACTAAGGCCTGACCTCCTGTTGTTCTACCATCTTATCACTTTAAGTAATGCATATATTCTCTAAGAGTCACATTTAAATTAAGCCCATTTTACTACATAAGCTTTTAAATAATCTGATAAAATAATTATATCCTGAAAACTCCTTTTATAGAACAAATGCCATCCTTATTGGCCTCATACATCTCCTTTTCCATTTATCTTTTCTTTTTAATTTTAAGAAAACTATAAAAGAATCTTTCCTGCCTCAGATATCCCCTCCATTAGCTGTACCTCCTAAGGTCTGGTAAGTACAAGTAAAAGGAACATTTGCTGGAGCTAAATGAAAGTAGTGGCCACATCTCTCACGTGTTTGTGTACCATCTACAGAGGAGTTTCCTACTAGTAAGGACAGTTTGATCACTCCTAGACATGGAGTACTTAAACCAAATACACTTTGTATATACATAACTCCTCTCCTCCTCCTATACTTACAACCCGAGGTAGTCATTACGATATCTAAAAGAAAAATAAATAGAAGAGGAGAATAAAAACAACAATTTTAGGAATGACTATGTGAATTGTCTCCTAACTTTATTTGATTAATTTAGCTTTTTTATAAATTTCTAGACAATGAGAACCCAATCTACTTATATTTAGCAAGTCTGCATAATCACCCAAAAATTATATATTAGAAAGCGTCTTTCTTTAAAACAGGAAGTGTTAGCTCAAACGAGATAAGATGTGAACAAATAATCATAATGGCATAATACTTAAATATATTTTATATATAAATAAGGTAAATCTAAATTTCTTATCCATCTATGCGCATGTTTAGATCAATATATACTTGACTTCTTTTTATAGCTTTGGTATACAAATTGTTTAATGTAAGAAAGAATTGAAAGTACTATTTTTCCTTTTGATGTTTTTGAAATCTAGTTTCAATTTCAAATATTTAATTTCTGTTGTGTGATGAAAAATAGGTCCCCCAAAGAAAAATTTTTTTTGTTTTTTTTTTCAAAAGTACATTTCACTTAACCATGTAATGCTAAGCTCTTGATTGCTTTTTTTTTTTTTTTTTTGTCTTTGTTCTTTATCTGACTGTGAGCTGGTGAAAAGAGAACAGTCAGGGAATAAAGACTTCTTTGATACCAGCAGGACTCCTAAGGGTTCTTTTGTTTGCTAATGGCTGGGATTTTCTCATTTACATCCTTTCAGGGAAGAAACCATGTAGCTGCCATATCATATCTGTGTCTGGATAACCTTTTGCACTAGACTGCTCTGTATGGATGGATTAACGCATGATGGCTATTGACTCAGACTTCTACAGCATTCCTCTGAGCAGAAGGCAGAAACCAACCTTTTGCATTTCTGGTGATAACATCAGCAACCAGGCCAATTTCAAGAATCATTAGATTTTCATTATGATAAGAAATATAAACATCATTCTTTCCTGAAGTTAAATTTTGAATTACTAATAGTTCAGAAGTACAGCTGAAGGTTTACCACAACTCAGAAAACTTTCTAACTAAAGAGGAAAATATAATTGTTAAAGTTTAAAGCCCTTTAAGAAGTTTAAGTTCTTTGATGAAGTGTAACTTGCACATAATAAACAATTGGTATGTCACATTATTATTCTTCTTTCATGAAAGCAAGTTCTAATGAACTTTAAGGTACAGGAATATTTTAGTCTAATTTTACAATGGATTTGTGTTTGAATGTGGTAATGCATAATTTCATTAAATATTTTAAATTCTGATTATTTTCATTTAGCCCATTACTTCAGTTTCTAAAGAAAAAAAATGAAATATCTTGTAACAGAAATGTAGTGAATTTGAATCTCTAGTCTCAAATCTCACACATTGGAAGGCCCCAATCTGCTGTACACTTCACAGTGCTATATGAAAAACTTCTTGAATGAAATATGGAAACTCAATTTTTAGACTTGTTATAGAGAGTCAGAATATAGCTACACTAACAAATGGATAGTACTGAGTTTTACAAAATGGAATTTATTCAGGAACATACTATTGGATACTAAGCTTGTCACTGCTCTACAAAAAAAAAAAAAAAAAAAAAAATATAAGAAGAAGACAGAGTGTATTGACCCTGCTTACTGATATCTTTGCCATTGTTAAGCCCTGGAAGGCCTTAATGCCAGGTATGCAACATTGTGTAGTATCTAAGAGTACTACCTCTTCAGTCAGAATCATGAGGTTTTAATCACAAATTTCTAACTTTCTATGTGACCTCAGGAAGGTTATAAACCTTTTCTAAGCCTCAGTGACTACACCAGTGAAATAATACTATAAATCTCATGGAAGGAGCTGCTGTGAAGATACAATGAGGAAATAAATTTAAATCCTTAGCACAATACCTGGCACACAGTAATTGCTTAAAATGGTTAGCTTGTATTATTAACACTGCTAACCAAGTGATAAAAATTACATCAGTTGCAGATAAAGCCAATTTCTTGTTTCAGATATATCTAAATCCATTTTAAGACAGACTAAACTTGGTTATAATAACATATTATTATATTAATGATACTTATTATGTAGCAATAGATAACTGAACCAGAAAATTTTTATCAAAAGTGAGGCTCCAATATAATAAAAATTTTAAAACATGTAGCACTGGCTTTAGTACTGGGTAATGGGAAAAGGTTAGAAAAATGGCAAAGAGGCTGTGGGTGAAGGTTGAAAGAATGTCAAACAAAATGTTAGTGGAGGCTCGAAAGGAAGCAAATAAATTATTATTGGAGGCTGAAAAAAATGGTGACCTGTGTTTTTTGATAGCAAAATAGTTGGAAAATTTATCTCCTAGGTTACTTGGAAAACATAAAATATACTTAATGAACTTATGAATCTAAGGATGTGTCTAGGATAGATATTATAAATGTGCTTCTTTTTGCTGTATGTAACAAGGTACAGGAAGAGAAAGATGAAGAAAGGTAGAAATTTTCAGTTTATAAGTAGTATTAATAAAAAAAATAGAAGGCACAGAACTCTTTTGGTTTGGAAAAATAAAAAATAAAAACCTTAATATTCTCTAGTGTCTCCAGCTAGCCAAAGATTCTCAAAGTAAGAAATGGCCTCACAATAAGAATTAAATCTAGTGTAGTTGTATGATCCTCTGCTAATATTAGGTTGGTGCAAAAGTAATTGTGGCTTTTGACATTAAAAGTATTGGCAAAAACCACAGTAACTTTTGCACCAACATAATACTTTAGAAAGATTTATGGAGGTACCTAGCAGATCCCATCAGCTACACAAAAAGGTTTCTAAGAATCGTACATGTGTTGTCCCTCTAACCCTCTACCAAATTCGACAGAATAATCTATTTTTAAAAAATCATAGATCTGACATTTGGGGCATGATATAAACACAAATTACACACTCTCAATGTTTTTAAGGTAGTAACATAACGAACAAAAAGCCAGAGGTAGTTCAAAATGAAAAAATATCTCTATGCATGCAATTTTCTATGACAATGAAGCAGCCTGAGAAGGTCAAGTAGATACTCTGCTCAAACACTGGTCATTTCTTAAAGAAAAGAAATGGTATCTCTCAGCGTAGAGCCATGAGTGAAGTCAACAACAACGAAGATGCTGAGAATTCCATGTCCAAGGAACAGAAGCAGACTAACCAAGGATCATTTTCTGTCCATGGATTGGGGAGTACTGAGAAAATATACCAAACTATTTTCAGAATTGTTATGGACTGGTGATTGACTTCGAAGTTTCGAATTTTTGAATGGGAGCTTCTATTACTGTTATCCTGTATGTGTCTCACCATTATATGCTTGGAGCATGAAGGTATATAACTCAGTTTTTCAGTTTGTGGGTCCCTGGAACAATAAGAAGCCACTAAAGGAACTGCAGGCAAGAAACTTCTCTGTATCTATCTATCTATGTATCTATCTATCTATCTATCTAGCCTTATCTATCTATTGCCTTATCTATATGTATAGCCATATATATGTATATAATCAGTGATATATATATATCAGTGATGTATATATCAGTGAGAACTATACAGATAACAAGACCACGAACTTGAAGACGAATGCTAGGAACTTGTAAGATGTTGGGGGTGCAGAGAGAGTATGACCATATTTTACAGACAGAGGAGGGACATGCATCAGTGGAGTCACAGAACACACCAGGATTAAGTGTTACATTAATGGGCTGCAATGACTCACTTCTGTCATCTACACATTAAGACATCAAGATAATGCTTTTTCAAATTGACTCTGGACTTGCCCATGTGACATATTTTGGTCAAAGGGACACCAATACACATGATGCAAGCAAAAACGTGATAAGTGATTATACATCTAGGCTTGTCAGTTGGCATTTTGTGAAGAAAAGGTCACACTATTTGTACTATATGTGAAAGACCACATAGAGAAAGATCTCCAGTTATCCCAACCAGGTCCCATCTTTAACCAGACTGCCAGCTGAATGCAACTGCATGAGTTTACCTTGGGGAGGTTAGCAAAAGAAAGTTTCAATCCATAACATCAAGAAAAACATATGCTTTTGGAGCCTCTAAATTTTGAAAGTGGTTATTTAGCAATAGATAATGCAATTACTAATGCCATAAATTTTTAATATGTATTCAAGGTGCACAACATGATGATTTCATATACACATACATTGTTTAATGATTGCCACACCCAAATTAATTATGGTATCTATCACCACTCATGCTGTATCTTAGCTCCCTAGAATTTGTTCACCTTATAACTGAAAGTATGTGCCCTTTGATCAACATATCCCCTTTTCCTCCACCTCCAAGACCACCTGTATGAGTCCATTTCATGCTGCTGATAAAGACATACCCGAGACTGGGAAGAAAAAGAGGTTTAATTGGACTTAAAGTTCCACATGGCTGGGGAGGCCTCAGAATCATGGCCAGAGGTGAAAGTACTTCTTACATGGTGGCGGCAAGAGAAAATGAGGAAGATGCAAAAGAGAAAACCCCTGATAAAACCATCAGATCTCTTGAGTCTTATTCACTACCATGGGAACAGTATGAGGAAAACCTCCTCCATGATTCAAATTATCTCCCACCAGGTCCCTCCTACAACATGTGGGAATTATGGGAGTATAAATCAAAATGAGATTTGGATGGGGACACAGAGCCAAACCATATCATTCTTCCCCCTGCCCCTCCAAATCCCATGTCCTTGAATTTCAAAACCAATAATGCCTTCCCATCAGTCCCCCAAAGTCTTAACTCATTTCAGCATTAACCCAAAAGTCCACAGTTGAAAGTTTCATCTGAGACAAGGCAAGTCCCTTCCACCTATGAGCCTGTAAAATCGAAAGCAAGCTAATTACTTCCTAGATACAATGGAGGTACAGATATTAGGTAAATATAGCCATTCCAAATGGGAGAAATTGTCCAAAACAAAGGGGCTACAGGCACCATGCAAGTTTGAAATCCAGCAGGGCAATCAAATATTAAAGGTCCAAAATGATCTCCTTTGACTGCAGGTTTCATATCCAGGTCATGCTGATGTAAGAAATGGGTTCCCATGGTCTTGGGCAGCTCTGCCCCTGTGGCTTTGCAGGGTACAGTCTCCCTCCTGGCTGCTTTTATGGGCTGGCATTGAGTGTCTGTGGCTTTTCAAGGCTCGCGTTGTAAGCTGTAGTTGGATCTACGATTCTGGGGTCTGGAGGATGGTGGCTCTCTTCTCACAGCTCCACTAGGCAGTCCCCAGTAGGGACTCTGTGTGAGGGCTCCAACCCCACATTTCCCTTCTGCACTGCCCTAGCAAAGGTTCTGCATGAGAGCCCTGCTCCTGCAGCAAACTTCTGCCTGGACATCCAGGCATTTCCATACATCTTCTGAAATCTAGGCAGAGGTTCCCTAACCCCAATTCTTGACTTCTGTGTACCTGCAGGCTCAACACCATGTGGAAGCTGCCAGGGCTTGGGGTTTGCACCCTTTGAAGCCACAGCCCAAGCTCTATGTTGGCCCCTTTCAGCCAAGGCTGGAGTGGCTGAGATGCAGGGCACCATGTCCCTAGACTGCACACAGCACAGGGACCCTGGCCCTGACCATGAAACCATTTTTTCCTCCTAGATCTCTGGGTCTGTGATGGGAGAGGCTGCCGCAAAGGTCTCTTGATACCCTGGAGACATTTTTCCCATTGCCTTGGGGATTAACTAACATTCAGCACTGTGTCACTTATGTAAATACCTGCAGCTGGCTTGAATATTTCCTCAGAAAATGGAATTTTCTTTTCTACCACATTGTCAGGCTGCAAATTTTCTCAACTTTTATGCTCTGCTTCCCTTTTAATACTGAATGTTTTTAACAGCACCCAAGTAACCTCTTGAATGCTTTGCTGCTTAGAAATTTCTTCTGCCAGGTACCCTGAATCATCTCTCTCAAAGTTCCACAAATCTCTTGGTCAGGGGCACAATGCTGCCAGTTTCTTTGATAAAACATAACAAGAGTCACCTTTGCTTCATGTCCCAACAAGTTTCTCATCTCCATTTGAGGCCACCTCAACCAGCATTTTGGTCAAAGCCACTCAACAAGGCTCTAGGGAGTTGCAAACTTTCCCACATCTTCCTGTCTTCTTTTGGGCCCTCCAAACTGTTCCAACCTCTGCCTGTTATCCAGTTCCAAAGTCACTTCCACATTTTCAGGTATCTTTTCAGCAATGCCCCACTCTAGTGGTACCAATTTACTGTATTAGTCTGTTCTCATGCTGCTGATAAAGACGTACCCAAGACTGGGAAGGAAAAAAAAAGATTAATTGGACTTACAGTTCCACATGGCTGGGGAGGCCTCAGTATCATGATCGGGCGCAAAAGTGCTTTTTACATGGCAGTGGCAAGAGAAAATGAGGGAAAAGCAAAAAGGGAGACCCCTGATAAAACCATCAGATCTCATGAGACTTACTCATTACCACAAGAACAGTATTGGGGAAACCACTCCTGTGATTCAAATTATCCCACTGGTCCCTCCCACAACACATGGTAATTACGGGAATACAATTCCAAATGAGATTTGGGTGGGGGCACAGAGCCAAACCATATCACCATGGTAACCACTGTTCTACTCTTTGTTTCTATAAGTTTGACTTTTTAGATTCCACATGTAAGTGAGATTATACAGTATTTGTCCTTCTGTGTCTGGCTTATTTCCTTTAGCATAATATCCTCCAAATTCATCAATGTTGTCACAATTGGCAGAATTTCATTCTGTATTATGGCTGAATAATATTCCAGCATCCTACCTCACACATGCATGTCATTGGTTGCAAAGGGTCTAGAATTAAAAAAAAAAAAAAGGAAAATTCAAGTTCTAAAGAAAAAAACAACAGAGAGGAAAAGGGAAAAATCACATTTTTTTTTGTTACTAATGAATTGGAAAACCACAAGTAAGCCTTATAATCTCTTCTCTTTTTGTTTTTATAGTATTTTTTCCTTAGGGATAATAAAACTTATTTTACTCACTTAACACTTTTCCAGTTTCAGAATGGAACAAAATTACATGTATGAACCACTCTGAAAATATAAAACACTTTCAAATTTAATATGCTTGTAAAAGTATATAGTAGGAATTCTATTATTGGAAACACATTTTAAACACTGAATCTAGTACACTGTTTCTCTAAGGATGTCTGGAAAGCCAATAAGGATTATATCTTGTTGGAAATGTAGGACACTTCTTAATTGATAATGTGGATAATATTTTCAAAATATTTCCAATAGTCAACAATTTGAGAAATTATTAGTTTTTTGTTTCAAATACGGTGAAAAAGAATCTTGATCTATATTTTTGTAATTTTAAAACTTTCAACAAGTCAAAGCATTTATATTTTCATACTTCAAATTGTGATAAAAATCAGTACGTTCATAATTAGTGGGAATTTATATCACTCATTCTAAAAGTTAAGAATCATAACATAATAGGATCCGTAATACTTTAGTTTCCAGGTAAAATCCATGACATGTCAAGAGATCACATATATTTAGCTGGAAAAATATGGTGAGCTCTTTCAAATACAGGCTGTTGATAATCCTTTCAAATAATCTCTTTGAAAAAGGTTGATTTACGACTACAAAATCTAGATACCCTCTTTTGCTGTTTATCACAATATCTGATCTTTCCTACTTGAATAGTACTAGGTCCTTCTATTCCTAATGAGCACAGGAAAAATCTTGGAGGAGGTCTTGGGTATGCTGAGATGTAAGAGAATTCTTGTCCCTGCTCCCTGGTGGGTGGGTGGGCATTAACCTCTTCTGGTTTCCTGCAACACATTTCTTAGAAATGGCAAAGATTCTTATTCCTCTTCAGTCTTCTCTCTCTTATTAATAGTCTTGATCTGTGTTCCTTCCCTTTCAATAATCATCATCCAAATAAATAAGATCAATATTCTGTTTTTCCTCTCAGTTGTACAATAGCTTAGTAAGTGACTAAAGAAAAAGGACAAGGCTGGTAGAAGCAGTGATGACAAAAACAAAAATGTAGAATATTTCTGGAGCCTCAAGAAGACTGTTGGCTTAGAGAGAAGCACTATTATGAATCTTTAGCCACATCCACTCCACCCTACTGACTACACAAGTTGTATAATTTTTTTATCCTTTTATTCCTCATTTTAAATGCCATTTTATCAACAGTTATTTCCACATATACTCAGCAGGAGATCCTAGTTCAGTCAGTATTTCAAAGAGATTGAAGTCAATGACCGCTCCTCAAAAATATTGATAAATTATCTTGCTAAATAAACAAGTCATGGGACACGATTGCACATGTTTCCTACTTGAATCAAAATAAAGCATGTGCAATGGGGGAACAATGAATTCATAGCTCTAAAATAAAGTCACGCATTATAAACGTTGACTAAAACAAAATGTTATTTTCTTTGCCTTGGGTAAGTAATTTTACTAGGGACTAAATGAAACCAGACCACATTCTTTGGAATGCTTTGTAGTAATTAGCATTACAAGAAAAAAATATTTTGATTTATTACAGTGAGGAAAATAATAGCTAGCATTTATGTTGCAGGGGCCATTTGAAGCACTTTACATGCATCATGTCAATCAATCCTCATGAAAACCCCAGAAGGTAGATATTATATTTCCTAACTCAACAGATAAAAGAAATGAGGCTCAGAAAAGTTAAAATCCTTGTGCAACTTGGAAGGTAGAGCTCAGAATCAAGTACATGCTGCCAGATCCTAAATGCTTGGTTTTTAACCCACAGAATGATCATGGGAGTGGTTGTCTCATATATGCACTAACAAAAAAATCTAAATTATCACAATAAGTGAGTTTTATTAACATTTTAAATTGTATTGCATATTTACAACAAAAGTAATAGTAAGTGAATAGCCTATTTCTAAAATTTTGGTATCAGATTCCATTTTAATTTTATACCATATTTAATTATTATATATGTAAATCCTTCTATAAAACCTGAAAAGCTGTTTATTGTCATAGAAAAAGTAAAATTCTGAATGAGTATTATTTGCACTTCTGTTTGCCTATTATACACATATACAAACATATATTCACATACAAATTGTTTTAAAAATTGTCTAAAATAAAGCTGCATATTTGGGGAAGCCACAATGTTAGACTGTAGAAATACACATGTATTCAAAAGAAGACTGCAATATTGATAAACATAATGCAAATAAGTATTAAATGTGTCTATGAATATTTAGTAAGATGTTCCAGGAAATGTTATTTTGAAGGAAAATATATGGCACAACTTAATTAAAGCCAAGCAAAGAAAATCACCCTTTCCCATTAGAAATCTGGAACAGAATTTGAGTTCCTGCTTCCACTACATTGGTCTTTTGACACCTGCTATATTAAAATAACCCACTGAGATTACAATAATCCCTATAGTGCCCACAACCCACACCTCCCCAATGCCCCTCTTTCCTTGCCTTCTCTTTTACACGATTTATGGACTATTTCCACCACTAGACATAAATCTCCTTTTCTGATACAATGTTAGATTACTTTTTATTTACATGCCTCTTCATACCAGAGGAAATGCTATGTAAGAGCAAGATTCAATTTTTAATGGGGAAATAGATGCTTTAATCTGAGGATTATTTTTTAAAGGTTATAAAGGTAGAGGAGATGAATTAAATAAAAAAAGAACTCATAAATGCTTTTTAAAATAGCCTATGTAGTAGAATGAATAGTCACAGCATGCCAAAATTAATTTTCAGTATGTGCATGCTTCAGTGATTAAAAGGTTTTAGAAGCATTAAAATTCTCCTAATCTCAATAGCCAGGTGGCAGCAATAGAATGAGTGAGTAGCCACTCAAGGGTCTTATGGTGGAAACTATTTACCAATCAGTATAGAAGCATTTTAATATCTTAACAAATGGCATGACTACACCAATCCTACCAGTGTACTATCAGCTCTAAATGCATAATGTGCTTTCTGAATCACTAAGAGCCTTCTAAACAACTGTAGTTAGTAGTGAATTGCCGAAAGGATAATTTCATCTAGTTAATCTTTTATTGACTGTTTGGCTTTTAAATAACATGCAAAGGAAATATTACAAATATCAAGACATTTGAATTACAATGAGCATTACATTAATTATAGCATGTTTGTACAATTTATACCAGGTTGATTTTAACATATTATATATTCAATATCCAAAAGAATATGTTCAATACAGTCCCATTTGAGAAACAGCAATACTGCTTAAAGCCAGAATGAAAATTATCAACAGAATTAATGGTGAAACTTCTAACTTTCTCTCTTATCTAGTATTTGTTTACAAATTAAAAAAAAAACTACAAACTTGCAATAATTTAAAACTATGAAAAACTCATGATTTTTCACTCTACAGACATGTCAGATTTGATGAGGCTTTGCTCAAATTAAAAACATATAAGTAATTATTTATTGCAGTATCTCTGTTAGGCTCTATATGGACAAAAATTCAGTTGGAAAAAGTAAATGCAAACACTCAAATCTAAAGTCCAAAGCAAGTTCTGAAGTAAGAAGATGTATCAGAACGTAGCGCATGACTCATTGAGTAATGAAAGGTACATAGATTAGGAAAGTTGGCTAGTGTTCAACGATACAGAAATAGAACATCAGAAGCCAAAAGCATGAATGGAAATCAAGTGTCAGAAACCACTTAAAAACATTAATCAGAGGATTTCCAGGAAAAATGTTGAGTTGAGATGAACTTTCTAACCTTCCTCACTTCATTAACACACTTCTGGAAAATCCCAAGAGAGTATAAAGATATAAAAAGGGACTATTCATGACTAAACTTCAAAAATTTCACTTGAAAACTGGATTATGTGGGATGAGATTGGAAGAGGATAGAAGGAACTATACTGTCAATAATTATACCTATAATTTCAACAAGAATAAGGTAAATATTGATTCTGAAAAGAAGGAAAAATATCAAAGATGGAACAAAAATGATTCTGATGTTGACAAAAAGAAGGCAGACAGAAATAAACACAATAAAAATAGGATGATGATATAAGAAAAGTGTAAAATGCAGGACAAAAACCATAGAATTAAAATATTCATTAG
The DNA here is from genome assembly GCF_000001405.40 of Homo sapiens. Classification (NCBI taxonomy): domain Eukaryota; kingdom Metazoa; phylum Chordata; class Mammalia; order Primates; family Hominidae; genus Homo; species Homo sapiens. The sequence goes on from NC_000002.12 coordinate 77,028,752, forward strand.
CAGGCCTGGCGCGGTGGCTCACTCCTGTAATCCCAGCACTTTGGGAGGCTGAGGTGGGCAAATCATGAGGTCAGGAGATCAAGACCATCCTGGCTAACACGGTGAAACCACATCTCTACTAAAAATACAAAAAATTAGCTGAGCGTGGTGGTGGGGGCCTGTAGTCCCAGCTACTCGGGAGGCTGAGGCAGGAGAATGGTGTGAACCCGGGAGGCGGAGCTTGCAGTGAGCCAAGGTCACACCACTGCACTATAGCCTGGGTGACAAAGCGAGAGTCCATCACACACACACACACACACAAATATATATATATATATATAATATATATATATTATATATATATTCATTAGCAATAAAATGAGTCACCTTTGCAGACAGTAGAATCTATGAGTTAGTAGACAAGTTTGATAACGTTAGTATTTAGAGGTTGTATTAGTCAAGGTTCTCTAAAGGGACAAAAATAATAGGATAGATGTATATATGAATGGGAGTTTATTAGGAGTATTGACTCACACGATCACAAGATGAAGTCCCACAATAGGCCGTCTGCAAGCTGTGGAGCAAGGGAGCCAGTCCGAGTCCCAAAACCTCAAAAGTAGGGAAGCAGACAGTGCAGCCTTCAGTCTGTGGCTGAAGGCCCAAGAGCCCCTGGCAAACCATTCGTGTAAGTCCAAGAGTCCAAAGGCTGAAGAACTTGGAGTCTGATGTTCGAGAGCAGGAAGCATGCAGCATGGGAGAAAGATGAAGGCCAGAAAATTCAGTTAAGTCTCCACATTCCACTTTCTTCTGCCTGCTTTATTCTAGCCACACTGGCAACACCCTCAGAGACACACTCAGGAACAATACTTGGTTGACACTCAATATTAGCCATCACAGAGATGAATGTCAGAAATGAAAACTCTAAAAGAGATGATTTGATAACATAGGAAACAGAAATCTAATATATGGTGATGCGAATTTCTGAAGAGAGGGAATAAATGCTAAGCAATAAACAAAGATGTAGTAACAAGAAACATTCTTGAGCAGAACAAAGATTTGTTTTGTAAAAAAGGAATCATCATCTACCCTGACACATCAGAAAAGGACATCAATGACAATGAAGCAGAGTCCTTACAGTCTGACAGGTTTCAGTGGTGACCAAAATCCTAGGGACTCAGGGGGAAATTAAAACACATTAAATAAAATAAGAGGATTAAAACAAATAATTCAAGAGCTATAGTGTCATAGTGTAAAAGGTCTAGTAGTCAGCCCATGGAATGTGCAAAACACAATTATGATTTAAACTTCTTTTAAAAATTTTGTCTCATTAAAAAATTTCATGTGAAACAATAAAAACTTTTACACAAGTTCCAATTATCACAGATTTAACAACAAAAATGAAGTGATAAAAATGTAAATAGGCCGGACATGGTGGCTCACGCCTGTAATCCCAGCACTTTGGGAGGCTGAGGCGGGGAGATCACGAGGTCAGGAGATCGAGACCATCCTGGCTAACACAGTGAAACCCTGTCTCTACTAAAAATACAAAAAAAATTAGCTGGGTGTGGTGGTATGTGCCTGTAGTCCCAGCTACTCGGGAGGCTGAGGCAGGAGAATCGCTTGAACTGGGAGGCGGAGGTTGCAATGAGCTGAGATCATGCCACTGCACTCCAGCCTGGGTTACAGAGCGAGGCTCCAACTCAAAAACAGAAAAAGTAAACATTTATTGACAGTAAGTCGGTGTGTTTTCTATTACAATGTTTAGAATTTAAATCTAAATTTGTAAAACCTTAAAGATAGTGAATATAAATACTTCCAACAGGATTTATACTTCCAGAATTTATAGAGGATGAAAAAGGAAAATAATCTGAATCTACCCTTTAAAACAATTTTTCAAAACTAAGGATAACAACCAAAAAGACTCCTTGATAAAGAACAATTTAATTCTTTATGAAAATGAACTTAGATGAGTCAAATACCACCAGAAAAAAAGACGCATTATTTCCTTCCAGTAATATCCTGAAAGATGATTGCTTGCTAAAGACTATTGGCAATCTTTAAAGTTTTAATAAGTAATGCCAAATAATCTGTCACAAAATTTGTATCAACATGCATTTCTTTTGGCAATATTTTGAAGTAACTGTTCTTTCTGCCCCATCAAAGCTCAAACACTCTTCAGGTTCTAATATTGTTACTTGCAACTGTCTCTCTTAATTTGCAATGTGTCAATGGCTATTGATGTAAATATTTTAAGAGATTCACTGGACAGTGGGATTTATCTTTTTCTTTGTGAATAAACTGTAAATATTATTTTCTTATATTTTAAATGGAGAATTTACTCAGGTTTGTAAGCACAATGTTAATATCTTATGTAGAACATACATTTACAGATATTATAATTTTTCTGTTATTTATATAGCAAAATATCTATTTCTACATTTGCCATTTATTTTAACTATTGTTTGTTTACATGCCAAATATTTGTGTTTTTAAAATAATTTTGTGTAGCTAAGTGTACTATGCATTAATTTTTCTTTTTTCATTAAGAATGGACTTCCAAATGCTTTCACAAATTTTAGATCAAATAAATATTTTCCTTTAGCTGTCCTGTGGCTTTATGTCTTTATTTCATTATTTAATCTACACAAGGTTTATTTTACTATAACATCTGAGGTGGAATTTAACTTTCTTTTCTAAGTAGATCATGATTATCCTAGGGCTGTTTATTAGTTATTTCCTAATTTTTCCACATGGCTAAAAATACACATTGTTCTACTGAAATCACTGGAACAATTATCAAAGACTGTAGATGATGGGTTACTCGGGGAGTGAGATATATTAGAGAGTCCCAAGGTTTATTTAGTCCTAGGATCGCTTTTCAGGGCTTCTCTGTGTCAGTGATGACATGCAGTCACATGGTTTAAAATGTCACCTATGTCTGATGACACCCAAATGAACGTCTCCAGTCAATAATGAACACCATGTGATCTCTAACTATATCTTTGTGTGTGCGTGTGTGTGACAGAGAGAGAGCGCGCACAATATGTGCATGTAAATGTAAATTAATATAGTGAATTATACTTATAAGAAGTAAATTTAGAGATATGACTGTCTGCCTACTTGACACGTCTTCCTGAATGTCTATCTTCTCTCCCTTCTTGTCCATAGCAGTTCAGCATCTCAAATCTTTCAGGCCCCTAACCCTAACATGATTGTCAACTCCTCTTTCTTCTATGCCTCGCATCTCATTTCTTCGCAAATCAAAACACTTTTTAAAGATATTAAGAATCTGATCTTTGTTCACCTCCTCTACAGCAACTGTCCTGGTGCAAACCACCATTAACTTGGGCCTAGAATTTTGTATTCTGCTCCTAATCAGCCTCTCTACTTCTATCCTTGCGCTTTCCACCTGGCTCTGCAGTGACTTTCACATACAGGAAGCACAGTGAAACTTTAAAAACTGCAGGGCCTTCATATTTACCATTCCCTTCTTCTGAAGCAATTCCCTCAAGTTGTTACGTAGGTAACTCTTTTACTTCAAATCCTTGCTCAATTTTCATTATATCAGAGAGGTTAGTCTAATCATCTCAAACAAAATAACAACTCCAAGCTTATTCTATTTCCCTGTTAATTTTCCTGTTTTCCTCACAGCATTTACCATTGGACTATTATATGTCTATTTTATTACCTAGTATCTTTCTCCTTCCACTAGATTATGAGGTTCATGACAATACCAAGTTAGTTTTGTTCACGTTGCCATCTGTTAGAGCAGAAATTGGCACAAAATAGAAGTTCAATATATTTTTTGAATAATTGAATAAATAATTGAATAGATGAAAAAAAGCTGGACTAATTAAGATCTGTTTTATTCAAATTTAATCCAGTTTTTCCTAAAAGCTGTTCAGTTTTTGCAAAGAAGGATCATTAATATATGTTTTATAGTCATAGACCCCAGTGTTATTCCTCATTATATGCTGAAAGACTGCATTAGGATCTTCTTTAAGACTTACCGATTTAATTCTTTTAGGCTTTTTCTGATTTATAAACAGCATTTATAGAAATTATGTTTCAATAATGATATGTTTGGAAATGCTGATTCTTTTTAGCACCAGTTGTGCCATGATTTCATGGGAGTTTGTAATGTGCAAGGTTTCTTCCTTGCTGGGTTCTAATTGCCTATTACACCATACAACATGGTTCTACTAATTGTACTAAGTAAGAGTGATCTACCCGTGACACATTTGATATTTTATAACTGTGTTTTAACTCCCAGTAGAACAGCACACAGGGAATAAGAAAGAAATATCTCTCGGGACAATCACAATCAATGGTAATCTGATGTTTTAAAGTTGAAAAATAGCTGAAAAACTGCAGCAGAAATAATGTCTCTTGGGAGGAATGGCTTCAAACTTCAGCTACAGAGAGAGAACAATAATTCCAAGGAGCCAATATAGATTGTAATCTATTCAGTATTTAAAACTCATATTTTCTAAACAAGATCATTGTCACATGCATTTATTATTTTAAATGGGCTCTCTCAAGAAAGCATTGAATTTATATTTATGAAGACATTTATAGCTCACTAAATGCCAAGTAAAGATTATTAAAAAAATCTTTATCGAAGTCTAACAGCAATGAAAGACATTTTCCATTAGTAGTATAATTAGCTCATAAATATGTAAGCAATAAATGCATAGTTTTTTTTACTCTTAATATATTAATATTGTATATGATATCGGCCATGGAGCTGTAAATAATGTTGACAAATTAAATCACCATTCCCTGTGTACCGAATATCAATTTTATTGAAGGAGGAGATATTTCTAAAACAGTATTTTAAAAATTCTCCCACCACAAATCTTCAAATGTCTCTCCTTGGGGCTCTTAGTTTAGATTATAATTCTCCATATTTGTAGTGAAGGGTGATAATAATCTATGCTATGCAAAAGTCAACATAGAGCTAAGATTTGTAATTTTCATTTATACGTCAGTTAATTTCTAATATCAATAGGGCTGTTTTGTTTTATGCTATATATGTGGCTTGTTTGTCTCTTAAAATTTAATAATGTCTTATTAAATGAACTAATAAAAATAATTAACTTATAAAGGAGGAGATGGATTACTTAAATGTTAAATAAAGACTTACACTGCAGATGTTCAGATCATAATAGTTTTATATGTTCCTTACTTTGCGAGCTGTAAGCAAAGGACCAGAATATCTGAGGCTGAAACTATAATACAATCAAGATTTCAAGATTTTTTAATATAAAAGTATGCTTAGTATACCTTTATTATTGATAATTAAATACTGGAAAAAACCATAAAGGTTCTGTTATGGCAAATAATTATATTAATATTTTAATCTTAAAATAGCATATAATAAGATTTTTAAAGTAAAGATTTCAAAGCATTTTCAAAATTTGGAAAATTTTCATTATAGAATCCATTTCAAATTGTTTAATTTTAATAAACTACAGAAAAGATATGCAGAACTTAGTGAAATATTATAAGGTAAACATCCTTGTCACCACAACCCAAGCTGTGAAACAGAATTTTGCCAGCTTTCTAGAAGTCTTGCCCAAGTGTCTCAATTCAATCACAACTTCTTCCTTCTCTGCAAGATTAAATTGCTCTTTTGACATTTATTGCAATCCTTTTCTTCTACGTTTTTCTAGTTTTAATATCAATATGCACATTCCTAGACATAAATAGTTTAATCTTGCTCAATTTTTAAAAACATGATGCCTTTCAAGCTTCTGTTCAATCTGCAGATTTTCTCTCCGTCTTCTATTTTCTTACTATTTATGGGTGGAAGCTCTGGGGAAATCTGGATTTCTCACAGTCTGGAGTTTGTTGATTTCATAATCATGGTGCAGTGTTACGTATTCCTTTGTCTCCTGTATTTCCTGAAAATAGGCAACTAAATCCAGAGGCTTGTTTAGATTGAGGTTTGATCACTTTGGTCGGGCTGTAGATGTTTTCCTTCTGCAGGAAGTGTATCACGTCTGCCTGTTTATCTTTTGGTGATGTTTGCAATCACTGAAATTTAGTGCCTGTATTCAGTAATCTTTTGAGGGTTGCAAAATTATGACATTCTAATTCTAATATTCTTTTCACTTATTCTTAGAAATTATTCTATAAAGAGAAGATTTCATTTATCTACCATTAGTTTACCCAGTGTTACAGTTCATATATAAAACCCAGGATAAAGGCAAGATATTTCACATTATTTACTAGTTCTCAAGAAAATGAATTGGTTTCCTCTCATTCTCCAAATGTGATTAACTAGGCTTTTAAAAAATAATCTTTTATTTTTATTATTTTTTTTCTTAATTATTGTTTTTTATTATACTTTAAGTTCTAGGGTACATGCGCACAATGTGCAGGTTTGTTACATATGTATACATGTGCCATGTTGGTGTGCTGCACCCATTAACTCGTCATTTACATTAGATATATCTCCTAATGCTATCCCTCCCCTTCCCCCCACCCCGGTGTGTGATGTCCAGATTCACACATAGTTCTAAGAAAAACAAACAAACAAACAAACAAACAAAAAACCAGAAGAATCCTGTATATATTTACTCAAGTTCCCCCGATGATAATATCTTGCAAAACTACAGATAACATTATAACCTGGCTATTGACATTGGTATAATCAAGAAACAGCATGTCCATCACTACGAAGGTCCGTCCTCCCTTTTACAGCCACAGTTACTTTTCTCACATTCCCCACACCTTCATAACCTCAGGCAACACTAACAGTTTATCATTTCTATAATTTTATTTCATTTTTTAAATTAAAATAGTGTTTTGCTTTTCTTTTAACATAAACCCAAGAAACAAAAATGATGTAAGCTGTTATAATTTTGTTATTTCAATAATTTTATAAATATCAAATTATACAATCAGTAACTTTTTGGAATTGACTTTTTTCACTCAGCATAATTCTCTGGACATCTAGGCTGTTGCATGCATCAATAGTCCCTTTTATTTCTAAGTACACTTTAGGTTATGAGTGCACCACAATTTGTTTAGTAATTTACCTGTTGGAGAGCATGTGAGTTGATTTTCATTTTTTAAAATGTTCCCTAGCTACTAAATACGTACCACAATGGCATCTAACAACCATCAGGGGCTTTTTGAAACTTTGTCCTCTTAGAGTTAGATTCTATTAAGCTCTGAGGAGCAGCCTAATGGTTTTCAGATTCCAGACTTCAACCATACCTCTCTAGAGTGTTACAGTGTCTTACTCTCCAAGAATTTGTTTGGATCTTTAATTAATTAAGACATATTATTCCCACAGTGATGTGGATGTTACTACATAAAAGCTAAAGAATACAAATTGATAACTTATGCATATGCATGAGTAGTAATGGTTTACCTGCTTGCAGACATAATGTAGACCACAAAACAGAAACACCAGGGGAAAGCATTATGGTGGAATGAGGGACAAAACTGAGAAAAAATAATGAAGGTAATACTGTCATTATGGGAGAAGATAAAAAATAAAATAATTGCAAAATAAATTTTATTTAATTGGATATAGCATTTCTGGCTTTATCCACATTTCTACATAGATATTTTACAATTTCATGGACTAGAGTATTATTATCCTAGTTTAGGGTATTTCTTCCCCCTCAGGCTTGTCTTCAAACTCTAGAACATTATTAATTTTTCTGGCAAACAAGGCTGTCTTAGAAATTCTACTTTAAGGATCTTGCTCAGATATCTCATCCTTTACAGAACTATTGTTGACCAGCCCAGTAAAAGAGGATTTCTATCAACCCATAGGCTTCCTACAATCCTTATCATCATTTACTTCTTGACATTCTCTAAATGTTTCAGTTTTTCTTTTTGCATGAACATGTCAAATCTCTTAAAATATTACGTATTCTGTGGAATATTGATGCTATTTCTTTGTAGTCTCCTAAGCACTCAATATAGAGACTTTCAAAGAGTACCTATTTTGGCCTTAGTTAGCTTGGCTCTTGGCTAGTAAGCTGGATATTGCTGAATATCTGAGAGAAAGAAGAGTCTTTTCCAGTTTACTCAATAGTAGTAACTGAAGCAAAAATGTGGTGAGACATTTTTCATACATAAGCGTCCCAACCCAACTTAGGGATTTCTTAAATCAATCTGCTGATCAAGAAAGACATATAGATTATTTATTAACCTAAGGTTGTGAGGGAATTCTCTGAAAGGAAGTGATTGACCCCTACTTAATTCCATAGAAATTGGAGATGACTCAGATGCCTAGCATGCTAGGGATTCGTCTACCAATTGTTTAGCAATTCCCTAGCTGTCCCCTCAAAGGGATGGAACTGTAGAATCAATTTTTCCATTTCCCTCTCACCCAAATTATGCTGTGCAGGCAACTGGACGGGGTTCCACTGCTAGGCTGTAATCATTTAGTTCACCAGAAGTATAAATGCACTAATATTTTATCCATTATATATGTCTATATACAGAGAGAGAATATGGGCTTCACGGATCCTGGTTTTCCAACAAAGACCAATTAAATCATCCAATTAAAAGGGAGTTAAAATAACTTTTACAAACCATGTTAAATACAAAGTTCACACTAGTGATCAAAGAATATGGCCCCCTATTATCTTTTGGTGAGTCTTAAATTTATAAGGCACTCAGTCACCACAATCTCTGTGGGTCACTATAGTTCTCTCTGTAACCATTGCTTAATCCTGCCATGCACATAATTGCAAGCATTATACAGCTCCTACATGTTTTGTCTCTAAATTCTTGAAATATTACTTGCAAACATAAAAAAATGCTTATGTCCAGGTACTTCCTTTGTTGCTGTTTTATTACCAAAGAAAAGCCTCACATTTCACTTAACACATTGTGTCTCATGCAAATAGGATGCACAAATATCCATTAAAAATGTAGACTCTAATATAAGAAGAAATATTTAAAATGTGTCTTAAAGAGGCAATTTGGATAGCTCTATATACTCCCCATTAGACACATTTTATTTGTTTGGTTGTTTGTTTGCTTATTTGTTTTCAGCTTGGAACATCAACCACCAGAGTTTATCTTTGCATGCAAATGATAATAGATTGCAAGTGCTCTCTCAGTGTTAATCTCACAATTTAAATTGGTTTCATATTAATGCACTTGGTAGGAAGTACACATTTATCTCTGGTTTTCTCACTTGAGGATTCTAGGAGTGAAGTGTTTCTGGAGGAGTCCAGTGACCAGTAAAATTCTTAAGGAGCACAAGCTCACACACTTTGCTGAAGTTACACAGAGCCTTGTGTTCCTTGAATAACCTATATAATTATAGTAAGCAGACTTTCTCCCCAGTGATGTGCCCATCTGTTTCTTTTGTAGACTTCTTTTCTTCCTAAATATTTATTGATGAATATCTACTATATTTCCAAGGAAAATCTTTACAGGCTTTTGAGTAGAAAAATTGCAAGGACTAATTCAACATCCTTACTATGGTTTTCATTTATTCTTTACAAATCATTTAAAAAGAGTCAAGGCCATGGTTTAATCACCATATTGCATTAAAAATTCAGCATTTGAAATTTGCCTAATAGATTACTATTTGCTGTGAACAGTCAGGCACAGCTTTGCTATTAGAATTCACTTGACCTTAGGCATGTTAAGCTAACTGCAGTCCTAAAATAGAATCTGCTTTGTTTCGATTTGTTTTGTTTTTCACAAGTTAGCATTACCTTTTAATGACTAAATTTATTTTAGAAAAATTATAAAGTACTGTTCAGAGTCTATGAAGTAATATTTTAGCATTGTGTATGTCACATGCCCAATACTGACTAGATACAAAATTCTGTATCCCCTTCAGTTGAATTTATTCTATTAGTTTCCCTAGCACCTGTATGACATAGTAAGATTTAAACTATGTATGGATAGAACTAAACAACTAGCATAACAACTTCTTGTCCCCTAGTTTTAGTCTCCTTCTGCCATTTTGCAAAGCCAGATTTCAAGAAATTATCCTAGAAATTCAATTAAGAGGTTTTGTGCTTACTCAAGTTATCCTGCAACACAATATTGATAGGGGAATCAGTTGGAGAGTTTCTTCTTTCTTACACTACTGCTCATGGATCTAACCATCTAATGTTGCATTTTATTTCTTTGCACACTTGACTCTCAGACAAAAAATGTATGAGTTTAGAGACCAAATTACACTTGTGGCATTGCTCTTATTATATAGTGGGTTTTTAAAAATCTGTAAAATAAGCCACACAGCAATTGCAATACTAAAGGTCCAGTAAAAGTCAACAGACCTCTAAAAACCCCCTTCAGTTCATAAGAAAATGGAACAAGGCTAACCATATTTACAATATAAAAATGAGTGGAATTAATTTAAAAAATAAATTGATCAAGGGAAGTAATTAATTTATAAAATGATAAGAAAAAATAAGATATTACATACCTAAGTTTTAACAGATCTGTCATCTTATAAAAAGAGGATCACAGAATAGCTTCTAAGGATGAAAAAGTAGGGGCAGCTTAATTTTCTCTTAGATACAGGCTGTAAGTCTGAGTCGGGGACATATGGTGAAATGAGTCCAAAACATCTTTCAAATGTTTTTAAAATTGTAAGTCTTTTTTTTTTTTTAAATGAAGGCAAATCAGATGATAATATGAACAGAGATACAGGTATATTTGTTTTAATCAAGCTCTGTTTAAAAAAGTTAGTGTCAGTTCCCTCAGAGTCAATGACATAGATATCTCTTACTAATCTGTCATCATAAATATTTCGTTCAATTTTAGAGGACACATTTAGGACTAGCAGTAAGAAGCAATTTTAAAGTTAAGTGATGTTTGGATTTATGTAAAACAAACACCTCCCCAATCTATCTTCCATTTGTTAGGAAATTATCTTATTTTACAATGATGAAAAAAGTATAATTTTTATACCATATCAAATATTAATAATGTAATACCATCTTGTGTTTATTTGTATACACAGATTAGATCCTTACATTAGAATGTTCCCTTTTTTCATGTTAGTCATTTCTAAGAAATATTATTTGATTCTTTAAATTTTTGTCTTTTTCTTTATATAAAACCAAAAATGATTAACAAAATAATTAGGACAACATTGCACTCACAAGGGAGATTATCTTTAAACTATTTTAATAGAATAATATTGCAAAAGGAAACTTAGTAATTTTCTCATTAGTTAATATTAATAAAATATTTTTAAAATAATTATTTTCTTAGCTGTTAATTACTTAAAATTACAATAAACTGTCTTTATAATCAAAAGTATGAGGATGTATTTGTTACATATTGGCTAAATCAAATTATCTTGATGTATGTTGTAGCATTATAAGACAGGTGGGTAGGCAGCAAAGTATAATAAAAACTGTCACCTGATTAATGCTACCATGGATTTCATTGTAGTCCAAATCCATGAATCCATATAAAACTATTGAGATTTTCCATGTTTTTCCATTTAAATACTAATTAAAATATAATTGTTCTTCCCTTAACAAGACACATATATTGAACCTCCTTATGTTCTACAACATATATATATATAAAATCATGATGTATGCAAATTACAGCTCATCATTTGCTAAATGCTTGCAGAGATTTTGACAAATGGTGCACACGAAATAACTAAAAATAAACAGCTCTTGTTTAATCTACTGAAACAAAATGAAGCTTGAATAAGGTCATATCATATGAAGCTGAAAGAGATTGTCAAATTGATAAATTTCAATGAAGTCTCAGTAAATTTAGTAAAGAGAGAGAGAGAAACAAGGTCATCAAGCTTGTGTTTTGATAGCCCTACTCATAAGTGCTAGTAAACAGTAGGCTTCTCAGTAGAGCAAAATACTGTGGAGCCTTTGCATATGGCAGTTGCAAAGGCTTATTTACTCAAACACAGAGCCATATACATTTTCCAATATACAAGGCAGAAAAAGTGACATATATATTGGGCTGATAATGGGTTTAGGGGAGCAAATGAAAAGAGATTTGGAAACTAACCAGTCCACTAATGTTTATAGCTCTGGAGAAGAGAAACTGCTTTAGTCCATTTTTTCCATTTTAAGTTTTATTTTGTTTTTCACTGATACACGATAATTATACATATTGATGGGGTAAAGTGTATTGTTTTAATATATGTATACATTGTGTAATTATCAAATTAGGATAAATAGTATACCTATCACCTCAAACATTTGTCATTTCTTTATGAGGACATTCAAAATCCTCTATTGTAGCTATTTTGAAATACACATTATTATAATTATAGTCATCCTATTGTGCACAGAACAACAGAACTTCTTTCTCCTATCTAACTGTACCTTTGTACTCATCAACCAACCCCTCCCCACACCCTTCCTCCTTATACTTTCCAGCTTCTGGTAACCAATCTCCTGCTTTCTACTTCTGTTAGATCAACTTTAGATTCCACCTATGAGTGAGATCAAACACTATTTGTCATTCTGTGCTTGCCTTGCTTCATTTAATATAATATTCTTTGGGTTCATCCATGTTGTTGTAAATGACAGGATTTCATTCTTTCTTATGGCCAAATAGTATTTTATTGTGTATATATACCACATTTGTAAAATCCATTCATTTGTTGATTGATAGACACTTAGGTTGATTTCATAAGTGAATAGTGTTGCAATAGACATGGGAGTACAGGTACCTCCTTCAACATCTTGATTTCCTTTCCTTTGGACATATACCTACTAGTGAGACAGCCAGATCATACAGTAGTTTTGAAATTTTAAGGAACCTCTATATGGTTTTCCATAGTGGCTGTACTAATTTGCATTCCCACCAACAATGTATAAGAATTTGCCCTTCTCCACATCCTCATGAACATTTATTATTTTTCGTCTTTTTTAGCCATTCTAGCTAGAGTGAGATGCTATCTCATTTGATTCACATTTCTCTGATGATTAGTGATGTTGATTACTTTTTCATACATCTGTTGGCCCTTTCTATGTCTTTTTTTGAGAAGTATCTATTCACATCTTTTACCCATTTTTAAATCAGTTTTCTTTTTGCTAGTGAATTGTTTGAGTTTTTAATATTAGGTCGGTGCAAAAATCATTGCGGTTTTTGCTTTTGAAAGTAATGGCAAAAACCGCAATGACTTTTGCACTGACCTAATATTTTCTGAATATTGAAACAATTCTATAATTTGTATGAAAACACAAAAGACCCGGAATGGAATAAAGAGAATCATCTGAATACACTTTCTTTATGCTCATATTGAGACTAAGGAGATGTTCCAAATTTAAAAAACAAGAAAGAACAAATAAACATAACAACCGAATGCAATGTGTAATTCAATATTTTTAATTAACATTTTTAATATGTGAGGAAGAGTATTACTTGAACAATTGACAAATTCTGAATAAGGCCTATGGTTTTAGATAATAGTATTATATCACTCTTAATTTCCCGATTTTTGAGAATTACACTATGAATATATATAAGAATGTCCTTGTTTTTTAAGAAATATATACTGACATATTTAGGGGTAAGTGGACATTATTTTTACAAGCTACTCTCAAATAGTTAAGAAAAAATAGAAAGAAAGAAATCAACACAGCAGTATGATAAAATATTAACACTGCAAAACTACAGTGAAGGATTTATGGAAATTCTGTGTTCAATGTTACACTTTTCTGTACATATGCACAAATATGTAAACATAAAAAGTTATTTTTTAAAAAGTTATTGAGATTATCTCTATTATAAAATTTACTTTGATGTATGAAACATAGTATCTACTTAATATTGAATATTATAGGTACTCAACCAAACTGGAATTATAACAAGAGTGTAGTTTTTGTATAACACAGTCTAGAATAGAATATGGGGTCTATTTTTGTACAGGAATAAAATAGAAGTTTGTTTTTATTGTATAGAAAATCTTTATATAAAGTAAAATTAATTTCATGCCATTCTTATGATGATAAGTAAATTATGTGAATATTGTATAATTTAACATTACTAATGAAGTGTTTCTAAACCTATATTCATCAAGAGCATTTCCAGTGCTAGAACTGTGATGGTGTAATAAAAGCACTTGTAACTTCAGGACCTAAGGCTCCTTTTTACCTCCTCAACCAACTTTCTGACCTCTCCCACTCTTCTTAGACAAAGTCTCTGGAATGGGCCATTGTGGTCAAGGATAAGACTTTTTCTGTGCCACACAAAGGGATTAAAGCTCAATCTAGAGTTATCAGGGTGAAGAGTTGGGGGTGGGCAGATGGTGGGGGTTTCTTAGGCTCTGTCTCTGTTTCTCAATATATGCTGGGACTCGTGAGATTTACTCAGGCCTAGGAAACCTTCTCCATGGTTTCGTTAGGCCTACCCTGCCCTTGGACTTAGGAAGTAAGCCTTAATCTAACTGATTTTCTCTTTCTTTCCTGTTTTGTCTTTTGTACGTATCTTTCATTGTTATTGCTGTATAAGTGGATGTGGTTCTGTGGGGAAAACAGGCTACTTTATCTATTTTGATTGCAGGTCAGAAGTTGCCTCTAGTCTACCCATTCAAGTTTGGAGTTAATGTTCCACCAACTAATAACTGACTTTCTTCAGCGTGCTTAAATTTTCTCCACTACGTTCAGAAGTGTTGTCCATAGGAGAATAGAAAAAGAGGATTTGGGCATTGTCTTCGCAACAGTATTGTCCTCCAACTATAACACAACATAAAATATAGCAACAAAGAGCACTTCTGAGAAATTTCTGGTTCCCTGAAGGGATTTCCTGTAATGCTTACACAAACATGCCTAAAGATGCCTAAACGAATGTCATTGTGTTCAATTTATGTAGTCTACTGAAACTGAATTTAAGTTATAATCAACAATGACACTGCAAGAGAGAAGAGAGAGAAAGAGTTAAGCAAGTGCTGTCTTATTCAAAAGGTATAATATGGGAACATTTAATCATACTAGAAAATTATCATATAAATGTGCAGATTACAGCCAAACTTTATGAAGGATGATGAATCGGGACTAGTCTAATAATCCTACAATCTGGCAGAATTCCTCTTGCAAATATCCTTCATCTTAAAGCAATGAAGGATTTCTACTGGAATAATAACTAACGAATGTAAAGCTTTATATGGCAGATAAAAAAATCAATTATAATGTCTTACAATTAAAATAGCAAAATGGTCATTTTTGCAGCCCATAAACAGGTAAAAACATTTTTTTTTTTACCCACATACTAGAATAGCATACATCCCAAGTAATGAAATGCTGGTTTACTTATTCCAGGGTGTGCAATGCTCCCATATGGAGGATTTCCTCATTTCCTCCTTCATTTCTGTTTGTTTTCTTCCTCATTTTCTTCCAAATAAAAATAAATAAAGACAAAAATTATAATGCCTTAGATATTCTGAGGAAGGACCTGGAATTATTTAAATGACTGCTCTTGGTATTAGAATATGTTACATAGTGCACCCAATGCAGCAATACATTGCAGAGGACCTACTGTCCTTCATACCTGAGTACCCTGAACACTTTAGAATATAAAGTATATACAATTTTAAAGGTAATATTATTTTAATAAAATTAAACATACACTACTTAAAATAGGTCAACTAAAGATTATCTGTCAAATATGGTACTTGGAATGTTTCTTCAACACTCTGCCAATTACATCAAACAGTCCAAACATTACCTTCTATGGAAGCTCAAAAATGCTAACTTCTATCCTATTCTCTCTGAAAAGAGAGATATACTAAAAGAGGAAATCCATATAGCTCTGAAAGTTGACATTCAAATGTTTCTTATAATAATGTATTTTTCTAAACATATGCAGATATTAGTCAAGGGTGTGTGTGTCTGTGAGTGTGTGTGTGTGCATGCAAAAGGGAGGATTTAGTGGGAGTGAAAACTAGTTTATTTGATTTTTTTTGGCTATATATATATACACACAAACATATACAAACACACACATACACATATACACACATATTACAAAATATATATATACACCATACATTTATGTATATGTCTCATTTGTGCCACCTATATATAGACAGACATATATAAATATCTACACATACATATGTATAGATACAGGTGTATAAATTATGTGAATGTGTGTGTGAATATATATGCATGTAGGTGGCACAAATGAGACCTATATAAACATACACAGACAAATGTATACATATACATATATATGTGTATGTAGATAGGTGTTTGTGTGTATATGTGTATATGTGTGTGTGTATGTGGCACAAATGAGACATATATCTGGGTAGTAGGAATGCTGTAGTTATGATCATGATTGGTTACCAATTACTTACTATGTGAGGTACCTGCCTTTTAAATATGTGAAAATAAATTCTCTTTACATAAAGAGGTAATATGGTATTTTTAGCAGAATATACAAATGAAGTGAGAAATGTTTACCCAGCACAAATCTAGTAACTCTACATGGAGAGGCAGGGATTGAACACAGAAATATGTGAATTTAAAGTCAGCATTCTTACTTTTTAAATGTTTGTTACAAAACTTTTCAAATCTCACAAAAAAAGTAGAGAAAAATCTCACAACAAATTCCCAAGTGCCTATCACTCAGTTTCAACAGTTGTCTTTTCCTCATTCCTTTTATCTATTATTTATTTTTATTTTATTTATCAGCTGAAGTACTATGAAACTGATTCCAGGTATCATGTCATTTCCCCTGCAAATTCAATCATTATTCACCTTTTAAAACAAATATGGAGATATTTTATGCCTAAAACAAAATTGGCTTTAATTCGGTTAGGCTGTGTCCCCACCCAAATCTCATCTTGAATTCTCATGTGTTGTGGGAGGGACCCAGTGGGAGGTAATTGAATCGTGAGGGCAGGTGTTTCCTGTGCTACTCTCCTGATAGTGAGTAAGTCTCACAAGATGGTTATTATAAGGAGGAGTTTTCCTGCACAAGCTCTCTCTTTGCTTGCTGCCATCCATGTAAGATGTGCCTTGCTCCTCCTTGCCTTCCACCATGATTGTGAGGCTTCTCCAGCCACATGGAACTGTAAGTCCAATTAATTTTTTTTCTTTTGTAAATTGCTCAGTCTTGGGTAAGTGTTTATCAGCAGCATGAAAATGGACAAGCACAGCATTTTTTTTGCTATCATCTGATATCCAGCCCATAATCAAATTTTTCTGATAGTTTCCTGATATAGTTTTTTACACTTGGTTTGAACAAAGATCCAATCCATACATTACATTTGATTGTTATATCTCTTAAGAAGTACATTTAATATAGAACAATTTCCTTCCTTTTTCTTTTAATTATATTAACTTGCTAGAGAAACCAAATTCACTGTCTTAAAGAACATTCCACATTCTGGATTTGTACGTTTGATTCTTTTTAGTATCATGTAAGTGGTTCTTCTCTTGTATTACCTGTACTGGGAGCTAAAACTCACATCTTGGTTTGATTGCAGTTCAACTATTTATGTGAAAACACTTCATAGGTGTTCCTATGTGTTTTACACTGCAATAGAACCAGCTCTAGATGCCTAAAAGAATGGGTACTTAATTTTAAAGTGCAGGCTGTTTCCTTCCAGGCAGATTTCACTCATTCACACTAGTCTGTGAACTCCATCTCTGGGAACAATTTTTAACACACGGCCAACCAAAGTGCAAAATGTGCAATAGGCAGATTTTTTTTCTAGAAAAATAGTTACACATCTTTGGGAACTGGAAGTTTAGTGTCAGCCACTATGCTCTATCACTCCACTGAATTGTACATTTGAAAATAACCTGATATCCAGTTGCCACAGAATCTTGGCAGACAGTCTCAATGATGATGTCCCTGGAGGAGCCTTTGGCAGAATGACTAGAGTATATACCATTCAGCAGGGAAACATCTATGTGTCTGACACATGCACCCTCAATGTTGCAGTGCAGAGATTCATTTTACTCAGAGGAAGCAATTGCCTCATTCACACTATGAGAAATAGTAGAAAAATAAGATTCAAAATTTTAAAAAGCATAGAGAAAAAGGCAGAAGGAGGTCTGTCCCATAGTATAGTCACACATGCATGTATATCTATGCCCATCTCTAACACTCACACACGCACACAATTTTTGTCATCCAGAAAAAGACAGAATGACTTTGAAGAGTTTGAAGTATTCACAATGCATTTATCATCAAAGCAAATGAAGTGACTTTGGCTGGATAAAAGAAAGGGAAGCAGAAGCCTGATACTTAGAAATGCAACTGTTTTGATTGCTAACTTGTTCTGCATGAGCATATTCTGCTCCTCTCTCGGAGCAAATGTCCAATAATAAAGATACATTCTGCTATAATTTGGTAGTTATAATGCATTTACTGGTTCAGAAACATGTTACATCTCAGTTTGGGAGTAATCTTTACCAGAAATTATTGTTCTGGGCACCCCTACTACATCTTCAGACATCTTTAGCAAAGCATTTGTTTTTGCTTTGGTTTCAAACATAACATTGATTTAAATAAGGTGATTGCATTATTAAATGAACTGAGCCTTACTCAGTCATTTCAGGCACAGCTTATTGTTGTGGATATTATTATTTCTCTTTTTTTCACAGGTGTTCCTCAGCAGAATCCTTAAGGAAGGTAAGTGCTGGCACAGAAGTTAAAAGTGCAATATATTAGTTTGCCAGGGCTGCAGACTGAGTGGCTTAAATAACAGATATTTATTGTTCTAGACTTGTGAAGGCTAAAACTCTGAGATCTAGGTTTCTGGAGTGTTGGTTCCTTCTGAGAGCTGTGAGGAAGAAGCTGTTCTACGCCCCTCCGTGCACTTCCGGTGGTTTGCTAGCTAGCAATCTTTGGCATTCATCAGGTTATATAAACATCACCCCAATCTTTGCCTACATCTTCACATGATGTTCTCCCTGTGTGTGTGTTTCTGCTCCTAATCTTGCCATTTTATAAAGACACCAGTCATATTGGATTAATGGTCTACCCTACTCCAGTGTCACTTCCCTTTATCTTAACATATTACATCGGCAATGACTCCATTTCCAAATCAATTCACATTCTGAGGGACTGGGGATTAGGATTTTATCATCTGAATTTTAGAAGGACAAATTTCAACTCATAACATACAATAAACCAATCGTACTTGGAAGATAAACTATTAGGGTTTATGAACTTCAGCATTACTGACATTTTGGGCATACTTATTCTTTGTCAAGTTTGGGGTTGAGGTCCAGGCTGTCTTGTGCATTGTAGGACATTTAGCAGTGAAGTAACAGTTAACTTTTTCAAATAATGCTCATTTGTGTTTTTGTTAAATAAGGTGATTATTTTTATATCTAGATGCAAAGACATTTTGATACAAAACATATCTCTCGATTATCTCATCTTATATTTCTCTGCATTTTTATTTTGCTATGTCATGAAAATAAAGTCAAATGCAGACAATGGAAGATATTATGTTAGGGAAAAAATGAAGCAGCATGTGCTTCTGCTTATACACAAAATAATCATGATTTTATAATGATATATACGTATGTATGTATGAATGTATGTGTGTGCATGTGTGTGTAATGGTACATTCAGAATGGTCAGCTGAAGTATTGGCGTGAGAAATTGTTTTTATGCTAAATGAGTCAAGGGAAGTGGACCCATACATGCATTTAGGTGTTATAATGAAGTTTTAGCATGAATTATTTGGCATTAAAAAGTACATGAACTGCCATCATAGATCAACTTTTATAAATAAGCAATAAAGTCAATTTGTGTTACAGCTTCTTAATATAACTTTCTTAATCTTGAAAATTCAACTGGAGAATTTCCATATGCATATGATTAAAACCATGCTGGAAAAGAGTTCTAAATAAAAATTCTATTGACTTGAATTTTTAAAAATCCCTATTTTGAATACATTTACTTTTGAAACCTTTATTCTCCAGTTTGAATTTTTCTTATTATTATTTTTAATACATACACGATAACTATATGTTTTTTATGGGCATAGTGTGATATTTTGATACATGCATACCATATGTAATTATCAATTCAGGGTAATTAGCATATCTATCATCTCATTTATTGTTTCTTTGTGTTGAGAACATTCAAAGTCCATTCTTCTAGCTATTTCAAAATGTACAACAAATTGTTTATCCTAAACACCCTATAGTGCTATAGAACACTAGAACTTGTCCTTCCAATACAGCTGTAATTTAGTATCCTTTAACCAACCTCTGGCTATCCCCATCTCCCCACTCTCTTATCCACCCTTTAATAACCACCACTCTACTCTCTATTAGTAGAAAATCAGCTTTTTAGTTTCCACATACTAGTGAGAAAATACAATATTCATCTTTCTGTGCCTGGCTTATTTCATTTAATATATCTGAGCTCATCCGTGTTGCTGTGAATGACAGTTTGTTTTTTTTTGACTAAATAATATTTCATTTTTTATATATATATATATATATATATATATATATATATACACACACACACACACCACATTTTCTTTATCCATTCATCTATTGATAGGCAACTTAGGTTCATTCCTTATCTCTGCTATTGTGAATAATGCTACAATAAACGTGGGAATGCATATATCTATTTGACATATTGATTTCTTTTCCTTTTTCTTTTCTTTTTGATATATATCCAGTGGTGAGACTGTTGGATCATTTGTAATTGTTTGAGGAACCTCCATACTGCTTTCTATAATGGCTGTGCTAATTTACATTCCCACCAACAGTGTATAAGTGTTCTTCTGAGCCTTGCTAGCATTTTGTTATTTTTTGTCTTTTTAATAGCAGCCATTCTAGCTAGAGTGAGATGGTATCTCATTCTGATTTTGATTGGTATTTCTCTGATGATTATTGATATTGAGTGTTTTTGAGATACCTGTTGACCGTTTGTTTGTCTTCTATTAGGAAATGTCCTCTCACCTTATTTGCCCATTTTTAAATTAAATTAATTTTTTTGTTGTTGACTTGCTTGAGTTTCTTATTTATTATTAATATTAACCACTTGTATGATGAATAGTATGCAAATAATTTCTCTCATTCTGCAGGTTGTCTCTTTACTCTGTTTATTGTTTTCCTTGCTGTGCAGAAGCTGTTTAGTTTGATATAATCCCACTCGTCTATTTTTATTTTTGTTGCCTGTGCTTTTTGAGATCTTGTTCATGAAATCTTTGCCCAGACCAATGTTCTTTAGTGTTTCCTCTCTCTGTATATATTTTGCTTCGTAAAATTCTGCTTCTTTTAGAGATGATTTAAAAAGCAGTGAAATGACCAAAGTTGAGAAATTCAATAGCTAGAAAGGCAATATTCCTTTTTCTGCAACAAAGAATCATCTCCATAATATATTCTAATTTATAAACACTTGTCCTTTGGAGCAGAGGTCAGAAAGAGTACCCAATAGGCTTCTAGTCTGCAGATGTGTTTTGTTAGAACCAAGTCTTTTTTTTTTTTTTTTTTGCTTTGATTTTAATTCATTCTAAGCAATACAATCAGGGAATTTTATGTAAAAATCTGGGATTCTGGCATTTCTTGTGAAATCAGCAGATCTGGGATCCTTAACCTCATATTCCTGCATGGCAACCATGAGCTGGAGGTAATAGGCTGCTACCACTTTTGGATGGGCCACTGGCCCCAACATTGCCAATTCTCTACTCGAGGCCTAATGCCAGATGCTATTTATAATTGTAGGGGGTTTTGTTTGTTTTAATTTAGCCCAATCCCCTCAACTATATTACCTTGTAAATAGCATATCGGTTTACCATTTGGACTTGAAGCTTGAATCTATGGAATCTAACTTTAAAGATCCACGTGTCAGAATACTTCTATAAGGAATTAGGACAATAAAGATAAGATATCATTATGAAGACCAAGAATCTGAACCTGTAACAGTCGGTGCATTCAAGCATTTTACAGAAGTTATTGCCAGTAACTCCTTGGAACTCTTAGAAACAAACTAGATTTCTGATCTAAACATATATCTTGAATATTGCAAAATACATCCTTCACCTATTTCTTTTTGCTAGCTGTGTGATCTTGGCATTACTTAACCTCTCCAAACCACTCTTTCTACTTCTGTAAAACGGAAAAGTAATTTTATTTATTTCATAGGATTGAGTATTAGATAAGTAAATACACTTTAACTTCTTGAAATTATCAGCCAGAGTAAGAACTTCTCAGATATTATTCATCAGTACTCTTATTACAAATATTTTGATAATTCAGTCATATACTCTCTAAGTAATCATGACAATGTCTTATATTCTCAGATGATTTTAAAAAAGGGTAATTAACTTTTGTGTATCTAGGTAAACAAGATACTTAAAACATTTTTTTTTTTTTAAAATAGATAACACTAAGCCTTAGAGCAACGGTTCTTCATTCTGGGCAGTTTTGCTCTCCATGGGATATTTGGTAATGTCTGCAGATATTTTTGATAGTTAGGATATGGAGGGGCTGCTATTGTCATCTAGTGGGCAAAGATCAGGGGTGCTGCTGAACATCCTACAGTGCACAGAAAACAGCTTCACACAACAAAGAACTATCTAGTTCAAAACGTTGGTAGTGCAAGTTTCAGAAACCCTGCACTAGAGATATTTACCATGAGAAACTAAAGAATTACTGTTAGGAGAGTGGGATAAAAGATAATCATAAAAGCAGGATCTGTTTAGGGAGAGGCCAAGTGAGAGTGAAAGAACTGTTTACCATTTGCACTATGCACTTCCTAAAGAAGTTCTCAGTGTCAAATGAATTAAGCGCTCTTCTCTGGTCCACAGAAGTTTGACTTTCAGAAGAAAGCTTTTAGAATCAAGAAAAAATCCATCATCTTAATGCCTAAGACTGAGTGACTGAAGCCAAAATACATTAATTCCACCAGTGAATCACTAGCCATGTGTGTGAGTGTGCTCCTAAAATTAATACATGTAATGTCATGGTCTGAAATTATTTTCTATTCTTTTTCTCTGGGATAGATAGTACAGCAAACTTTTAAAAGTCCCTAGACATCTGTAAAACCAGGTTTTGTGTAGGGCTGTCATCTGTTAGCATTAACTATTTACATAAAGACAAAATTAATGATCAAATTTGCAACTTGAGCACCTGAATAAAGACTTTTTTTTCACTCTATTTCACCTTGTCAAATAGGAAACTGAAAACAGTGGATAATTTTCATGGCAGTGGAAGCATCTATGTAAATCAGCCATCCATTTCATTCTACTATGCTACTATCTTCAGACATGTAATTGTTTCTTGGGTCTTAAATGCTTTCATTTCCATTTTATCCTTGAGATCCAGCAGTAATTTATGTGTACTTTTAAAAATTTATTTTATTTATAAATGAGACATAGATTGTGTCTGAAGACATTTTGACCTTTGACCATGAGAGGGATAAGTGAAGGAAAAAACAAAGGAATACAAAAGGATTCCTGGGAAAAGGAATGCAAAAAAAAATACCGTTACATTTCCTTTTTTTTTTTTTTTTTTTTTTTGAGACAGAGTTTTGCTCTTTGCTCTTGTTGCCCAGGCTGGAGTACAGTGCAGTGGCATGATCTCAGCTCACCACAACCTCCGGCTCCCAGATTCAAGCAATTCTCCTGCCTCAACCTCCCGGGTAGCTGGGATTACAGGCATCTGCCACCACGCCTGGCTAGTTTTTTGTATTTTTAGTAGAGATGGGTTTCATCATGTTTACCAGGCTGGTCTCGATCTCCTGACCTCAGGAGATCCACCCGCCTTGGCCTCCCAAAGTGCTGGGATTACAGGTGTGAGCCACCATGCCCAGCCGACATCTCCCTTTTCATAAAAGAGATAATCAAATATATAAAAGTGACCATTAAGGGCCATGTTACTCATCTAATAAGTTAAAGTCTCCTCCCATCTTTCAACTGGTATTTTTTTTTTACTGATCTGAAGGAAGAAGTCATACCATACCATATTTTATAATAGGTTAGAATCTATATAACAGGTTTTATTATAACATTTTATAAGCATTGCTTTTCTTCTCTATTATTACAAGAACGTGTTTGTGTGCGTAGGGGTGTGTGTGTGTGTGCAAGTATCCTCGTGAAAGTTTCTATTGATTTTCATTTTAATTATGTTCTTACAATACAAAGGACGCTGACACAGAATTTTTTTAAAAAACAGTGAAAAATGTGTTTGATGTAAGACTCAGCCTAATTGATTTTCTTCAGGGCATATACAATGGAATAGCTTTCCATTTGAATTCACTAATATAATAAGGTGTTAGGCCCATTCAATAATTCTTGAAAAGGAGCTAGGAATCCTAGGAGAAAGGCTAAAAAAAAAAACTATCAAATGAAAAGAAAGGGATATTTTACTAACATAGTTCGGGTAAAATGGAAAGCAGCTGTGTGAAATTTGAGAGCGATAAAGAAGTGAGTCCTTGGTGATAACTACAACCTCACTGGTTTAAAGAAACCGTAACTAGTAGACAAAATGCAAATGTATCAGTAAGGCAGAATTCAGATACAGGAGAAATGCTGTTACAGGAAATTTTACTTGCATTTGTAGATATGACAACTTTCTCCTATATCTCCATGACTGATCACTGCAAATACTTAAATCCAAATAAGATATTCATACTTTTAAATACTAAGTAAACAAAATTTAATAGTTTAATAAGACAACAATGCAGGATGATGGATAGGAAAAAAAGTGGAGGAATTAAGGTTCAATATGAAGCATAGTAGAACAAAGTATTTAAAAATCAATATATATTATAAGGAACTAATAATAACAGATCTGTGGAAATGGATAATAGAAAGACAATTGTAGGCCTAGGACTCTCAATTTTAAAAGACTACATTTAAAGTTTGCTTTGTGTTTTCTGAAGATTTATTCCAGGCCTAAAATGATTGCTTACAGCTGACAGCTTGCTAGTCTCCTAGTGATTTCAATAATTATCTCTATTGAGTTAGGGTATTGATCTGTAGCTGCTAGCCATTTCAAAAGTCCCCTTTTATCTGCTAGAGGTAATAGAATTAATGAGTCTCTTTGCCAAACATAAAAGGAACATTGGGTACACAATTAGGTCACAATATAAAACTGAAAAAAAAGTAAGGGAAAATTAAATTGAAATTTTGAGCTAAAAGAGATTTATATAAAATATCTTCCCATTTAATATGTTTGTGAAATATAGGTATCATACTAAGACAATGGCTAAAGGAAATCAAATGAACTGACTAGAGAATCTTCAAATAACCTGTGTTGATGTGAGTGGTAGATAATTCAAACCTATGTGATTTTGAGTCAGAAATATACTTAGTGACTTAAAAAAAAAGCTTTCAGTGAAAAGTATTGTATGATAAGTTTTGGAGTTCTGACTCAAGTCAGCATGCCTAAAATGAAATCTGGCTTTGAATAGTCTCTAGTTTCAAGATATTGTCTCAGATTTTTCGTCCAAAACATGGGGAAACCACAGTAGCAATCTCAAGGAGTTGTTCTGAGGAGTCAGTAACAGGGCAGGCCAGAGAGACGGTGCCTTGGGAGAGGGTACCTACAGAGACTGTGCAAGCTTCTAGCCAAATGTGCAAATGTTTAGAAGCCACAAGTAATGGTTTCCAGCAAACTCTTCAAAAATAAATTGGTTGAAAATTACATTGTACATTGTTCAAAACTACAAATGAATAAAATGTAAGTATGTCCAATTGCTAACTTTAAAACTGTTTTCCAGCAGCAGCCACTCTTATTTCCAAATAACAAGAGGGAAGATGCTAGACAAATACTTCTCCACAATAAAAAAAAGTATGCACTTATTTGCCTCACTTGGCATTTTGTGAGAGACTTTATCAAAGCTATTTAATTAAATAAGTAACGGAAATACTGTGCAGGGTAAATGGAGTAAACATAGCTAAATAGCTAGGATAGGTACAAGCCAGAGAAAAATTCCCAAACTAGATTATTTCTCATTAATTTGACACTCCCAATAAGTACAGACATTATTATGGCCTTTGGCTTAATGACTCCCATTTATAATTAGTAAGAGCTACCTGCTTAGTTTCAAGAATCATGGTTTATAAAAGTAGGAATGGTACCACAGGCTGACCTCTGTTTTTAAAAGTAGAAACAATCAGGCTGCTATTTCTTTAGTTTGAGTAATTGCTGTTTTTAAAAGTAAAGCAGGCATCAGTGACTGGAAAAATTGCAAAATCAGTGGCTGGAAATATTCATTTTTGACCAATCTATCATTTCAACAAGTTTGTTTTTGACTTATTCATTTGCAACCTTTTCCCCAAACAATTTATTAGCAACCAGATCACTTGCTTCTCTCAGGGCAGAGATTCAACAGCTGCATTTATTCCTGCTCCAATGGCAAGGCTGAGCCAAGAGCAGGGGGAGCCCTGTGATAGCTGGCTCCCAAGGAGGTAACAGTGCCAGCAGAAGAGGATACTGACTCCGCTACTTAGAGTTACCACAACCCACACAGAAAAGGAGCTGTCCAGCACAGCGGTGCTTCCCTCTGCCATGACAGCCTGCCCTGCTGCTTTCTCCATCCACCTCCCTGGGCTGCTGGATACCTGATGAAGCAAAATAAAAAGATACCACAGAAACATCCTCTTCTCTGTGACTGGGTCTTTGATTCTCAGGAAAGAACATGCCCAACCTCTAGTAGAAATCAGCCTTGCTCTTTCTGGGCACACGTACATCTCTTCTTGTTTAAACAGCTAACATGAAGGACATGAACAGACACTTCTCAAAAGAAGACATTTATGCAGCCAAAAAACACATGAAAAAATGCTCACCATCACTGCCCATCAGAGAAATGCAAATCAAAACCACCATGAGATACCATCTCACACCAGTTAGAATGGCAATCATTAAAAAGTCAGTAAACAACAGGTGCTGGAGAGGATGTGGAGAAATAGGAACACTTTTACACTGTTGGTAGGACTGTAAACTAGTTCGACCATTGTGGAAGTCAGTGTGGCGATTCCTCAGGGATCTAGAACTGGAAATACCATTTGACCCAGCCATCCCATTACTGGGTATATACCCAAAGGACTATAAATCATGCTGCTATAAAGACACATGCACACGTATGTTTATTGTGGCACTATTCACAATAGCAAAGACTTGGAACCAACCCAAATGTCCAACAATGATAGATTGGATTAAGAAAATGTGGCACATATACACCATGGAATACTATGCAGCCATAAAAAAGGATGAGTTCACGTCCTTTGTAGGGACATGGATGAAATTGGAAATTATCATTCTCAGTAAACTATTGCAAGAACAAAAAACCAAACACCGCATATTCTCACTCATAGGTGGGAATTGAACAATGAGAACACACGGACACAGGAAGGGGAACATCACACTCTGGGGACTGTTGTGGGGTGGGGGGAGGGGGGAGGGATAGCTTTAGGAGATATACCTAATGCTAAATGACGAGTTAATGGGTGCAGCACACCAGCATGGCACATGTATACATATGTAACAAACCTGCACATTGTGCACATGTACCCTAAAACTTAAAGTATAATAATAAAAAGCTAATGTGAGAATAATTATGTGATATATGAAAAAATAAGGCAGTTTAGAGAGACCAATAAATGCATTGAAGAAGATGCCCTTCTATGAAATAAACTTGCTTCAAGAATAAGATTTTATTAAAAATTAAATTTGTATTTTCCACTAGACTCAAAAGTATAGCACCTCTATACATCAAGAACTTGTACAAATGAAATAATCATAATGTGAGATCAAGGGCAACTACAAGACTAAGATCAACATATATCTAAAATACAAAGTAGGCAACTAGGAGCAGATTGGCTATAACAGAATACATAATAAATGATTTAAATCAAGGCTTAAAATCAATAAAAGGATAAAGAGATGAAAGTAATTGAAAAAAGTATTAAAATATATGAAAAGACTGTCATAAAAATACACATAAAGTAATAGTACAGTAAAAGATGTGAAACTCATTCCCTGAATAAATATTGAAGGTTTCAGATTATTGTGTATCAGTAAGAAATTGTATGTACCTGGGTATATTCTTGGCTAAATTATTGAATCCTAATGATGTGGAGAAAAAAGAAATTCAAAGCATCTTTTTTCCTTCCTCAAAAAATGGTTTCCAGTTTGGTGGGAAAATTCTGCTTATTCTCTAATTTCCCTTCACACCCTAAATATCTATAGGCAAGGTAAAACTTCTGCAAAATTTTGGAAGATAATGCTTATAGCCCAAGATTTTTTCATACAGACAAACTATAGTTCATATAATATAGGATTTGGCAAACTCAACCTGTGTGCAAAATCAGGCCTACCACTTGTGGTAAATAAAGTTTTATGGTAACATAGCCATGACTATTCTTTTGCATATTGTTATTGCTGCTTTCACATTACAATGACAGAGTACTGTATGGTCTACAAAGCCTTAAATATTTAGCATCTGGCTTTTAACAGAAAACCTTTGCTGACCTGATACAAAATTTGCTGATCCCTGATTCAAAACATATACCATGGTTCAGAAAGATTACCAGACATTTATGCTTTCAATAAAGATATAATGTAAATTAAATTTGAGGGAGAATCCCATAAAACATAGGATAAAGTTTAGATAATTGTGATAAGTTACCATAAAACATATGCATATGTTAAAAAAACTGGAAAAGACTAGGCTAACAGTATAATAGGTACTTATCATTGAAAGCAATTGTGATATGTGTGCGAAAATGCTTTGAAACCTGGAACAAGCTAAACTAATTAATTGGATTATCATTGGCCACAAGAAGACCACTAATTAGAGGAATAACTAGCTCACAAATAGTAACATGCAATTTAGTTGCTAAATCATAGTGCAGCAGTGGTGAATTTTACTTTTCCTTACTATTAGTAACATGAATTTTAGTATGGCTCTTTTGATTTCAAGAAATTAAGAACCAACCCAGCTAGTCCAGTGATTTAAAATCCCAGCTGCACATTAGAACCACCTCAGGTGGTTTCAAGCAAAACGCAAGTGCCCTTCCCCTACTCCATTAAATCAGGACCTCTTAAGTACTTTTTTAAAAGCTTTCATATGCTTTAGATATGCACCTAGAGTCAAGAAGAACTGAGTTATTAAAATACATACATACCTACAAACATAAATGACACCTCTATTAAGGATAGATATGAAGTGGGGAGATAACTTTCATGAAGAATAAGATTCATCATAACCCAGAGATTCATGAAACTTAGAGGTGAGAAAACTTATCCTAAGAGTTTGGATGCACGTAAGTGTATTTCATTTCCATTTTCTGTATCAGCTTTTCCACTTGTTACTACCAACTGGATTCTGCCGGTTTCTGTTCCTCCAATAAATTTTTGTCAATATTTTGTCAATATTTTAGATTTTTCATGGGCCTCTGTTGTCAATCCCACCTTATGGGAACATTTCATGGTAATGTCTATTTTTTCTAGCCCTGATTCCTTCAGTTTTCTAATTCAAACAACCAACAAAAAGTTCCAAGGAAAGTCAGTCTGTTTGAGGTTGCTCATATTTGATGTCATTTCATAGGTCACAAATCAGAGGTCCTTAGTTAGTGGGTATTTTTTTAAGTTGCTTTTGGTCATATAAAAAGTGCTTCTGTTTGTAGGGACAAACTAAAAGGAACCAGAACCAGCCTGAGGTCAGTGTGTAACAGCTAGAGCTACCGACCATGAAAGCCAAGTCTACTGGCGAATTGGGGAGTACTTAGGCAAATGTGAAGAGAGGGCAGCTGTTACATAGTCAATATAAAATAAATCCTTGGAATCCAACTGTAGCCTAACGTCCTTCTAGCCTCTTTTTCTTTTTTTCATCTCTTTCCTTCTTTCTTTCTTCCACACTCAGTATTTTCTTTTTCCTATTTTCATCTCTTCTTCTATTTATTCCTCTGTCCCCTTAATACAAAGTAAAAATCTCATAATCATCATTGTATTCCCAATATATTTCAAGGGTAATTAGAATATTATTCATTTGCTTGATTAAAACCAGAACATATATTATTACAATAAATTTTAAATAGTTAAAACACACTACAAAGAGAATTAGTATAAGATGTCAAACAAAGCTAGAATTATGTTTTCTTGTTTTCTATATTTGGCATATGATTCAAACAATCTTATTTATTTAGACGATTGTTTTAAATATATTACTTATATCAATCTAATATAGGTAATATTGGATACTTAGTTCCTTTGAATCTTAAGACAGTAAGTCTTGGTTTTAATTGCTTGATTTTAAAATGGAGTTTCTATAAATATACTTAGAAATTAGAGTTTTTTATTGAGTGAGTATTGAAATAACCAATTTCTAAGTGACTTTTACAAATTTTTTCATGACTTGGGCCAGTCAAAAAGTTTGTCATTTTGAAAACAAAGTCTTTTTTCTTCCTTCGCTAAACTTTGTCAGTCTCCTTTGTTATCTGCTAAACTTGGCAATGGTTTTCAAGATCTGTAGCTAAATTTATTCTTTTATACATGGTTATTTAGCATACTTGAATCAAAGGAACTATACTAACAACCTGAAAGAATACACTTCAAAATAAACATATTGTGTTTGTCTCAAGTTTTTTTATTTCCTGACAAATATATTGAGATTTGGAAGGCCATTTGTCTTTCAGTAATAAACCATTATCTTGTCACAGTGGATAATTCTTTCAGTAGAGTTGTCTTAATATTCCAAAGTCACTTTTTCTTTATTTCCTTTTTTACTTGGGTAGCTTCAGCACTTAGATATTAGAACCAAATAACAAGAAACTAAATGTAATGGCTTATATTTGGCCTAGAGTCAACACAAGCTCGTTGAGTGTGGTGCCAGTTCCTCCTCAATCATCATTTGGAACACATTCCATGTGCCTGACCAGCATAATTTGTTTAGAATCAAGTCACTGGCAAGAGACTCAATAATTTTGTTTTCTTTTCAAATGAGTTACATGGGATTCCTTAAACCTGAACAACACTATTCTGTTATGGGCATGTTCTGTACCAAGTAATTAACTCACATACAATGACAGTACAATAGGAAAGCTGAAAGGGCAATAAATGTTTGCCCAATGATCATTACTTGACCACTTTTGGGAGGAGTGAAAAGTAAAGCAAAATACATTTTACCCACATCTTAAAGTCGCTTTTTACATTAAATATATTTTTCTTGGCCTTGTGAAGTCTATTATACCTGAAATAATATCTCCAACTTCTCTCAAGAGCAGCAGGCTTATTTATCCCTAATTGCTTGTCAAATCAGGAATCTTAAGAATTAAGAATCAAAACAATGTTCTTTGTTTTTTGTATCTGCTTTGTTTTTAGAGGCAGGGTAGAGCAGCAGTTAAGAGCAGGAGTTAGCAGACTATGGCTTGCAGGCCAGTCTGGCCGCCTATCTGTGTGTCACCCACGAACTAAGAGTGTTTTTCATAAACATTTGCAAACTATTTCATGGTAGAGAACAACTGGAGTCAGTTTGTCTGGATTCTACCTTTGTTTGACTGTTGGATGTTGGATTAATTTTGTAATCTTCCTATGCCTTAATTTATAACATATATACTTAGAAAAAAGCCTGTAAATATATGCCTATAACTTAGATAGTTATTGATGAAAAATTTACTGGTGATTTTTTGGGGGTGTGGCATTTTCAAATTTTTGTGCTAAACATGCAATTATTTTGTAATATAAAGATGCTATTGGCTTTATTGAATAGTAAATGAAAAGAATTCAGATTAAATGTCCTCAGAAAAAAATAGATTAGCACTTTTTAGTATCTTTGTAAAAAGAGATTTAGGTAAATATGTTTGGGAATTTAAAAAATATTAATCTAAGATAATATGGCTGTATATTTTCTTATTTGTATTAAAATGACTTGAATATTTTGAGAAAACCCAGCATAAAAACATGGGATTATAATAGATAATTTAACAATTATTTTTAATTCATGATAAAATATAGTGTGCAATATTAAGGGAATATCTATATATGGTATACACAGTATTGTGTAATGCTGAATAGCTCTAGATCTGGAGTTTATGATTAAAATATGGCTTCTGCCATTAACAGTTCTTACCTTGGGTAAGTGCAATGTATCTTAAGATGCAACCTATGTCTCTTTTTTTTCAAAATGAGGAAAATATGGTTTTTCTTAATGGGAGTGTTTTGAGGGCAAGGTAGAAAAATTCATGGAAACATGTGAGCACAATTCCTGTCACATAAATGTTTATGACTCAACCACAATTTATATAAATTTATTCTATGCATCTGACTTTATTTTCCAATTTAAGTACAGAATAAAAACAATAGCAAATTATAAAGTTATATCAGTAAAAAACACAACAGTTTACTAGAATACCATAGAAAGCTATCATTTGGAGTAAAAAATATCAATTCCAGTCCTAGTTTTGCCACTTCCTTGATTTATTTCTAACTCTGGACAAGCCATTAGAGTTTTTTTTTTTTAACCCCAGTTTCTTTAAATCTATAAAATGAGTTGATTTTAGTAGTCCTTCTTATATCACAATGTAATGTGAGAAGCAAATTAGATAATTGAATATCCTTTAGAGTAAATAGTAGCACCAATTTTAATTATTGTGTTTATACTTGGCCAATCTTGAAAATAAGTTTATATTGCTAATGCCAGTATTTCAAATTTTAAGTCTAGGGTTTTAAGGCTGCTCTCAACAGTTCCTTAATTTATTCTGTCTAGTCCACCAAAATCTGAAAAAAAAGTGACCTTCAAAACAGAAATAATAAACCTGCAGAGTTGCTGAGAGTCAACACATTAATTATTTCTCCATTCAGTGTGATACAGAAGCTTTCAAAGTGAGATCAGCGCTGCTTTAGCCTGTTGTATCGCATCAATCTTAGGGGTCATGACAAACATTCAAATCTCTCCAGAAAGAGTGTTCAGTGTGGGGGCCAGATTAGCAAGATTAAACACTGCTTTTTGGTTGCAGCATTGCTAATTTTCATATTAGTAGAAAATATCATGTTCATATATACATATATATGTATCAAACCAACTCTCAAATAGTTTTCCATTATCCTCCATATTGAAAGACCTACCACATAATGCCCATCCATTAAATTCTATGAAACTATGATTCATTAATGTGAACAATCATGAGTTAATTGAACAAACTTTTTTGCTCTTTTTATACATATACAAACCAATCACGCTGGATTATCATCACTGCCTGATGAATAAATTGAACCCAAGTTGACTTTCAAAGTCATCTACATAGTATTTAATAGTTGATAGCTGTTAATGAGCCAATTAAACAAAATATTTAATGTAGACTTCTTGAGAATGTATAAACCACAAGTGACCTTATAAAGTACAGTACGATGAAAATAGCTAATGTTCCAGAATATGCTTGTGACAAATGTGTCCGGGGCATAGAGAGGTGAGAGGAGTGACTGAAATATTTTCGTCATTGGTCAGTGATGGATTGAATTAACCCTTGGGAAAGATCCACTTTTTCTTTTTTGGGGGGTGGCAGGCATAACTTTCTGCATATTTACATTATTGGACACTCCTCCAAACTGACAATATCCACTTACATTATTACACAATAATTCTAAAATCTACCAAAATGGAAACATCATTATTTGCAGTTTATTTTAGCTTCTAAACTAAATTAATCAAAAAGCATATGTCAGGGAGAAAAGCAGTTAAGAATGTTATCCTTTAAAAATGTTAGAGTCCTACATAACAGAATTCGAGTCCCTGCAGGAAAATGATAAAACTCCAGAGTTGAGGAGAGTAGCTTACACTTGCAATTTAAGGCAATCAATTTAAAGTTAATAATAATTTTAATCAGTGTTTAAACTGATGAGTAATCTGATCTGGTAATTATTGCAGATTTTCCAACTCCACAAACCCTTATCTGGAAAATGACCTCGTACTTCTGCCTACTCAATATGCATAGTGATTATACTGATACTTTAAAACCCTAGAATAGAGGAGGAGAGGCAGGACTTAGATGGTAACTCAGGTTCCTTTTTTTTCTCTCTGTCTCTGTCTCTATCTCTTCCCAACATAACATATTCTTTAATTTTCAATGTATCTTATTGTTGCCTCCAGGAATAAGCAGGTGGCTTATGGATCTCCAAAGTTTAATCACTTTTAAGTGTTCTGTGATGTTGGCACAAGATACAATATTCTGCAGTACAGATGCAGGATAGTAGAAGTAGGCCTTCATTGTTGTCAGTGCAAATTGTAGGATTCAAACAATATTCTAAGATTTTTCTTCTGTGTTCAGTTCCTCTTGTTCTTTTTTAAAATTATTATTATCTTTTTTTTTTTTTTTTTGAGACAGAGTCTTGCTCTGTCGCCCAGGCTGGAGTGCAGTGGCACGATCTCGGCTCACTGCAACCTCCACCTCCAGGGTTCAAGCCATGCTTCTGCCTCAGCCTCCTGAGAAGCTGGGACTACAGGCACATGCCACCATGCCCAGCTAATCTTTGTATTTTTTTTTTAGGAGAGACAGGGTTTCACCATATTGGCCAGGCTGGTCTCGAACGCCTGACCTCGTGATCCGCCCACCTCGGCCTCCCCAAGTGCTGGGATTATAGGCGTGAGCCACTGCGCCCGGCCTCCCCTTGTTCTTTTTATGGTAGCATAACCTAATTGTCATCATTGTGTCCAGGTTTTATATCACAGTAAGATCTCCAAAGACTTGTTTTACATCTCTTGGGTTAATTCTATTTTGAATAGTGTAATACTGCCTTCTTAGCCTGTGTATTTGCTAACCATGCGGCCATTATTTCATAGGCCTCTCTGTTTCTACCAAATTACCTGTACTGTTAAAGTTTTGGGAAGGAAATACATGAAGTAGAAAAATAGAGCTTTTTTTAATGATATCAATTGTTCTACCAACAGAAGATACATGTGTAGTCTCTTTCAAATTAGCATTTTTATCCAGAAGTCTTTAAAATATGTTATTGCACATAAGAGGAAAATGTTTTTCAAGTTAAAAACCAAATCAACTCTTTTTATAACTCCCAAAATTCAATAACATTAAAAATTGGCCATTATTTTTGGTCAAAATTAAATTGAGCAGAGGTTGGAAACATTCAGTTTCAAACATTACCCATCCTGCCAAATGTTTATTATAATAAACTAAAATTTTTGAATGTATAATAAAAATGTTTAATTCCTTCTCTTTGTGTTCTTCCCCCATCCCATCAATTGAGCAGGCTACTGTTCTTGGACATTGAGAATATTTCACTAAAATAAAGATGACTAATGGCCTAGATTTTTTTTTTGGAAGGAGACTAAGGCTATTTGGAAAAATAGATTCAAAAGGAAAAGTGAGAAAAGACATTAAGTTTACTGTTAGTGTGTGCACGTGTCTATATACTTACAGCTTGACTTTTAAGGAGCAAGAAATTCTTATAAGTTGTTCCTTATTTTTTTTAAAAATGTAACTATGCAACATGGAAACATAATTTAAAAGAAATTTATTGGGGGTAAAAGTTAACATTTTAATCTCAAAACTGATTCAGCTTTGGTTTAACAAAAAGGATTGGGGAATTCTAATTTTATCCAATAAGTACTTCCACCCTAGATAATGTTGCATAAGCTTAAAGAAGTGATAACTGTAAAATGATGTGTTGCAACAGTATGATTATATATCATTTAAAATAGGCCTTCAGTGGGTAACCTGATAATTACCCCATTTATTGTGGTATATATATAGTAGAGATAAAATAAAGCATGGAAAGCTACAGAGGAAGCTAAGAAATGGTATCTTAATAACTTAATTTGAAAGTAGATTTCAAAGTTGGCATTTTCTTCCTCTTTGAGAGTTTCAGGGAAATTGTGACAGATGACACATGTACAAATGCTTTTGAAAGTCACCTGTCAAAAATAATTTCACATCACAGTTATCAGCTATCTTCTTCAGGCTAGAGAAGTATGTGCATATCTTAGAAGGGCCCAGTTTATCATCAGGCAAGTTTCCACTCCAGCATTAAGTTCGGGAGTGTATCATCAATCATCACCTTTGCCCCACAAGATGAATGGTATCTTAGATTTGCTTGATGCTTTTACTTCATATAATGTAAGAAATTTATTTCCATAAAATTATCCACCTCTTTTGGGGAAAATATTTGTCACAGATTGGGGGGACTTTTGGATATGCTATCTGGGCCGTGCTTTTTTCGTACCCTGCTTTCTCTGCCTTTTCTGATTTACAGACTTAACCTACCCTTGACTTAACCTACCCTTAGCAACCTACAGAAGACATCTCCTACATTCTGGAGCCTGCCCATTCCCATACAACTAGTCCTTAGATATTATATGACTCTGATAAGACTTTTTAATTAATGTTCATTATAGCACCTATTGAACTCAACTGTGGCTCATTTAACATATCGATTCAACACCTGGAATAATAATTAATAATAATGTTTTATTGAAAAACAACCATGTATCAAGTATTATGATGGGCAATTCATAAGCATTATTTCATTTAATGCTCATCAAAATCCTTTCAAGGATTACTATTCCCATTCAACAGGAAACTTAACTAATTTGCCTGTTGCTAATTAGGAGGCAAAACTCCTTTTCCACTCAAATTTGCTGGACTCTTGAGCCATGCACTTTTCTCATCTCTATATTAATTCCCATTGATAAGCTCAGAAGTTATAAAGATAAACATACAGTCCTTGCCCTCAGAGAACTCACATTATAATAATGGCAATTAATTATGAAAATTATATTTAAAGTGCAATGTAAAATTAATGCATGTCCTGCTCTTTATTGACCTTTTTTATTAGGTCTTATTATCCTCAGCATCTCAACATTGCCGTAGAGGATGCTAAATACATGTTTGTTCAGTGAGCAAATAAATACCACTATTACTACTATATGCTACTAAATTACATTTTGTAACAACATAGTCTAACAGAATAACACGTTGGATTATATGAAATGAAATTTCATGTAATACTGAGAAATGCCTGGGGCTGTGATTCAGGAGAAATATACTCAGTATTAGGAAACAGAGTGTAACACAGGAACAAGACATTTTGCTAAAGCTCAGTGAATTCCTGGTCCAAGCCAGGAGCCTTTGTTAATCTTATTTGAGTCTCCCCCCATTAGTTAACAGAATGGAGTTAATTTCCAATTCACCTGCCTATCATTTGCCTGGTTGACTTAAACTCTGAGATGCCATTTTTATATTGGTAAAAAGGAGAATGATGCTAGCCTTATGTATCTCACATGAAATGAGATCATACATGTGCAATACTTGCTACAGCACCAAGCACACAGATAATGCTTAACAAATGCTTGTTTAATGTAAAACGAGATCTAATAGATCTATACAGTATGGAATCTCTATAGAGCAAATTCAGGATGGTGCAATAGAAGCTACAGCTTCTCAGAGAAGAATAAAAATGGTGTACTATAACTTTTTCTATGGATTTTACAATGTGAATACTAAGAACTCACTCTAGTATGAAGCAGAATAGCATACTGGTGAGGAGCTCAGATACTGAGTTAGATTGCTTATTATAAATTCCTGGTTCTATTAATTTCTATTTTTGTGACCTTCAATATAGTACGTAGGTTTTTATGTGTCTCAGTTCTTCATCTATAAAACTGGGTTAATCATAGAACAAGAACTACTGAGTCTGTTGTATTAAGTGGATAAAACAAAAAAAGGGACTTAGGACAACAGTGCCATGTAGTAAACATTGTAAAAACAAAAAGACTAATAGCATCATCTTTGCAGGTACAGCTACCTGTGGTCATTGATTCATGCTGTGAAGTTCAAGTTATCTAAGTTAATTCATTTTTAAAGTTCAAGCTTTGGCAAAGAGCCACTAAGACACACAAAAACCCGTATATTAATGAATGAGATTTGCGAAGCTTAATGTGAAAGTTCAACAGTTTCCCTTTATTGGAGAGCATCTACTATAATAAAATGCCAACATGAAGAAAAAAGATCAAAGGCCCTTATTGTCACAGAGGAGCTTACTATGTAGAGAGAGGTATACAAATCGTATAGAGATATGTAGGCATATACATGCATATGTACCTGTATATTTTTACATAGGAAAGGTATGTGTGAAGTATTAAAATAATAGGAGCTACTAAAGATTGACATTTTATAAAACAGAAATTAAAGAAGATGTGACATTTGGTTGAATTTGGAAGAATGACTAATTTACTCAAACCAGTATGTCTGGTAATGTTGTGCATGTATGTCCAGTACCCATGCATGGCTGGCAGAGAGAGCGGGGCTGAATCCCAGGCCATGAAGTGATCACAAACCTAATATCTTTGCTTGGATTCCCCATGGGGGAAGTGCCAAACTCCAAATTTACTTCATGACAAGGTATTGGCCAAAGAGGAAGGGGTTCTGACACTCCGTTAGAATTAAAGTATAGCACATTCCCAGTTAATAGAACTGGAGATAAGTCTACTTCTGATTGCTTTACACTGCCTATTGCAACATGATGTTGGAAAATAAGCAAAGTGAGTATCTGGCAGGAGACAATCTGAACTTAACATCACTTTTTTTTCTAATTTTTATTAAAATGACTGAAGAAAGAAAAGAATGGACAACATGTAAAGCACTTTTAAAACTTAAGGGAAAATCCTGAAAACTAAAGGAATTTCTAAAAGATAAATTACAGGTGAGATAAAAATGGTGGATGGCCTCACTGTGTATTGCAAATTAGAGAAAAGTACCCCTAGATAATAAAACCTGGCACTAAGCTGGTCAACAACAACTTCTAATTAGGATCATTGGGCACCTACAAAAAAAGGAGAGCCTCCACTCAGGCAGTGTGGGTGGGGGGCTGGGTATGAGACAATGAGTTCAAATGTAGATACAACTAACAAATTTTAAAGAATCTTTTTAAGTATCAGATGGAATACCGTAGAAAACAGATCAATGATTTAGAAAGTTAGAACAAGAATCTTTCCAGAACTCAGGAAAAAAAAATAAGAAGATACATATTATGAAAAACATAAAAAGAAGGATTACGGTGATTGGTTTTCAAAGATACGTACACACACACACACACACACACACACACACATACATATTTCAGGAAAAATGAAGAAAACGGAAGTCACAGGAGCAACAACAATCCAATGTATACTAATTTCTGAGCCCAAAGGTAGCCTCACATCAGAAAGTCTCTTAGTGGATGTAGTCAAAATTAATGAAAAAATATATAATACATACAATTGTGAATATAAAACTAATCTTGATGACCATCAAAAAAAGGGAAAGTGATATATTTTCATGACATTTCTTAAAGTATCATAAAATAAATTGAAAGTAAATTGAGCTATTGCCTTGCATACTATCAATTTATACGGAGGATAAAGGAATATATTAAAAGTTATAAATTAATACATTTTTACCAATCAAATGATATAAATACTAGAGGTGATATATGGACAAGAGATATAGAGACTATTTCATTTTTCATAAATATAGAGACTGGTTTATTTGTGTATAATCTATTATGGAAATAAGACCATAAATTTCAAATTGTTTAAAATACTACTTTCCGCTTCCTAAAAAAATCTGCCTATTGAAAAGGGAGAACATCTGCCAGCTAGAAACTTGTAAGTTGTTTCACTTGGTTCTTAATGCTTCCTGTTTTTTTTTAAATTGAGATACACATCACATACCATAAAAGTCACCTTTGTAAAGCATAAAACTAAGTGGTTTTTAGTCTCTTCACAGAGTTATACTATCACCACTGTCTAATTTTGGACCATTTCCTACACTCTAAAATGAAACCTAGAAACTGCTAGCATTCATTTCTCATGCTCTCTCAATGGGAACCCCTGACAACCATGAATCTCCTTTCTATCTTCCTAGATTTGCCTATCCTGAACATTTCATATAACTGAATTTATACAATATGTGACATTTTCTGTCTGGCTTCCTTTAATTGTATATGTTTTCAACGTTCTTCTATGTTATAGCACATACTATGTTATGGTACTTCATTTTCTGACATGGTTAGATAATATTCCAATGTGTGGATACACTACATTTTGAAAGCTGTTATTCAGTTGATTGACATTTGAGGTGTGTTGGGA
This sequence comes from Homo sapiens, assembly GCF_000001405.40. Lineage (NCBI taxonomy): Eukaryota > Metazoa > Chordata > Mammalia > Primates > Hominidae > Homo > Homo sapiens. Next base: position 77,068,739 of record NC_000002.12, read on the forward strand.
ACAGGCCCCCCAAAATCTGGCCATAAACTGGCCCCAAAACTGGCCATAAACAAAATCTCTACAGCACTGTAACATGTTCATGATGGCCATAAGGCCTACGCTGGAAGGTTGTGGGTTTACCGGAATGAGGGCAAGGAACACCTGGACCTCCCAGGGGTGAAAACCGCTTAAAGGCATTCTTAAACCACAAACAATAGCATGAGCGATCTGTGCCTTAAGGGCATGTTCCTGCTGCAGATATCTAGCCAGACCCACCCCTTTATTTGGGCCCATCCCTTCGTTTCCCATAAGGTATACTTTTAGTTAGTTTGATATCTATAGAAACAATGCTAATGACTGGCTTGCTGTTAATAAATACATGGGTAAATCTCTATTCGAGGCTTTCAACTCTGAAGGCTGTGAGACCCCTGATTTCCACTTTACCCCTCTATATTTCTGTGTGTGTGTCTTTAATTTCTCTAGCGCCACTGGGTTAGGGTCTCCCCGACCGAGTTGGTCTCATCAGAGGTGTTTCTCATTTTGGCCGTTATGAATAACATATATATTATGAATATAATAATACTATTAACATACATGTACAGGCTTTCATGTGGATACGTTTTTTAGATTTTCTTGGATATATACCTAGAAGTACTGGGTCATATGGAACTCTACATTTCACTATGTGTGTGTGTGTGTGTGTGTGTGTGTGTGTGTGTGTTTGTGTGTGTTGGAAGAGTTCAAGAAGGATTTGTGGCAATTCTGTTTTTAAATATTTGGTAGAATTCCCCAGTGAAGCCATCTTGTTCTGGACTTTTAATTTTGTAGAACTAATTCAATTGTTTTACTTGTTATAGGTATATTCTGGTGTCCTATTACTTCGTGGGGGTAATGTTGGTAGCTTGTGTATTTCAAGAGATTTGTCTATTTTCAACTTTGCCTTAGCCTTTCCTTCCTAGTTATGTACAGCTTCATAGCCAGCCACGAGAGCACAGGGCCTTCTAAAGTCTTTCTTGAGCATGTTCACAACTCTGTATATGTGGGTGGCTTTCTAGATTCTCTGGAATATATAGTAGTTTTACAAAGATCTTATGGACATCACATTCTTTAGCTTTATCATTTTCGCATTTTAGTTATTCTTTGCCCAGCTTTTGGCTTGTCTTTTCTATCTGTTGCCTCAGGCAGCTGCAAAGTTGAAAACACTTGCCTGTAAAACATATTTCAGAAATACCCTCTAAGAGAAAGCTCTTAGGCCTGGCAAGCTCCAGTTGGGTCAAATGAAAACAAGCCTTTTGAATTAAAACTTACAGGCAAGTACTGCACAGATCAGATTATATATATATATATAAAATCGGAAATGAGGCTATGAATGAGCTATCGCGTGCTTCTGCTTTTTCCAGAATGCAGGCTATTTTATTTTTGGCAAAAATATATCCGAGTTTGAAATCAGGGAATGGGACTATGAGAAGATAAAAATGCCACCAAATTCATGCTTCTTACAGAGGCTCAGTCATTTTTTTAAAAAATAAAATACAATAAATGCTCCACAGGTTGCTGCATGACTTTGGTTAGTTTCAACAGTGATGAAAATGTTACTTCTGACAAACTTTTGCCAGTTTTTGAGTTGACTTTATTGAGAGACAAATTTTCAGAAGTCCTTTCTCTGCCATTTTCATGGATGTCACTCTCTCTATATATATATTTTAAAGATAAAACATAAATGACCAAACTACATCCTAAAAATGTTCAATCTTTCTACCTTGCAGAAAAGCAAACTAAAATATTATTATCACTAAAAATTTGACAAATGGCTTTTATTTACTCATTTTTCTATTTTCCCTTCAAACATTTCTACTAAGATATTGTATCTTTTTTTATAACATTAGGTTATAAAGTTGATTTTTTTGTTTGTTTGCTTCTTTGTTGTTTTGAGACAGAGTTTTGCTCTTGTTGCCCAGGCTAGAGGGCAATGGCATGCTCTCCGCTCACTGCATCTTCTGCCTCCCAGGTTCAAGCAATTCTCCTGCCTCAACCTCCTGAGTAGCTGGGACTACAGGCACGCACTACCATGCCCAGCTAATTTTTGTATTATTAGTAGAGACGGGGTTTCACCATGTTGGCCAGGCTGGTCTCGAACTCCTGACCTCAGGTGACCCTCCCAAAGTGCTGGGATTACAGGTGTGAGCCACTGTGCCTGGCCAAAAGTATTTTTTTGAAATAACAATTTTAAAATTAAATGGCTGTTTCTTTCAGAATATTGACATTTGAATCCCAAGTTACCCTTGGGATTACTACCTGTGCATGTCTAATATTTTATTCTCCTTTTTGTTTTTTATCTCAGAGATCACACATCCTTTGGGAATAGTACACGTAGGTAAACACAAGAGGATAAAGAGTATTTCACAGAAAACTTTGAAATACACACCTTCAATGCCAAAAACAAATCATCAAAATCTTCGCAAAGGACGTAAAAATGATACATAAAATCCCACTGTCCAATTTAGATTCTATACAATAATTACATAACTTAAACTTTAATTTGTTTGTGCTTCAGAATGCTCCAACAACAAAAATTTTCCAAACCTATATTCTTTTTGATATATGCATATTTTGTTATGGTTATCCAGAGACCTTCACATGCTTATTAAATTTCCAATATGCATTATTATAATAAATACAATGAAAATTGAAAATTTATGAGTGATATAAAGATACATCTCTGGTATTTCATATATTCATTAAAATATGCCCAAACTCTCAATATTTTAAGTGTATTGAAATTTACTAAATTAGAATCTTGCTCCTGAATTCTTCTAAAGGAAGACTAACAATAGCAATAAATTATAATTATGCCTAGAATAGAAAGAAAAGAGAAACGGAGATTTATTCCTGTAACATTATCTAAGTCTGAATAGGACTATTAAAAACCTGAAGTTCTAATCACATAAAAATTATGAAAATGTAAAAACAAATCTAAATTGTTTTCTTGTTTAATAACAACCAACTAAAGAATTTGTTCCCATTCATGGGGATGTATGCTTCAGAGTTTTACAAGTAGCAAAATTCAAGAATATACAGTATCTGTTGTTGATAAAGAAAAATCTTCAAACAGGATCCAAAACCCAGCATTTGTGAAGGAAAGTTGAGGACACTAGTGTCCAAGCTTCATCTACATACCACCTCCACTACAGCTCAGGCCACATCGGGCTAGTGGGTGGTATAAAGTATGAGAATTAATAATATTTTTTGACTTGGTAAGACTCTCTTATTTTAGTTTGGATCATTGAATTATGCAACTCCTCTGTCCCTCAAAAATTCTGACTTGTTTTTGACTAATTTGAAAATATACATTATTAATACATTTTTATATATACATTAAAATAAAATTTATCTGAAAAACTCAGAGTCATAAGAATGTTATTAAATTTTCAAATGTTGAAGTCTATGGTGTTAATTTAAGATCCCAGATTGAGAATAATGACTCCAGTTGGCACCATAAAAATGGGGAAAAATTAAATCAACTAATTACAGTTCTGACTCTATTTAAAAAGTATAGGTTAATCTCTTTTAAATGAGTGGGCTTTAGCTGAATATCTGCCTGACTCATGTCAGCATACTTATAAACTTATACATTTAACATGTTTTTCATTGCAATTGAAACATTATTTCTGTGAAAAAACCTGATGGTCTAAACACATAAATATATTTTCTCTCAAAATAGATGAATCCAAAGATTTAGAGCATATAATTAATTGAGATTCCAACATACAATCCTGGGTCACCCAAGACTGCCTTATAGGCCAGACACAGTGGCTCATGCCTGTAATCCCAGCACTTAGGGAGACTGAGGAGGGCAGATCACCTGAAGTCAGAAGTTCGAGACCAGCCTGGCCAACATGACGAAATCCCGTCTGTACTAGGTATACAGAAAATTAGCCAGGTGTGGTGGCACCCTCCTGTAGTTCCAGCTACTCGGGAGGCTGAGGCAGGAGAATCGCTTAAGCCCTGGAGATGGAGGTTGCAGTGAGCCAAGATCACACCACTTCACTCCAGCCTGGGCGACAGAGTGAGACTCCGTCTTCCAAAAAAAAAAAAAAAAAAAAAAACAAAGGCTGCCTTACAGTTTCCAAGGTTTGTATGATTTTCTCAGTTATTCGGCTACTTGCGTCTGTCAGATTACCATAGAAGACTTTGGAAGATGATGGTTTGTTAAGACAGAAGAAGCATAAATATTATTCTTAAGCACACTATATAGATTGTTGCTTCCTAAAGTGTGATGTTAATATCAATAGCCTCATTGACATCAGTTGGGAGATCTTTCAGCATGCAGAATATCAATCTGCATCCCAGACCAGTGGCATCAGAATCTGCATTTGAACAAGATCTCCAGGTGATTCATACACCTGCTATGTTTCTGATACAGAGGCAAACACTATTAAATATTTGCTGGTTCTTCAGTGTTTTTTTTTTCCCTAGTATGTTATAGTTTACATATTCATAGAACTTGACAATACTATAAGTATTTTCTTATGTCATTAACATTTTAAAATATTACTTTAGAATTCCATTATCACATATACTTATTGGAAAAAATTAGTAAAATAGGCCAGAAATTAAATACTATCCAATTCTTCTTACTTAGTGTAAAATTTTGGTCTATATTTCAATCAGATAAATACATTAATTATTATTATCTATTATACATAGGATGAGGAATTATATAGCATTTCCAGTACAGACATTTTCCTTTCCATTATTTGTTTTTTCTATGTTATAATTCCTTCTATGAAAATGTTTTCAATGTGATCCACACAAATCATTAGCATTTTTTATTATGAACCTAAGGATGAATCTTAGAGAATGTGCAACAGTCTTTCTACACCAAAAGATATTATTGATTTCTGAATTTTCATTTTTTCCATAATCTTCAAATACATTGAAAAATATGGGTATAATGAGTGAATGTGAATATAAGATGAATTCAAATTTCATGTTGCAGAAAACTCTCATTTCCCTTCCTTTATAATGTTTTTTTCTGTCTCTCTCTCTCTCTATATATACAAATATATATTTCACTTTACAATAGTTTTAAAAATTCACTATGGCTAAATCTGTGACCTTCAGCCAAGTATTTTTTTTCTGGGAATCTGGTGAAGCTTCTTGATTTTTATGCTAGTCATTCTTTTCTTCAGCTGAGGGCATTTTATTTAATAAATTTAATTTTACCATTTATCTTTATGAGAAATGCACTCTTCGTTAGTTCTACATGGTTCTTCTTATAAATAACATATTGTGTACATTTATATTTTTCCCCTACATTGTTTAAAAAGTTCACTCTTCTTATAAATTTTCAATATTGCATAGTGATATTTTATGTTTTGTTTTCTTGAATGCAATTTTAAATGTCTTAATGGATATTTTAACTGGCTCCAACTTCATCTGCATCTATTTCTCATCTAATTTTATGATTTTGTTTTATCATATCTGCATTTATACTTGTTATAACATAGATGGTCTAACCTAACCAGCCTTTGCTAACAGTGTGAGTGTGAGGTTTCATTTGTACATCCTGTGTTCTTGGGCATTTGTACATCCTGTCTTCATGGGCCTGGCTGATCATCTTCAAATTTGGAGCTTGGAAGTGAATTATTGTCCACAGTCCCTTGAACACTTTTTTCTGTTGAAACTGACTTTATCATTTAGGAATTAGTAGTAGTAAGATCATATCTTCTGTGTCCTCTACTGCTTGGAATTATAAAAAACTGAAGGCTGAATATTCAACACCCCTGTTATTAAGCTTATGGTACTCTATTTCTGGTGATGGAATTTCCAAGTTTTCACAACTCTGAATTTGCCTTACCCATTTTTACATATGTGTATATATCTGGCTGGATATATTTTTTATCACTGTGAATTATAGTCTACTACAAGGAGAAAAAGAAGTACTGATTTTGGACAGAGAGAAGGAGAACTATTTAGAAATTAGTCCCAAAACATTAGCATGAAAAAAGGTCAATTGTTGCAAACCTTGACTTTCTAAATCAAGAAGTGGACAAAGGTAAGAATAGATTTTCTTCTAATTGTTGGTTGGCACTGAAAAGTTGTGTCAGAATTTGAATTAGTCAAATAAAATTCTATTAAGTTATGGTTTAAAGGAAAACCAGTTACATTGGCAGAGGTTTGACTTAAGTTTCACTTTTTTTCCAAGATAACAAGATATTTTTTCTATGTTTTTGTTAGCATTTCTGTGGAAACGTATTTACCACCATATCTAGACTCCTAACTTGTTGCTAATTTAAAACCAAAACTGTCTCTGAGACACAGAAACCAGATCAATATTCTTGCATAAAAATTTAAGATTTATTTTATTTTATTGTCATCAATAATGCTTTCCTACATAGTAGATAATATGTGAGCTGTTTCTGCTAATACCTGGTAACTTTGAAGATGAAACAGATCAATGTCAAGTATAGATGTTACACCCTTTCAAAACTTATACAGAAATTGATTTTGGAAGGAACAGTTTTGTTTTTAATAAGCACTAATTATTTGACTATTATTTCTACAACTTGTAAATGTTAGGCTTAACCACAAATTAATTGGAAGTCTGTGTCAGTCTGTTTATTTGTCTCGATAAGAAAATCAGAGGTTAATTTTTAAAAAATTTCTTCAGACTAAATAAAACCTTGGCTTTATATGTAGGTTTACATTTCACAGAAGTTTGTGTCTTGTTTCACAGTAATTAGGAGGATATAGCCAAGGTGGCAGCAATACTAATACTACTACTTAGGATCCCTTTTGTAAACTTGGCATAAAAATAAGGTCTACATTTTTCTCTCATACACTCAAATTGTATGCAAATATGATGATAAAAATCAAAATTTAAAATTAATTTTCAATTTTGTTTTAAAAATGGGGCCGGGCGCGGTGGCTCACGCCTGTAATCCCAGCACTTTGGGAGGCCGAGGCGGGCAGATCACGAGGTCAGGAGATCGAGACCATCCTGGCTAACAAGGTGAAACCCCGTCTCTACTAAAAATACAAAAAATTAGCCGGGCGTAGTGGCGGGCGCCTGTAGTCCCAGCTACTTGGGAGGCTGAGGCAGGAGAATGGCGTGAACCCGGGAGGCAGAGCTTGCAGTGAGCCGAGATCCCGCCACTGCACTCCAGCCTGGGCGACAGAGCGAGACTCCGTCTCAAAAAAAAAAAAAAAAAAAAAAAAAAAAATGGGATGAAGAATTAAGCTGGTTTCTGATAAGGTCATTCATTCTGAAGTCTGATGCAGAATCCTTTCCAAAAACTATTTCCATTTATATCAGTACTTTCTCCTAGCACTATGTTGGTCAGTAAGACTTTTGACATTTACATAAAGCAAAAAGGCATTTTCATTCTCTTGGAGCCATTCTTTGAAGAGAAAGATGCTGCAGCTAGGGAAAACATTAATTAAAAGCCCATCTAACATAAATGGCTTGTCACCAAGTTACCATACTTAGCAGAACTTACACTGTCCTTGGAAGATAGAAAAATTCCTTCAGTGTTTGGTTTAACTTGAGAAGTTAACTACTCTAATTTGTAGCAATACATATTTTTCACAGGCTGCAATGTATTTGCATATTTTAAATACTTTAAGGAATGTATCATCAAATGAGTCCCTAATGGAATGTAATTTAGTTCACAAGTTAAAAAATGGGATAACAGTTTCAGCCCGTTACTCCCCTAATGCTTGAAATATAGTCAGAGAATGAAACAAGCAGTGTATAAAAAACAGATATTACAGTAACAACTGTCACGATAATGAGAAGGATACACTGTACTGTTTTTGCTTAGTTATAACAAATGAGCATGAATATCTTGTTATGTTTCTTCGGGGAATAGTATTAATTCTTTCTGCTACATTGAAATGAAGCATGGTTAATGTCACTGAATGTATATCTAAATGACTCTAAAATGTTACATTAATAGAAATGATAGAATAAAAGTCATGCAAATGAGTAGAATGTTTATGTCCTCCATATTCTTTAGTTTTTAAGTTGCGTGATTTTGAGATAACATTTCATTGTCCAAAGTATCGATGAATGTCATTTGATTTAAAAAGTAGCCTTTGAGAAAACAGAAACTGTGAGTGCTACATTATTACTAGAGCTATGCCAGATTATAAGTACTAAAATTTACATCAGTCATCCCTTTGTTAAGAAGCATCCTTTTCTCTCCCCTGTATTTCCCCTAGCAGTAATGAGGTAAACAATAACATCAACAACAATAAAAATGCAGCAACTCTAAAACAAGCATTTCAACTATTGTAATCCATTCCCTTCCCCAACAGCTTATTTGTTGATTAGTACCTAGATGGTGTCTGACAAGCAAAATTTATTTTCCTGTGTATTAGAATGTACATAGAGTATCACACCATATGCAAAATTCTATAGAGGTAGAATAAAGGATAACTATATTGATTAATGAGTTTGATATAACACTTCTTTTCATGTAGCAAATCATTTTATCACTTAAAACAGAAGTATCAGTAAATTGTGCCATAGATATCACTAAGTGACTTATCCATACATTTCCTAAATAACTATAATCAATCTGAAGATGTGAGATGGGGGCAACTTGGTCCTATAGTAAGACTAGCTTATTCCCAGTCTAGGAACATGGTAAGTTTTATTATATCCTAATAGATAGTACAAGTCAGACATATTAGAGATATTTTCAAGTTCTTCCAGGAAACATTTGGAATTAAGTCAGAAATGTTGGGAAATTTTGGTATGAATATATCTCCTTTAGACATTTAAAAGTCATTAGAACTGCCTGTAGAGCATGGTGGAAAACCCAGTTCATTGGAGCTGTAGAAGATTTTTCTTACTCATATTCTCCAAGTATAGCTCAGTGATCTGGGAACCTACTGAGATAATTCCAGTGCCCAAGATCCACAAAGACATCTAGCATTGTAAATATGGCTCCTGGGAAATTATGGAGAATGGGAATAACTAGCTCTAAAACATAGAGTATGTTTTTGGGAAATAAATCCCCAAAAATGCTTCTCAGTCTGTCTTTATATGTGTGGAACATACCCAACAACTTCTAAAAACAATAAGTTGACCCATATTGAAGGAGTTTGCATTTTGATTAATAAGCTATATAGAACACATTCATGGTAATTAGCACATGTCAAATAATTAATCTTCATAGCCTCATTAACAAAGGGAGCATTGCATTTTTAAGTGAAGAAAGAGAGACACAAAGAAGTAATTTGTGTTCCCTTCTGTTTTCATCAGGTGTTTGAATCCCAGTTTTTCACTACTTACAGGCAGTGAACTGCAGACTTTACTTCCTTTCTGACACAGTTGATCTACTCTTTCTACTGTCTACAAGCAAGAATTTCTTTGTGTTTTGCATTTTTACCTTTTGCTTTAAAGCAATAAGCAACATTGTCATTAACTTAAATAAAAATACCTCCATAAGCCATCTGACATTTCATTGAAAATTCTGTCATTTATATCTGCCATAAACTAATCTAACAATAACTGGCAATGTTGAATTTGTTCTAAGTGTTAGTTTCTCTCGTTGCTATTTTCTTTTCATACCTAGTTTCTTCTAAACCAACAACAAATCTAGGAAAGATAATTTTATTGAAAAAAATATGTTTGTCTATTACACACACACCCACACACACACACACACACACACACACATGTTCTGGTGCACTGCTCTGTGATCCCAAAAATAACAGAGGAATTAGCGATAAAGTGACAAAACATAACCAAGTTGCCTGAGCTGAACTTGTTCTTCATTATAAAGTGTATATATTTTTATAATCAATATTTTATTAACATAGCAAGTCAGAAAGCCTTTTGTATGGATAAGCTGTCATGATTTATGGTAAAACAATTGCCATTATGTTGGGGAGATGCTACCTTTTGATTCATTGACAAAAATCTGTCATCATCTGATACACATATAGTTTAGTACAGTGACAAACCTTGTCCAGCAAGCAAAAGGCTATAGAAAATATGTACAAACTTCTGTTAAAATTGCCTTTTCATTAGGGAGATACATTGAAATACCATCTTACTTCATTCCAGATGCTCTAACAAAATACTATAGACTGAGTAGCTGATTAACAATATAAATGTATTCCTCACAGTTCTGGTAGCTGGGAAGTCCAAGATCCAGACACTGACAGATTCTGTTTCTGGTGAGGACTCTCTCCCTGGCTCATGGGTGGCTGTCCCTCAGTGGCAGAAGGGGAGAATGGGCTCCCTTGAGCCTATTTTATAAGAGCATCAAATGCATTCATATAAGGACTAAGGCCTCGCGATCTAACACTTCCCCCAAAGCTCCACTTTCTAATACCATCACATTGAGGGTCAGGATTTCAACATATGAATTTTGGGGGATACAAATACTGAGACAATAGCAAAGACACTACAAGTAAAAAGAAACAACTGACATAAGGGAAACTGTTTTCTGCCAGTAATAGATTTGTACTTTATGACTATTTAACATTTCAACTTTTTTTATGGAGTTAAAGCTAAGGGTTAGAATTTTAAATGCAATGAAGTCTTGCGTGGGAATTGGCAAACCATGGTTTGCAAGCCAAATATGAACCAGTGGCTATTTTTGTAAATACAGTTTTATTGAAACACATCTGTGCCTACTGATTTACATATTGTCTGTGGATGCTTGTATCATACAATTGCAGAGTTGAGTAGTTAGGACAGAAACCTTATACAAGCTTGTGGCCAAGGACACTTTGAATGCAGCACAACACAAACGTATAAACTTTCTTAAAACATGAGATTTTTGCAATTTTTTTAAAGCTCATCAGCTATTGCTAGTGTTAGTGTATTTGATGTGTGGCCCAAGACCATTCTTCTTCCATTTGGCCCAATGAAACCAAAAGATTGGATACCCCTGCTGAATGACCTGCACATCTCAAATATTTATTGTGTGCTCCTTTATTGAAAAGGTATTCTGATTCCTGATCTTCCTGTTTCTATGAAGCTTGATAATTATTAGTTAAAAGTTAGGTAAGTGCTATTTATTAAATAGGTAACTGCTATTTATTAAATAATAGAATGATGGTGATTTTTATTTCTAATTTCTATTCTTTTACTTTTTTTTAGTTTTCTGTATGTTCCAGTTTTAAAATGATTTCTACAATTAAAACATTTTAAATTTAATTTTATATATACATTTTATGATAGAAATATATTTTTAAATGTACCTTTAAAGATTAAACTGTTTTGTTCTTTTCCAACAAAATTCTCCAAAGAGTTATTTATATTCACTGTCTGCAATTCTTTTATTTTCATTCTCTCTAAATTTATTCTCATTTGGATTTTATCTCAACAGGACTTTAAAATTACTCTCATTAAACCCTTCAATGGTCATACATTGCTAAATTCAATGTTTATTTCTTGCTTCTTTTCTTGACCTATTAGCAGCATTTGAAAAACTTAATAACTCCCTTGAAATTCTTTCTGTACTTGGCTTCTAGAATTCTATGTACATCTGATTTCCCCCTTACATAACTGGTTGGTTGTTTTCAATCTCCTTTTTTTGACCTTTATTCTTCTCTTCAGCCTCATGTTAACTGTCAGTTTCCTTTGAGCACTGTCCTTGATCACCTTTCTCAGTCTGCACACTCTCACTGTACACATCCCATATCCGACTGAAGTCTCTTTTATAAGTTAACAACTCTGAAATGCATATCCTTATGTTATTCTGGAATGCAGAAGTATATTTACTACCTTCTTGACATCTACCCTTGATAATCTAACAGGCAAATCAAATTTGACCTGTCTATAATTGAACTCTTCACCACAATTCTACCCCAAATTGACCTTTCTGGAATCTACTTTATCTAAATTAATGGAAATTCTGTCTCCAGTGGTTCAAACTAAACACTTTAAAGTCATCCTTGACCTCTCTCTTTCTCATTTTAACAAATTATTTAACACTTTAAAAAATTATGGTAGCTCCACCTTTATTTTATGTCTAGAACTTAAGACTCACACCTTTTATTAGGAATGCAGTTAATGCCCTAGTCTGGGCCATCATCATCTCTTGCCCTCAAGGTACTTAACAATGCCTATAAAGCCTTCTGTGCTTAGCGCCCAGTTATTTCTCCTTTACTATTACTTTGCTCCTGTTTCACCACCTCTGCAAAGCTCTACCATGACAGGAAACACTCTCCAGCTTCAGGGCTTTTGTGCTTGCTCTTTACTCTGTCCACATCCCCACTTCCCAACCAATTCCCACAACCCAGCTATGTACTAGGTAACTGCCTCAATTATTTTCTTGCTTTAATTGCAATTTCTCAATGCCTCCCATGCTGCTTATGTAATTTATCACCTTTCTCTAGTCTTTTCAGTTCTCATTGCCTTTGGTTTTCTGTGATAGCCTATAATTTGCTTTTTGATCATGTATACTTTTTATCTGTCCCTCTTATAGAAGCTAAGCCCCAAGAAGACAGTAATTGTTTCTGTTCCCTAAAGTATTCCCAGCACCGAAAAATACCTGACAGCAACACACACACACACACACACACACACACACACACACACACACACATAAATTTGTTGGAAAAGAGCAAAATGTTTAACCTTTAAAAGTACATTTTAAAATATATTTCTATTATAAAATGTACATTTAAAAGTAAATTAAATGTAAAAGGTGTTCACATTATACAAATCATTTAAAAATTGGAACATAGAAAGTTAATGAATAGAAAATGAAATAAAAATCACTGATATATATATTTAAATAAATGTGTAAGAAATTAATACATATATATGTGCACATAGAGGTAAACATATCTATCTGCCACTCACTCCAGAAGAAGTCAAGCTTTCATCACTTTCACAAATTTTATTGTACATAGGTGACTTTCTTCCCAAAAAATGGCAAGTATATTGTCAAGTTTGGGGTTCTATATATTTTTCTCAAATCTTATTTCATTAGCAGTTTATCAGTTAGGAAACGTATTCTGGATAGGCTTTTAAAAAATTGTTCTAGACCTAATTTTCTGATAATGCTGCACACTGAAAAACTGTTTAACTTTCTTGCCATGGGGTATTGCTGAGTCAACTAAATATCCTTTTAGACCAATCAGATCATTCCTGGAAGCAATACTCCAGTAGTGACAGTCACAAAATCTATTAGAGAATCTACCAAGACACATTTCATCGGCTTTTTGGGTTTTATTTTTAAATAGTCAAATAAATGAAAACTTCTATCTAAATTTCATCACAAAGAGATTACTGTCTTACAATCCATACATATTATTTGAAAGATTTAGCATTACCTAGTTTAGTAGCTATATGTTATACTTTTGTTTTGTATTACTGCTTATTTAACTTTTTCTATCTTTCAAGAAAACAAGTAGATCCAAGAAGAATACTTCATCTCTTGAAGACCTTTTCTTAACTACTTTTCTGTCCTAATTTCTTAATATCTTTATTCTTCATGTAAAATTCCAGGAGTATTGATGTGCCCTTTTGGATTTTGATTCTGAGGCACAGCTTATTTTTGCTTTTCCCAGTTGCTTGTATTAATTCACGAACAATTTTTTTTACTCTTATTTTATTTCTTGGACACTTATGATGTGTCTCATATTGAACTCTATGCGAGAGGGACCCAAAATTCAAATACCTTACTATTATGCTGTATTTTGTTCTTTTCATAAGTTGTGTCATAGAAACAAATATTAATTTTAAATAAATTTAGAAACAACGTTTATGGTAAATTTGTACAACTTCTGCTGTTGAGGACAAATTTTCAACATCACTTAAAGCCTTTACCTATAGAATTTATTGTAAAAGGTACCATTCTTATATATATATAGGTCAATGCAGAAAACTGCTGTTAGCTTAATAAAGTGAAAAACAGTAAAGATAAGCCAGTGCGTCAACACATATACATGAATATATTTGAATTTATCTCGCTAGTTAAAAAATATTAACATAAAGTAGAGAAATAGAAATATCCTATTTGTTCTGGAATTAATGTCAGAGAAAAAAAGTCTATTTTGAACATGTTTGTTCTTCTCTAACAAGTATTTCTTTCTATGATGTCACGTATTTGCTCTTTTAAAAAAAGACACATCTGCCTTGTTTTAAACATTATATACATAATAAAAGTAATATTTTACTATTTAATCATTTTTATAACACATTACTTTAGAAGAACGACTTGTTGTGCATCTTATATTTAAAATAATTTCATGCCCTTAGATATCTCCCTAAAAGAAAAATTACTCAATAATTTGATATTTTCAGTTTTCTTGTTTTATCAATTTATAACTTTTAAATATATCAGTATACACTTCTGATCTATATTAAAAACTGTATTCTTATGTTTCTGTTTTTAGTAAATATATTCAGATTCATTCATTATTATTTTTATGAGCAAACCTGGAAAATTTCAATCCCTTTAATTTTCCATAAAACAATTGCAGCATGGTGGAATTCCATGAAGGACAAAGGCTACAAAATGCAGGAGAGATATTGTTAATGTCTTCAGTTTTCTGATCAGCTATTCCATGGTGCAAAGGATCTCAGTAAGTAAAAGCTTTGGGTTGAGCTCCATAGTAGGGGTCCTGAGGAGTGCTGATGATTCTTTAATATCCCAAATTCTCAGGGATTCTTAAAGGTTTGCCAACATAGGCACCAAAACAACATAAGATGTGCCATAGACTGAAGTCAGAACTTGTAGTCAATAAAAAATCTACCACATATTTCACCAACCATTGATTTTAACAGTGGAAACCAGTAAGCTGACCAAAAACATGACCAAATTAGCTACACAGCAATGAAAGCTAGTCCTGAAAATATTAGACAGTCAGATACTGTGTCTGAATATTAGATAGTCAAGTACTGTAGCTAGTCCTGGAAATACTAGATATTCACATACTGTAGTTTTCTACTTCATGATGAACAGTTAGTAAAGATCAATTATTCTAATGCTCCTTTCACTCACTCTGGTAGAGTGTTGATTGTTCTTCAGTAATGATTCTTCCTTTCTTTCATAGTAACAAAACTTCTCAATTTTTAACTGGACACACTTTTTTTTTTTTTTTTTTTTTTTTTTTTTTTTTTTTTTTCAGACGGAGTCTCGCTCTGTCGCCCAGGCTGGAGTGCAATGGTGAGATCTGGGCTCACTGCAAGCTCCGCCTCCCGGGTTCACGCCATTCTCCTGCCTCAGCCTCCCGAGTAGCTGGGACTACAGGCGCCCGCCACTGCGCCTGGCTAATTTTTTTATATTTTTAGTAGAGACGGGGTTTCACCATGTTAGCAAGGATGATCCCCATCTCCTGACCTCGTGATCCACCCGCCTCGGCCTCCCAAAGTGCTGGGATTACAGGTGTGAGCCACCATGCGTGGCCCTGGACACATAATTTGTTTAAAAATAAAGTGTGTAACTAAGGTCTCACCGATAATATATGAACAGAAAGAAAACTTGCGGAAACTTTCAATGAACATTACTTCAAAGAAAATTGACCTTGTCTTTCGCTCATCTTCAAGTAGTCTTAGATTCCGACACTTGTAATATGGGATGTGATGGCTAGGCTAGTTGCAACCATCTTGAACCCCGAAGATGAAGACCATAGCTGGCACTGAAGGGTGATGAGATGCAATCAGCCTACGTCCTGAGGACTTTGTGAACAGAGATTTTATAGCGGCCTTCAGAATTTTATTTCAGAAACAAGTACCCCTCTTGTTTAGCTATGTTTACCATGTTGTGTTCTTTCTCACAGCCAGACATAACTACGTATCGTACTTAATATTTCCATATTTACCCTTACATTATTTATGGTAAGTTGACTAGTTTATGCATGTTTTAACAATTGTCTACATCCCCTGCTGTACATCTACATGTAATGGTTAAGAGTATAGCTCTGTAGCTTGACTGATTTTGGTCTGCCATTGACTAGATGTGTTATATTTTCAAGTTATTTAACCTCTCTAAGCATCAGCTGGTGTCATCATGAGATAGTTATAATAATGGGACCTACTATTTCATAATATTGTCATAAGAAACCATTTACAGACTGTACACAGGGCTCTGCATAGATGAAGATATACATGAAGTACTAACATTTATAAGTGGTAACAATTATAAGTGGTAGGAAAAGTACTAGACAATGAATGTAGGCCAGAGTTTAATGTTTAATAATGGTAGTGATAATTTTATGCATATGTACATATACATAAGCAATTTTAAATTTCAAAAATCTATTGTAAATTCAAAGCTGTTACTTTTGTTATGTGAAAAAGCTTACAATGCTTATAATGCAACAATGGATGTCAACATTTCAACTAAAGCTACTTTGATTTTAGTAGGATAATTTTAAAAGAAATCCTTTCTATTGCTGGAAAAGAAATATTTTTATGTGTTAAATGGGCTAGTTTTAGAATTTTAGATACAACTAAATTTATGAAGAAATATTTTAGGCTACTATTGGTCTTTAATACATTTTATTTTATTTCATTTTATATATATGGTAAATCATATAAACTTTTTGAGTGATACATTAATTTCATAGTAAGCCTTTTATTTTTGGACATTTCTTACCTACAAGAGTGATCCACTAACAATAATTTAAGAATCATTGTTTGAAGAGTTGAAAGAAAATACATTCAACTGGCAATCCCTCACTTTTTTTTTTTTTTGCCTGTTTTAAGGATGTTATTTGTATACTTTTGAATCTGATGCTATCTCTTTCTAAATAAAAGACAGATTAACTTATACTAAAATTATTAAAATTATTAAAGATTTATATAGTTTCCTATTCTCTTTAAAACATGGAATCACGTATTAAGAAGAGCAATGTGGCTTTGTATTCTAGGGAAAAAATACTGCCAATATGCCATTTGTTCATTTTCAGAAAATACTATATGAAATACCATTTTCCGCTTGACACAATTGCTTTAATTTTTAGCAAGAAAAATGTGTCCGACTAAACAGAACAATCGAATCATTGTCTCTTTCAAAAGTGGTGTCATATTCTATGTCTCTTTTCAGTATTGTGTACATCATCTAATGATTTTCTGTTGGCTTAATATGGCTTCTTATCACAAACTGATTAGCTAATGTAAAATATATAGAGCTAAAATGATTTCTAAGTATTCTCAGTTCCTAAATCTTTTAAAGATTTCCTGTTGGCCTATTTCTAGCCTCACAAAACTTATGTGGGTAATGAGGAGCCAAAAGGAAGAAATTTCTTTATGCTATTGTCACTCCACAATGGACTGAAACGCAGTATCAGTCCATTTTTTGAGAAAGGGAGAAAGTACGTGAGTTAAATTCAATTTTAAAAATATCCTATGAAAGATGGCCTTGATTATATTTGTTAAGTAATTCAGAATTTCACTGAAGCCGGACTGTAAAAAACCTTAATAATAATTGAAAATAATCATAGAACATTTTAATGTGCCAGCCACTGTTCTACACACTTATACTAATTCACTTAATCCTGACAGCCATCCAAGGAAGTAGAAACTGTTATGTTTATTTTGTAAATAAGAGAAGTGAGTCAAGGAGGATCACAACTGGTTCAGGTCTAACATCACTGACGTAATAAAGCCAGAGGCAAGTTTAGGTTGTCTGCCTCCAAAGTTTATGCTTTTCACCAACATAATTTGTTGTGTCTTAAATTTTGCATATTTTTTACTTTTTAAACATTTTTAGTGTGTGTATGTGTGTGTATGTGTGTTTTCCTTTTAGGAACTCATGATTGCAGGTTACATATAATAATTTTTTTTTTTTTTTTTTGAAATGGAGTTTCGCTCTTTTTGCCCAGGCTGGAGGGCAATGGCACAGTCTCGGCTCACTGCAACCTCTGCCTCCTGGACTCAAGCCATTCTCCTGCCTAGCCTCCTGAGTAGCTAGGATTACAGGCAGCCCAGCACCATGCCTGACTTTCGTTTGTTTGTTTATTTGTTTGTTATTTTTAGTAGAGACGGGGTTTCACCACACTGGCCAGGCTGGTGGCGAAATCCTGACCTCAGGTAATCCGGCTGCCACAGCCTCCCAAAGTGCTGAGATTACAGGTGTGAGCCACTGAGCCCGGCCTATATGTAATAATTTTAAAACCTGCTTGGTAAAAGCCTGTTAACCCCAAACACAGTAAATTAACAACACAATTCAACGTCAGAAAACAGACTCCTGTTTCTGGCAGTAATGTTATCTAAATAACCTCCAGAAAAAACAACTGACAAAGCACACCTAGGCATTCTGGGTTTAATATAAAACTGCAACCTTTTAAACCTTGTAGCTGAGCTCCCAGCGTAATATTGCAATTATCAGAAACACAAAAGAAGATAGAATTGAAAATCAGAAAGTTCATACCAAAACTAAAGCAACCAGTGTATAGCTGCTGATCTTATGAAGCAAGAAGCTTGTTTGTTATGCATCTTGAGTTTTAATAATGGCTCTGTAGACAGGAAACAACCTCACAGCATCAAGAGAGTGGGCATACATACACAAATACACACAATCAAGCTGAATTCTGAAAGGCCTATTTCCTAAGTGAATTGATGAACTAGAAACATTTTTCCTGTTGACAAATACAAAACTACAAGAGATTTTACCTATCTAGTCCTAGAATCTGGTAGAAACAAAAAATCTCACCCATAAAAATCTACAATCACAGGCTGCTCTCAGCAGTTAAGAATTTGATTTTATGATTTTTGTGTGGACCAGGAAAAAATGCCAGTTAATAAATTCATTTTAAAATTTCCCAGGTTGGTAGTAACCCAGAACACCTGGCTGAAAGCCCAAATGTACTCAAGGTACAGACATTCAACCAATGTTTACAGAAATTTTGCAAATTACATCTTGAGAAACTTGAGCTCACCACTTAAAGTTATCAAATACATGACTACAAACCACCATCAGTGAGAATTATCAGGAACAATAAGAAACATAACTGAAGCCCAACAGCATAGGATAAAAATAATCAAATTCATTGGATGCATACAAAATTAGTATGTTTACAGATATAATTGAAAATGATACAAAGGTACATAGCATTATCAAAATAGAATGAGAATATATGTAAAATAAAATGTATACTAAAGAAAAATATTATTTAAGAAGAGCTCTTTAAAATGTGCTAAATAACTAAAGAGATAATAAACTGATAGACGTGTGTAGAAAATAAAGTAGTGAAAATATGCAAATATATGTCTTTGCCAAGGTTCCCTTTTTCCAGAGGCAAAAGATCATATGCTATCCCTTTATTGTTGAGTGCAACCCCAGAGATGCACAGGTGAATGAAAAGGGAAATAAAGCAGGGAAGCAGGGACAACAAATACAAGTAAGTGTGCTGAATGTGTCACTGAGCTAGCTACAGCTTCATGTCAAGTTAAATGATTGGTCTTGCCTGAACAAAGAGGAGAAAAGAGAAGATAATTTATTTTGATTACTAAATTTCTTCTGCTGTTTGTCAAAGTTTACTGCCTACGTGGTTAACCCCATATACTTCCAGGTGGCACATAAATGGGTATCACACAGAACAGCCTGAAGCAATCGCGTCCCCTGTGACTTGCACGTATACGCCCAGATGGCCTGAAGTAACTTAAGAATCACAAAAGAAGTGAATATGCCCTGCCCCACCTTAACTGATGACATTCCACCACAAAAGAAGTGTAAATGACCGGTCCTTGCCTTAAGTGATGACATTACCTTGTGAAAGTCCTTTTCCTGGCTCATCCTGGCTCAAAAAGCACCCCGACTGAGCACCTTGCGACCCCCACTCCTGCCTGCCAGAGAACAAACCCCCTTTGACTGTAATTTTCCTTTACCTACCCAAATCCTATAAAACGGCCCCACCCCTATCTCCATTCGCTGACTCTCTTTTCGGACTCAGCCCGCCTGCACCCAGGTGAAATAAACAGCCATGTTGCTCACACAAAGCCTGTTTGGTGGTCTCTTCACACGGACGCGCATGAAATTTGGTGCCGTGACTTGGATCAGGGGACTTCCCCTAGGAGATCAATCCCCCGTCCTCCTGCTCTTTGCTCCTTGAGAAAGATCCACCTACGACCTCAGGTCCTCAGACCCACCAGCCCAAGAAACATCTCACCAGTTTCAAATCCGGTAAGCGGCATCTTTTTACTCTCTTCTCCAACCTCCCTCACTATCCCTCAATCTCTTTCTCCTTTCAATCTTGGCACCACACTTCAATCTCTCCCTTCTCTTAATTTCAATTCCTTTCATTTTCTGGTAGAGACAAAGGAGACACGTTTTATCCGTGGACCCAAAACTCCGGCGCCGGTCACGGACTGGGAAGGCAGCCTTCCCTTGGTGTTTAATCACTGCAGGGACACCTCTCTGATTATACGCCCACGTTTCAAGGGTGTCAGACCACACAAGGACGCCTGCCTTGGTCCTTCACCCTTAGGGGCAAGTCCCGCTTTTCTGGGGAAGGGGCAAATACCCCAACCCCTTCTCTCCTTGTCTCTACCCCTTCTCTGCTTTTCCAGGGACAGGGCAAGTAACCGAACCCCTTGTCTTCTTGTCTCTACCCCTTCTCTGCTTTTCTGGGAGGGGGCAAGTACCCCTCAACCCCTTCTCCTTCACTCTTACCAAGTCCCACTTTTCTAGAGGAGGGACAAGTACCCCAACCTCATATCTCTGCACCCCAATCCCTTATTTCCACGCCCCAACCTCTTATATCTCTGTGCCCCAATCCCTTATTTCCGCGCCCCAACCTCGTATCTCTGTGCCCCAATCCCTTATTTCCGTGCCCCGACCTCTTATTTCTGCGCCCCATCCCTTATTTCCATGCCCTGACCTCTTATCTCTGTGCCCCAACCCCTTTTCCCACTTTTCTGGAAGGTAAGAACCCCCGAACCCCTTCCCTCTGTTTCTCTACTCTCTCTTTTCTCTAGGCTTGCTTCCTTCACTATGGGAACCTTCCACCCTCCATTCCTCCTTCTACTCCCCTGGCCTGTGTTCTCAAAAACTTAAAACCTCTTCAACTCACACCTGACCTAAAACCTAAATGCCTTATTTTCTTCTGCAATGCCGCTTGACCCCAATACAAACTCGACAGTAGTTCCAAATAGCCAGAAAATGGCACTTTGAATTTTTCCATCCTGCAATATCTAAATAATTCTTGTCGTAAAATAGGCAAACGGTCTGAGGTGCCTGATGTCCAGGCATTCTTTTACACATCAGTCCCTTCCTAGTCTCTGTGCCCAGTGCAACTCATCCCAAATCTTCCTTCTTTCCCTCCCATCTGTCCCCTCAGTACTAACCCCAAGCATCGCTGAGTCTTTGTTATCTTCCTTTTCTACAGACCCACCTGACCTCTCCCTTGCTCCCCAGGCTGCTCCTCGCCAGGCTGAGCTAGGTCCCAATTCTTCCTCCGCCTCTGCTCCTCCACCCTATAATCTTTTTATCACCTCCCCTCCTCACACCTGGTCTGGCTTACAGTTTCGTTCCGTGACTAGCCCTCCCCGTCCTGCCCAGCAATTTACTCTTAAAAAGGTGGCTGGTGCTAAAGGCATAGTCAAGGTTAATGCTCCTTTTTCTTTATCCCAAATCAGAAGCGTTTAGGCTCTTTCTCATCAAATATAAAAATCCAGCCCAGTTCATGACTCGTTTGACAGCAACCCTGAGACACTTTACAGCCCTAGACCCTAAAAGGTCAAAAGGTCGTCTTATTCTCAAAATACATTTTATTACCCAATCTGCTCCCGACATTAAATAAAACTCCAAAAATTAAATTCTGGCCCTCAAACCCCACAACAGGATTTAATTAACCTCGCCTTCAAGGTGTGCAATAATAGAAAAAAGTTACAATTCCTTCCCTCCACTATGAGACAAACCCCAGCCACATCTCCAGCACACAAGAACTTCCAAACGCCTGAACCGCAGTGGCCAGACCTTCCTCCAGAACCTCCTCCCCCAGGAGCTTGCTACAAGTGCCAGAAATCTGACCACCAGGCCAAGGAATGTCTGCAGCCCAGGATTCCTCCTAAGTCATGTCCCATTTGTGCCAGACCCCACTGGAAATCGGACTGTTCAACTTACCTGGCAGCCACTCCCAGAGCCCCTGGAACTCTGGCCCAAGGCTCTCTGACTGACTCCTCCTCGGCTTAGCAGCTGAAGACTGACGCTGCCCGATTGCCTCGGCAGCCCCCTAGACCATCACGGACGCCGAGCTTCAGGTAACTCTCACAGTGGAAGGTAAGCCCATCCCCTTCTTAATCAATACGGAGGCTACCCGCTCCACATTACCTTCTTTTCAAGGGCCTGTTTCCCTTGCCTCCAGAACTGTTGTGGGTATTGACGGCCAGGCTTCTAAACCTCTTAAAACTCCCCAACTCTGGTGCCAGCTGAGACAATACTCTTATAAGCACTCCTTTTTAGTTATCCCCACCTGCCCAGTTCCCTTATTAGGCTGAGACACTTTAACTAAATTATCTGCTTCCCTGACTATTCCTGGACTACAGCTATATCTCATTGCCGCCCTTCTTCCCAATCAAGAGCCTCCTTTGCGTCCTCCTCTTGTATCCCCCCACCTTAACCCACAAGTATAAGATACCTCTACTCCCTCCTTGGCGACCGATCATGCACCCCTTACCATCTCATTAAAACCTAATCACCCTTACCCCACTCAACGCCAATATCCCATCCCGAAGCACACTTTAAAAAGATTAAAGCCTGTTATCACTCGCCTGCTACAGCATGGCCTTTTAAAATCTATAAACTCTACTTACAATTCCCCCATTTTACCAGTCCTAAAACCAGACAAGCCTTACAAGTTAGTTCAGGATCTGCGCCTTATCAACCAAATTGTTTTGCCTGTCCACCCCGTGGTGCCAAACCCATATACTCTCCTATCCTCAATACCTGCCTCTACAACCCATTATTCTGTTCTGGATCTCAAACATGCTTTCTTTACTATTCCTTTGCACCCTTAATCCCAGCCTCTCTTCGCTTTCACTTGGACTGACCCTGACACCCATCAAGCTCAGCAAATTACCTAGGCTGTACTGCCTGCCGCAAAGCTTCACAGACAGCCCCCATTACTTCAATCAAGCCCAAATTTCTTCCTCATCTGTTACCTATCTTGGCATAATTCTCATAAAAACACACGTGCTCTCCCTGCCAATCGTGTCCAACTGATCTCTCAAACCCAAGCACCTTCTACAAAACAACAACTCCTTTCCTTCCTGGGCATGGTTAGCGCGGTCAGAATTCTTACACAAGAACCAGGACCACACCCTGTAGCCTTTCTGTCCAAACAACTTGACCTTACTGTTTTAGCCCAGCCCTCATGTCTGCGTGCAGCGGCTGCCACTGCTTTAATACTTTTAAAGGCCCTCAAAATCACAAACTGTGCTCAACTCACTCTCTACAGTTCTCATAACTTCCAAAATCTATTTTCTTCCTCATACCTGACGCATATACTTTCTGCTTCCCGGCTCCTTCAGCTGTACTCACTCTTTGTTAAGTCCCACAATTACTGTTGTTCCTGACCCAGACTTCAATCCGGCCTCCCACATTATTCCTGATACCACACCTGACCCCCATGACTGTATCTCTGTGATCCACCTGACATTCACCCCATTTCCCCAAATTTCCTTCTTTCCTGTTCCTCACCCTGATCACACTTGATTTATTGATGGTGGTTCCACCAGGCCTAATTGCCACACACCAGCAAAGGCAGGTTATGCTATAGTACAAGCCACTAGCCTGCCTCTTAGAACCTCTCATTTCCTTTCCCTCGTGGAAATCTATCCTCAAGGAAATAACTTCTCAGTGTTCCATCTGCTATTCTACTACTCCTCAGGGATTATTCAGGCCCCCTCCTTTCCCTACACATCAAGCTCGAGGATTTGCCCCCACCCAGGACTGGCAAATCAGCTTTACTCAACATGCCCCGAGTCAGAAAACTAAAATACCTCTTAGTCTAGGTAGATACTTTCACTGGATAGGTACAGGCCTTTCCTACAGGGTCTGAGAAGGCCACCGCAGTCATTTCTTCCATTCTGTCAGACATAATTCCTCAGTTTAGCCTTCCCACCTCAATACAGTCTGATAACAGATGAGCCTTTATTAGTCAAATCAGCCAAGCAGTTTTTCAGGCTCTTAGTATTCAGCGAAACCTTTATATCCCTTACGATCCTCCATCTTCAAGAAAAGTAGAATGGACTAAAGGTCTTTTAAAAACACACCTCACCAAGCTCAGCCACCAACTTAAAAAGGACTGGACAATACTTTTCCCTTCTCAGAATTCAGGCCTGTCCTCAGAATGCTACAGGGTACAGCCCATTTAAGCTCCTTTATAGACGCTCCTTTTATTAGGCCCCAGTCTCATTCCAGACACCAGACCAACTTAGACTGTGCCCCAAAAAACTTGTCATCCCCACTATCTTCTGTCTAGTCATACTCCTATTCACCGTTCTCAACTACTCATACATGCCCTGCTCTTGTTTACACTGCCGGTTTACACTGTTTTTCCAAGCCATCACAGCTGATATCTCCTGGGGCTATCCCCAAACTGCCACTCTTAACTCTTGAAGTAAATAAATAATCTTTGCTGGCAGGACTATGCTGAATCTCCTTAGGCACTCTCTAATCAGATGTCCTGAGTCGTCCCAATTCTTAGACCTTTTATACCTGTTTTTCTCCTTCTGTTATTCTATTTAGTTTCTCAATTCATCCAAAACCGTATCCAGGCCATGACCAATCATTCTATACGACAAATGTTTCTTCTAACATCCCCACAATATCACCCCTTACACAAGACTTCCCTTCAGCTTAATCTCTCCCTCTCTACATTCCCACACCACCCCTAATCCCGCTTGAAGCAGCCCTGAGAAACATCGCCCATTCTCTCTCCATACCATCCCCCCAAAAATTTTCGCTGCCCCAACACTTCAACACTATTTTGTTTTATTTTTCTTATTAATATAAGAAGACAGGAATGTCAGGCCTCTGAGCCCAAGCCAAGCCATCGCATCCCCTGTGACTTGCACATATACGCCCAGATGGCCTGAAGTAACTGAAGAATCACAAAAGAAGTGAATATGCCCTGCCCCGCCTTAACTGATGACATTCCACCACAAAAGAAGTGTAAATGGCCGGTCCTTGCCTTAAGTGATGACATTACCTTGTGAAAGTCCTTTTCCTGGCTCATCCTGGCTCAAAAAACACCCCCACTGAGCACCTTGCGACCCCCACTCCTGCCCGCCAGAGAACAAACCCGCTTTGACTGCAATTTTCCTTTACCTACCCAAATCCTATAAAACTGCCCCACCCCTATCTCCCTTCGCTGACTCTTTTCGGATTGTTTCTGTTTGCTGATGACAATCTTAGAGGTAGAAAACCCTAACAACTTCACAGAAAACTATGAGAACTAATAATTTTGGTAAAGATACAAAAATCAGTAGCATTTTATACACCACCAACAAAAAAAGCAATTTAAAAACATTCCATGTATAATAGCAACACAAAATATAAAATACATAGGAGTAAATTTAAGCAAGGAGCTGAAAGAGCTGTACAATCAACTATAAAACACTGACAGAATAAATTAAAGAAGACATAAATAAATGGAATGCTATCCCACATTTATGGATTTTAAAAGTTTATATTGTTAAAATGTCTATAATTTCAGAAGAGATCTACAGATTCAATGCAATTTCTATCAAAATTCTAGTATTTTTTTAGAGAAATAGAAAAAAAATCCTGAAATTTGTATGGAACCAGGAAAGACCCCACATAGCCAAAGCAATATTGAGCAAAAATAACAAGCAGAGAGTATAACACTCCCTGATATTAAAATATATTATAATGCTATTGTAATAGAAATAGTATGATACAGCCATAAATATAGATACATCTACCAGTGGAACAGGACAGAAAGCCCAGAAATAAACAAACCCAAGTATTTGTGGTCAATTGATTTTTTACAGCATTCTCCCAAACACACATTGGGTCAAGGTTAGTCTCTTTAATAAATGGTGTTAGAAAAACTGGATATCCAGAATCAAAAGAATGAAATTGGATACTTCGGTCACATCATATACAAAAATCAACTCAACATGGGATGAAAGACTTACATGTAAGACCCCAAATTGCAAAGCTGCTAGAAGAAAACAGGGGAAAAGCTCCATGACATTGGTCTGGACAACAATTATTTAAATGTGACCCCAAAAGCACAAGCAACAAAAGCAAAAATAGACAAACTAGATTGTACCAACCTAAAAGCTTCTGTAAAGCAAAACAATTAACAGGGTGAAGAGACAACCATAGATTGGGAGAAATATTTGCAAATCATAAAACTGATAAGAGGCTAGTATCCAAAATATGTAAGAAACTCAAACAATTAAATAGCAATAACCTAATTTAAAAGTGAGCAAAGGATCTGAACAGACATTTCTCAACAGAAGAGATAAAAATATCCAACAGATATATGAAAACTAATGATCAGGAAAATGCAAATTAAAACCACAGTGAGATACTACCTCATTAGTGACAAAGTTAGAATGTCTACTATCAAAAAGACAAATGATAGCAAGTTTTGGCAGGGATGTGGAGGAACCTCTGTATCTTCTCGTTGAGAATGTAAATTAGTACAGCCATTGTGGAATATGGTATGCAGGCTCCTCAAAACACTAAAACTCAAATTACCATATGATCCAGCAATCCCACTTTTAGTATATATCCAAAAGAAGTGAAATTAATATGTCAAAGAGATATCTGCACTCCCATGTTCATGGTAACATTATTCATAATAACCAAAATATGAAATACCATATGCAAACTTTTTTTTTTTTTTTTAGACAGAGTCTCGCTCTGTCTCCCAGGCTGGAGTACAGTGGCATGATCTTGGCTCACTGCAACCTCCCCCTCCCCGGTTCAAATGATTCTCGTGCCTCAGCCTCCCAAGTAACTGAGACTGCAGGCTCAGTTAGCCACCACGCCCGGCTAATTTTTGTATTTTTTAGTAGAGACAGGGTTTTTCCATTTTGGCCAGGCTGGTCTCCGACTCCTGACCTTCAGGTCAGATCCACCCGCCTTGGCCTCCCAAAGTGCTGGGATTATAGGTGTAAGCCACTGTGCCTGGCCTCTATACAGCCTTAAAAAGAGATTCTGTCATTTGACAACATGAATGCAACTGGCTGTGAGAAAGGGATTGATGGAGAAAGAGATGTTTATCGGATAGTACAAAGTCTTGGACTATAGGAATAAGTTTTATTAATCTTTTTGACTGCATGGTGACCAGAGTTAATAATAATGTATTCTATACTTCAAAATTGCTTAAAAAAAGAGGTTTTAATGTTCTCATGACAAAAATGAAATAAGTGGCAGAGGAGATGGATATGTTAATTGGCTTAACTGAATCTTTTTACAATGTATGCATAGATCAAATCATCATATTATACCCCATAAATATAATCATTTTTTAATTAAAAATTAATAAATTAATTTTTTAAAGATAGTGACTAAAAATTGAGAACTGCAAAATTGAAAATCAGAAGATTTCTCAAAGCAATAATAGAATAAAAAATTGTGGAATAATGCCTTCAAAATTTTGGAAAAAACTGTCGTAATTTAAATATGTTCATGTATCATTCAGTTATGAGGGTAAAATAAGGATATATTCAAACAAAAGGAGCTTACTACTAATAAATTTTCAGTAAAGGATCTAAAAGGTGGCTTTTCAGGAGTAAAGAAAAAAACTCAGAAGTTTGATATGTAAGAAAAGAATAGTGAGTAAATTAATAAATTAAAATATGAATAAATATAAAATGTCAAAAGTACAAAACAATAATAAAATGTCTATATTAAAAGTCGAGAATAAAAGACAAAATGAGAGTTAAATAATGTCTGATTATGACATGATATAAAAGTAAAAAGTGATAAAATCTAGAATACTGTACATTTTCTGAATTGATTTGAGAATATAGAGAATAGATAAAGGTATTGTGAAATCAGTATGAATATTAGCATGTTAATAGTAACTAAAAGTACTACACATTGACAACATAGCTTCTATTATTGGGAAAAATGAATAAATTTGTAATCAATTCAAAAGGAGGAATAATTAAAAACACAAAAATAAAGCTTAAAAAATCAGGAGAAATAGAGTGTCCATATTAAATGGAAGAAACACTTTCAGATATATCAGCTATCAACTTAAGGTAATTGGATGAAACTCTTCAGTTAAAGAATTGTCATTTTTCAAGCTCCATTCAAAATAAAAAAATCCATATGCTAACATATATACATATTATTTTATTTATAATGAACACAACAAAAGTGTAAGGTTATAGAACATTTGAAAGCAAAGGAAAAATACATGCCAGGTTAATACTAATCAATGACAAGCTGGTAGGACAATAGTATTATCAGATTAAAATTTACCCCAGGGTTAATAATATAATAGATATGAAGAGAATTTTTATATAATGATAAAAATGACACCTGGAAGATATTGTAATTCTTATGTTTCATGTGCTTATTTATGATACTGGCATAATATTCAAATTATTAATAATTATAATTCAGACAAAAGCTACTGACCCATCCCCCATTATTTTGGAATTTCAATACAGATCTTTAAGTAATGTTAATGAAATTATTGTAAGATTGATAACATTTTGAATATGTCACTATCACAACTTACTTGGGGATATTTACAAAACTTTGCATTTGGTAGTTTGAAAATACACATTCTTCTTCCACTCCAATGAAATTAAGCTTGTGCCAATCCGTAAAATCATGTTTAACAAATTTCAAGATTTCATGTTTTACAGATCACAGTCACTGAACAAGATATAATAAATAGAAAGAAATAACAAAAATGACTAAAATATTAGGACAGTTAAAAATATGTTTCTAAAGCACTCATGAATTAAAAGAGAAGTCATATTGGAAATTAGAAAATAAAACTCAAATAATAAATGTAACATACAAATTCATGATTTAAGCTAATTGGTACTAAAACTAAATTGTTAAAATCTGATGTTCATTGTTGTGGGGAAAAACATGTGTGAAAATCAATTATCCAAGCATTTGAATTAAAGAATTAAAAGAGAACAATGTGACACAAAAATGTAAAATGAAATAAAGATAGGAGTGGTAATTAATGACATAGAAAACAAGGCACAATAGGGAGGATCATTAAAGACAATGGTTATTGTTTAAATAGATTATTAAAATCTACAAGCTCTGGAGAGAGTATTTATGATTATATGAGAATAAAAAGATAAAAATGATAAGGAAAATAAGGCGATAAAATTATAGACCCAATAAAGATTTAAAACTTAATTGGGAAATATTATGAACAACATTGTGATGATAAATTTGAAGACTCAGAAAGATACATTTTTACATAAAAATGAAACTTATTATTCACACTTGCAAATAAATAGAAATCTCCAAAAGATAGAAAACTTCATTCTAAACCTAGAACTTGATGCCATTTAAAAAAAAATTTTGTGGAAGAAGGCGGCCACGATTAGTCAAGTTAACTGTAAAAATCAACTTGGGAGAACTTATCCTGTCTCATCATTACACCAGTGTGGTAATCATACATGTGGTATTGACATAAATATGGACAAATAGTCCAAGGGAAGGTAACTGATAGTCGATAAAAATAGATAAACAGGTATGAGGCCTTAATATGTAACACAGATGACACTGGAGTCTTTGGGACAAGATGGGCTCTTCAAGGATGATTCCTGGGAAAAGGCAATCCTCATAAGAAAAAATAAATTAGATATCTACCTCCTACTAGAGACAAAATTTATAGTTGTAGTTAAAAACCTAAATATAAAAATTCAACTTTAAAATTGGTAGGAATAAATATTAGAGCTTATTCACAGGGCCTCTTGCTAAGGAAATATTGCTTCCATAAGACATAAAGAATACAAACCACTAATTTAAAAGACTGATAAAATTGATCATATTTAAAGACTTCTGTGACTCAAATAATTCTACAATAAAATGACTATACAAATCACTAAGAGATATAATCTATGTAACACATATTACTCACAAAAGATTAGTTTCCAGAATATGTCAAGACTACAAATCAATAAGATAAAGACAAATCAATGAGAAATTATCAAAAGATATGAAAAGACAATTCATAAAGGGGAAATTATAAAAGTCAATAAAAAAGGAAAAATATTTAAGTCCACTAATAGAGAAATTAACATTAAAACCATGATGAGACTCCATTTCACATCTATTAGGTTGGCAATAATATAAAAGTCTGAAAGTGTCAAATAATGGGGAGTAAGTGGAACCATGGAAAATTATACATTTTGATGGTAATTTAAATTCATTAAAAACACTAGGGAATAATTTAGCATTATCTAGTAATACATAAACTCCTAGCTATAGACACTATCCTTTTAGCTATAGAAATTTTGCTCAAGGAGATTGATACAAGAATGTTCACAACGGTATGAATTCTCATACATATGACATCTAAAATAGTATTAATTATCATATACAAAGTACTATTCCTCTATAGAATAATGAAAACATTAACTGTACTATGTTTTCATGATTGTCTATTGTATAGCATTGAAAATGAATGAATTAGACCTATAAATGTCAAAATAAATACATCTCACAAAAACATGATTAGACCCAAAAGTTGCAATACAATGAATATATTCTGACTTTATCTTTGTGTCTATTAAAATTTGCATATCAATATTATACATGGTTTAAGGAGACTATATATATTTGGGTGTGTGTGTGTTTATATTAACATATATAAGATATGTTAATAATCTTAAGCAAACTCCAGAAAATAATTACATTCAGAAAAAAGAGAATGGGATGCAGTTGGCAGTGGTATCTAGGACAACTTCAATAGAGCTTATAATGTTTTATTTTATTAGGTGTATATTGGATAGATGAATGTTATTTATCGTTTTTGTGGATGAGAAACAATTTATACTGAATGTTAAGTAATAGGGAGAACAATCAGACCAACATGTGTGAATGTCTGTTTATGTGGAGAAGCTGAAGAAACAATTGTTTGGGTTGATAATGATTACTAACTGGAAGCTATGGAAATTGCATATTAATCTTCAAAGTATTTGAATATAATAAAAATTACCTAAACATCATTCTTGAACATAATTTTAAAAATAAAATAATAATATATTATTCACTGTCACTTATGTATTTTTTGTGAGTGTGGAGTGTGAAAGTGCAGGTGTATAACTTTCTGGAGTCAAAAACAAAGTATTAATAACAGTTTTTTTAATAGCAGAATTCTTTTCTACAAATTGTTCTTTCCTTTCTCTAAGCTACTGATTGATTTTTCTCATTTTTGGTGTCCTCTTGGTCCTTTAAGTAACATGAAATGAATTTTCTGTCATTTCTGCATCATTTACACATTAACCTCCTTGTCAGCCTCATTCCACTGTTTTGTCACATTTGCATTGATAATGTTGACTGCGATAGAAGAGAGAGTATCCATCATTTTTTCAGGAATTTAAACCAACTTGGGTTGAGAAATTTATTTTACGTCATTAAACACTTCATCAGATAACACTCATAATACCTTGACATACTTCTCCAGAAACTAGACTTCATGCTGTTTCTCTATTCTCAGCAACTAACAATGTAAAAATTTCATACAACATAATAGGAAATAGCATCACTGATGAAGTGTTCTTGCTTCAACGATGGAGCGCATTGCCTCCGAGTTGAATCATACCTTTAGCTCTAATACTAGCTTACAGGAAACACCAATGATAGAAGGTTGGGTTAAACTTCACCACAAGGAAGCAATCAGCCAAATTGAGAATGTGGCACATTCTACAGGACACATAACCTGGATTCTTTAAAAAATAAAAGGTAGGGTTTCTTAAAAGCCTCTTCACAAGTAGAACAATGAAACCAATGGGCAGCCATATTTAAATTGGTTTAAAATAAATTAAATATTGGGAAAAATCATTGAGGCAATCAGGAAAAAAGAATATGGACTGGGTATTGGGTGATATTAAAATATTTTTGTTTTACTTTGTTAAATATAATAATGGTATGGTAGTCATCAAAAACCTTTTTAATCACTAAGAGATCATACAGAAATATGTTCAATGTAAGCTTCTATTAAAGTAGCTCTGATTCTTTTTTTTTTTTTTTTTTTGTGACAGAGTCTTACTCTGGAGTGCAGTGGTGCGATCTCGGCTCACTGCAACCTCTGCTTCCCGAGTTCAAGCAATTATTCTGCCTCAGCCTCCCAAGTAGCTGGGATTACAGGCACCCACCACCATGCCCAGCTAAATTTTGTATTTTTTAGTAGAGACGGGGTTTCACCACATTGGCCAGGATGGTCTTGATCTCCTGACCTCGTGATCCACCCGCCTCGGCCTCCCAAAGTGCTGGGACGTAGTACTGACTTTTTTAGTTAATCTTACCATCTATAGACTATATACAAAAATATTTTAGATCTTCCTAGGATCTTGCACAATATCATATGCATAGAAGACATTGGAAATATTACATGAATAAATGGGAAAAATAATTTATAGGGTTGGTAAATAAAGCATTTGCTTTAAAACGAAAGACATGCATATATATCTCCTTAAAATCTGAGGAATAATTATATTCTCTATACCAGAAGTCCTTCTTATATGAAAGTTGGGTTTATCAAAACAGAGTGCGTACATACAAAATGAGGGGGGTGAAGATTAAGCAACTACCACCAAAACTGAGTAATGCTATTAGCTTAGGAGTAAAGTTTTTAGATTTCTGTATATATTATGCCAAGCAATATATCCAAATATGGCATTTCCTGCACCTCCACCTGACACCTGAACATCATAGTTAGCCTAATAAAATTTTAAGGAAACATTTCTAAATCTAGTTATGCTCTTTATTTACCTATTGCCTGGCAGTCCAAAGCCCATCTTTATTTATTTATTTTTTAACTTTCACATAGGAATTCTGATTTACTCAAAAGAAAATTTCCACATATGGATTCAGATAACGTTATCAGCTAGTCATTTAGACTAATTTGGAAACTGAATATGTTAACTCTAAAGACCCAAGGTGAACTAAAATCAAGTTCATCACCACTGTTTTTAATAATCTTGTTTGTACATTAATATTTTCAGTTTGTTTAATCATGTTGCTGCTAAGCTTTTGCTATTCTATTCCCAGTTTTTCGTAAGCCTGTCTTTACATTAGAACATCCTTGCTACATGAGTCTTCAAAAAAACGTTTCCCACATTCGCTTAGTCCATTGGCATTCTCTTCCACTAAGATAACTGCAGGAACTAAGCGGATATTGCAGGACAAACAAAGGGACTTTCTTCCTGTTTCCCAGTTACTATCTGTGTGTGCTGTTTCAGCAACATTGGGCAACTGGCTCCAGCCTGCAGCTTCTTTCTATACTCAAATCTCCAGTTTCTTATATCTTTCTGACAATTGGAATACTAATCAGACTGCAGACTCCCACCCACTGAGATGTTTCTCCACCACAACCCCGCACCCTCATGTGGTTCTAGGTACCAGTCAGGCCCTGCTCTTTCCACAGAAGTCTAAGCACCTCTTACGTGTTGCTTCCCCATTCCTCTGCTTCCACATCCAAGCACTGTACTAGTGGATTCCCACCTTACTGCTCTTAGGTTTGTTAATTCCACGTATTCCCACTTCGGCTGCTTCCTGCTGTGATGAATGTCTAGGTTACTTCAGAGTTCTTTTTCTGCTCTTTCAAACTTCCACCATTAAGGAAAACAGATTCCCTTGTTGAAAACATTTAGCCCATCTACCTGACTAGAACTGAGTCAAATATGTTTCAAATGGGGGAATATTCCCACGTATTTAAATCTCCTGTTTTATAAAACTTTTTCAATTGATCAAAGATATATAATACCATCATAGGGCAGGTGACAATTACAGTTAGTTTCAAGCCAAGAAACTCTTCTGTAAGATTTTAAGTGCAGGAAAAAGACTGAAGAAAGGGCTATCAACAATAAGAAACTCTGGAGTTATTGGGCTGACTCATGAAATTCTCAATGCAAAGAAAATGCTTTCCCGTGAACCTCAATATTATCACATAATAGGGGTCAACGAGCTGACTGGTGAGACAAACCAGTTTGGTGTCTGCTTTTGCTAATAAAGTCTTATTTAAATATAGTCACACTCATTCATCTATATATTGTTTATGGCTGCTTTTGTACTATTAATAAAAAGATTGAGGTGAGTCTCTGTGTCAGAGACCATGTGACATGGAAAGCCTACCATATATACTCTTTGGGACTTTAATAGCTGAAGTTTGCCAAAATGGTAGACACGAGATTGAAGGGCAAATATGACCCCATTTATATTGAACAAAGTTGGGCCCCAATATTGATTTCACATATTACCTCAGGTGCAACAATTCTCACAGATAAGGCATTGTATCATAGCATCCATTCCAGGTTTCATTTGGGGGCAGAGACAGCAGCAGACTGTGGTTCAGAGGTAGAAGGCACTGCCATAAGAAGCTGCTAACAAGGGAGGCTATGACATTTGAAGAAGGAAAATACCAATAAAAATATGTTTACCGCAGAAAATAAAAGAAACATTTTGGCCTCAAAGATACAACAGATATGAGAGACATTGCACAGGCAACCTAAGATTTAAACTGCCAAACAAATCCAAATTTTTCCATCTCTTTTGTCATAAAAGATTAAAACAACTCAATGCAATCTCCAAAAGAATTCCCCATAGTGTGAAAAACAGCCATCCATCTGTAAGAATGAGAAAGCACTTGTTCGCTGAGCATGTTAATAGATTTGGCAGATGAAAAAAAGCGGACCAAGTTTTGAACTCTATACCAATATCCTCTTAGAAATAAATTTGCAATGTGAAAAGCTAAAATTGCATGTTGTTTTTAGTTGGCATTTTCAATGTAATTCAGGAGAGTGTTATATACATGAGTGTATATATATATATATAGATATATATATCACATATATGTATATATACATAGGCATACATAAAATAAAAGATTAGGTAGTTCTGTAAAGCAATACTTGAAGACAGGAAAAATTGATTCAAAGGGAAAGGTTGCCCTGTTTATAAATACAGTGGAGCCAGTACAATAAATGGCAGACCACAAACTGCAGGAAACTCAATTAACTCAAGGCATTCTCACCAAGAAGAAAGCCTATTCTCCTAGAATTTAAATAAAAAGAATTCAATGAAGACAAAGAGAAATAATAAATCAGTCGGATCTCAGTTCTGATCTGTCCCTGGATTTCAAACTCAATCATTCAACTGACTATTTGGTCATTTTACTTGAATATCTAATAGACATTACTAACAAGATCAAAGAAAAATTCTTTATTTCTATTTTTCAAACCTTCTCCTCCTATAGACTTTCTCATCTTAGTTCACACCACCTTCCTTCAGTTGCTCAAGGCCAAAATCTACAAGTCATTTATCTTGTCTCTTCAATCCTATCAATAATTCATCAGCCCACACTGCCTACCTTTATCTTTGAGTCTGTGTCATCTTCAGTCTCTTCCTCCACCTCTGCCTCAATGGCCCAGTTATTTTCTCTTACCTGAACTGATGTGAACACCTCCTTCCAGGCCTTCCTGCTTCTGTTTCTGTCCCTCGTCAATTCACTCTCCACGTGGTGGTCAGAGTGACCATTTTAAAATGTAAGTTAGCTCATGCCACTTTCCCACCAGAATCCCCAAATAGCTTCCCTTTGTAAGAATACAAGGCAGAAATTTGAAGGCAGTGGTGATATAGATTTTAATTTTTGTAGGTATTCCTTTAGGACAACTAGGAGAGAAAAACCTCCAACCCTCATACAAAATAGCTACAATAAAACTCGCCACAAACCTCAAAATATGATCAGATGGTGAAAAAATACTAAGTGCTAAAGACCCAGACAGATAAGCATTTGTGCAGAAGGAAGCACAAGATCCGACAGACCTGAATATTGAAACCTCCTCAAACAGTTAAGACGTCCCCACTGGAACACTTGGTGGCGCCAATTTGAGGACACCCGCTGAAATCGAGCAGGGTTTATTCAGTGCAGTCCAATTCAGAGGTGAGCGCCAGGGTACCAAAGTGAAAGTTTCAACCACTCATTGTTCACTTCAGGGCAAGGCCCCATACTGAGCAGAAACTGCAGGATACAGAATCCAGTCATGTATGGAAGAAACCCAGGAGGAAAATCAGATAAGATAAGGAGGGAGCCAGACTGTCTGAAACTACAAGATTGTTAAACATTTCAAAAAATGGCAAGAGAGTTCAAGAAAAGCCACTCTGACCTACCCTACCCCAATAACGTTTGAGAATTCTTCAATGAGCTAACTAAAAAAATGAAAATAAAAGAAAAAAAAAATCATGAGGAGAAAAGCAAAGGGGAAACCATTTAGATTAAGAGAACATTTAGAAATATGCCAATAAGTCCCAATATGTGAATATTATTTGGATGCTGAGTATAACAACAACAAAAAACACCAACAACAAACCTTTAAAATGTTATGACGCAATAGAAAACAGCAACGTCTGGAGATTTGTGGATTTAAAAAGAAATTATTTTGTGTAGATGATACTGTTATTTTGGTTATTAAAAAAAGAATCCAGTCTATCATTGTTGGACAAATGATGAGTTCATGCCCTTTATAGGGACATGGATGAAGCTGGAAACCATCATTCTCAGCAAACTATCTCAAGGACAAAAAACCAAACACCGCATGTTCTGACTCATAGGTAGGTGGGAATTGAACAATGAGAACACATGGACACAGGAAGGGGAACATCACACACCGGGGCCTGTTGTGGGGTGGGGGGAGGGGGGAGGGATAGCATTTGGAGATATACCTAATGTTAAATGACGAGTTACTGGGTGCAGCACACCAACATGGCACGTGTATACATACGTAACTAACCTGCACGTTGTGCACATGTACCCTAAAACTTAAAGTATAATAAAAAAAAGAGTCTATACTATATAAGAAAACATACTAAAATATTTACAGAAATAATGACAAAATATCTGTGATTTCCTACAAAATAAAAAGAGGGATTGAATGGGATCATAGATGAAATAAGTTTGCCTGTTTTGAAAATTCTTTAAAATAATGATACATGAGGTTTCATTGTACTGTCCTGTCTTTGAACATGCTTGAAATCTTACAAGATAAATTATTTTTTAAATATAACAAACTGAAAATTAATCTTCAATTTATAATTTCTTACTCAATTAGTTCCTGTCATACTTTGAAACAACTTTCTCCATGAAATTCACCATCTCCAACTACACTCACCTTCTTCCTATTCCTCATCTTGATTCTATCCTGGGGCCTTTGCACCAGCTTTCTATTTTTCTCAGAGTGATTTTCTCCCACTCTCAGCAGGCTGCCTTCTTTTGATGATTAATATCTCAGATTAAATATCACTTTTTAAAGAGGCCTTCCCTGACCTCTTAATTTAAACAAATTTTGCAAGTTTTCTTATCATGACACTCTAAATGATTTTCATGACAACTTCACTATTATATAAAACAATCTCTTTAAAATGTAGGTATTGGTTCCTTGTCTTTTTCATGATAGTAACATATAACCTTCTGGAGAGCAGAGATTAGTGTGTCCTGTTTATGTTACATCTACAGAATTTAGATTAGCATTTCACACATAGTCCTTGTGGCACTTATTTAATTAAATCAAAACCATATATTCATTTGTATCACATGTTGTCATAAATTTTACCTTCTCTGCTGTAAGCATTACCTCTGCACTTACTTTTTATCCTGTTGGCATTTGGCTGATATATCTTTGAGGGATAGAAATACTGGAATTAAGTAACACATATTAAAAAAAAACTTAATGAAGAGAAAAATATTTATAAGGCTAAAAAAGATATAAACACTTGTAGTGAGATAGACACCCAAATGGTGGGTAAAATAATGGATATGTTAGAATTACAAGGATAGAAAAATTCTAGCTTAAAATGTTTTCTTATTTAGCAAAACACAAACAAAATATATAACAAAATACGTATCTATAAGGAAGGGAATTCCAAGAGGCTGCCGTTAAGTTTCTAAGTTGCCAATATTAATGATAATAATAATAATAATGAGGGTAAGTGGACAATAGCTAAAGAATTATAAGGAAATGAATTTTTTCCTTAGATTACTAAATCCAGTGATGTTGGTCAAGGAAAGAAAAAGATTCTTAGACATGTAGAGATTCAGAACTAGAAACCTGCATATACATCTATCTGATAAAAAAAAGAAACTATATGTAAGAAAATTAATATTTTTGAGAAATATAAGCCACATAATGTACATTTTTCTCAGCAATTTTTGTAAGATATTCATGAAGTACTGCATCACATCTTGAAAGATAAGTAAAACATTTTAAAACATGTTAATCTAGATATACGTGTCTATAATATTTCACTAACAATTGGAAGTTAAGAAAAGACAATAGGAAAGTCTTTGGATGCTAAATTTCTAACTTTTAAGGACTATTAATGTAGATATTAACACATAATGTAGCAACATTAAAAAGAAAACACATTTAATAACTCTTATCTTTGGCACAATAAACAATGAACTATATTACCTTTATATATTGCAAAAAATATGCTTGATTAAATCATGTATAGGTGTTAAAAATAAATACTTAGGAGAACGTCAGAGAATCTTTTATATGGTAAAAGAAGATTATCTTTTTTGAAATATATACACATATATACTTTTTTCTTTCTTGGAAAAATGAAACCACAATATGTTTCAAAATATAGGAGAGCAATAGCCTATTCTGTGACCACATTGAACATATAGCAAGTGATTAAAAATAACTAGGCCGGGCATGGTGGCTCACACCTGTAATCCCAGCACTTCGGGAGGCCGAGGTGGGTGGATCACTTGAGGTTGGGAGTTCGAGACCAGCCTAACCAACATGGAGAAACCCCATCTCTACTAAAAATACAAAATTAGCCTGGCGTGGTGATGCATGCCTGTAATCCTAGCTACTTGGGAGGCTGAGGCAGGAGAATTGCTTGAACCCGGGAGGCAGAGTTTGCAGTGAGCCAAGATCACACAGTTGCACTCCAGTCTGGGCAACAAGAGTGAAAATCCAACTCAAAAAAAAAAAAAAAAAAGAAAGAAAGAAAAGAAAATAACAAGATTTAAAGCTATTCTGTATAGCTCTTGGTTTAGAATGAAAATAACTTGCCATTATAAGTTGTTTAGAAAATAACAAGGTAACACTACATACTAAATATTAGATATGATGAAGTTTTGCTCAGAACAATGTTCATGGCTGTGGAAGTATTTACATTTCAAAATTCATTAAAAAAACTGAATTTATTGCATATTAAACTCTGTGAAAAAACAACCAGTAAGTGAACCCAGAGAAATCAAGTGGAAGAAAGACTTGGAAAAATATTTAAATTAGGGAGAAAAAGAAAATGAATAGGAATTACTGAATGCAAGAGCTCAGATATTGCAAAGGCCACAAAATATACCATCATTAGCATACTAAAAAAGCAAATGATAATTCATTGTATGCAGGAGTAGTAAACAAAAAGAAAGAGAAAGAGGAGGCAGTGGGGGAGGAAGAAAAGGAGAAGGAGTAGAAGGAGAACGAGAACAAGAAGAAGTCATTGTATTATCAATCTTATAAAGAACATTGTATAAGAAAGTTCCTACAATTTTATGATAATACAAAAATATCAATAATATGGACAGTGTTTTATAATAATTTAAATTTTCAAATTTAAAAATAAACTGCAAAAACTATAGAATATATATATTTTAATTTCTTAAATAACTTCTTCAGTTGTATTATTGTGTTCTATTTTAAGAAATAGTTATTTAATTTTTTAAAGAACACAAACATTCTTTTTTTTTTTTTCTTTTTTTTTGAGACGGAGTCTCGCTCTGTCGCCCAGGCTGGAGTGCAGTGGCGGGATCTGGGCTCACTGCAAGCTCCGCCTCCCGGGTTCACGCCATTCTCCTGCCTCAGCCTCCCAAGTAGCTGGGACTACAGGCGCCCGCCACCACGCCCGGCTAATTTTTTGTATTTTTAGTAGAGACGGGGTTTCACCGTTTTAGCCGGGATGGTCTCGATCTCCTGACCTCGTGATCCGCCCGCCTCGGCCTCCCAAAGTGACAAACATTCTTTATACATAAACCAAAAACATTAAAGAATAAAAACTTCTCCACTAATTTTAACAATTCTAGAAAAGACCTAAAGTAAAATTATTTAAAACTTTAATTTCTGTTAACATAGCAGACCAGATAAAGTAAAATGAATTTCTCCAAAACATATACACTAAAATAAATAAAAGAGATATTATATTAAGCCTAGTGCTGAAGCGTACAATAAAGGCAATGAATTCCCCAAGGTAACAGAAAGTGAAACTATACTTTAAATACACATTGACACTTTATTTGCCATGTTGGGTTTTTGTTTGTTTTGTTTTGCTCTAGTCATCATGATAGCCAAAGGACTTCAAAATTGTTTGGATTTTAATGACTACCAAATTCAGGAATAATGTCTTAGAACTACCAGGGTAAGGAATAAGATTTTGAGTTACATGAGCTTGAACACTGTAAAACTTGTAAATAGTTGGAATGTGAAAAAAAATGAAGTTTCAATTAGAAAATTAGGAGGAAGGCTAAAAGATAATTAAAGTAGAAAGAGTTATTTCCCTTCTCCTAGATTCTGGATAGAAATATAAAGTTTCTCTGAAGAGCTAACAATCTTTGATCTGTTGGCATATTGATTTGGAGACTGAATTTATGCAACCCACATGGTCTTGGAATCCTCATTCCTATAAAGAACAAAGCAGTTCCAGGTTAAAGTATCCCAGGATACTTCACAAAAGCAAAATAAAATTTTTGTGTGGGAGACACATTCTAACAAATAATTGGGCCAAGCATCAACTTAAAATAAAAAATATCAAAGCACATGAGAAAAATGATCATTGTAAATACAAGACAGTAGGACCAAAAAATAGTAACATAGAATTAAAAAAAATAGATAACCAGATTAAAATATAACCTAAAAACATGCATAAAATTCTTAAGATAGGAAGAAGGCTCAAAACATAACAACACAAAAAAGTCCAGCACAATTGGAAAAATGAAATAAGAGAACATTTAGAACTGAAAAATATAATAACTAAAATTATAGACAAATGTCTTAAAGAACAGAAGACAAATAAATTGAAAGACAGATGTGAATAAATTACCCACAGTGCAGCACAATCAGCTGAAGAGATTAAAAAAATATAAAAGACAAGGAAAGAAAATACAAATCTTATTACAATTCAAGAAAAAAAGAGAATACAAGGAAGAGAAAAATGCAAAAATGTATGGCTTCACATTTCTCAAAATTGTTGAAAGGCATGAATCCTTAGACACAGACATCACAGGAAGATGTAAGCAGGATAAAAAAGTGAAATCTAAACCTAACACATTGGAGTGAACCTTCAGAACATCAAAATAATGAGTGATATTAAAAGGTGGAAACAAATCACTTACCTGAAAACAGACAACTGGACTATTTAAAATACTGGCTGAAACTAGTTGGCAACCTAGAATTTATGTTCAGCAAAACCACTGTATAAAAACCATTACAGAACCAAATAAAATACAATAACATCTTCAGGCAGGTAAAAATCAAAACCCACTAACACAACCTTGCTAAAGTTTCTCCTGTAAGATATTATTTAGGGAGAATAAAATTGAATCCATTAGTAAGGATTGTTAATGGAAGTTGAAATTTATGCAAACATAATTTGGGTATTATACATTAACACTTTAAAAATGGATTTTTACTTTATCTTTTGCACCAAGAATTTCTCATCTATATATAATTTTGTTGAAGTTGTGTGCAAATGTTTTTTGACAAGAACATTTTATTTGTTCATATTGAAATCAGAAATATGTCTGACCCTTAACAAGAATGGACTTGTGAAATATACCATGCAATATTGAAGTAGTATGCAATTATTAATAATTTTACTATAAAAATACATCTGTATAAAAGCATAGATAGGTGTCTAAGGTACATTGATATTTCAAAAACAGCTCACACTGTTATATACAGTTTGAATATAATTTTGTTGAAATATTATTAAAGATATAGCCTTAAGATATTAAGATTGTTATCTCTGGCAGTGAATTGTGAATACTTTTAAATTGCCTTCTGTACTTGGCAATATTTTAAAATTGTTTCTACACTAAGCTTTTGCTTTTGTACTTAGAATAAAATTATTAAAAATAAAGGCTGTCTTTTGGTATAAACATGGTCTCAGTTTTTGAGTTAGAAGACACAAAATTTAAACAAGGAATTGAGAAGCAAGAAGTGGCTATTTGGATTGGCTCATGAGTGAAAGGAAGTACAGTAATTCCCTGTTTTTTGTTTTGTTTTGTTTTGTTTTGAGATGGAGTCTTGCTCTGTTGCCCAGGCTAGAGTGCAGTGGCAGGATCTTGGCTCACTGCAACCTCTGCCTCCCGGGTTCAAGGGTTCAAGCAATTTCCCTGCCTCAGGCTGCCGAGTAGCTGGGACTACAGGTGTGTGTCACCACACCTGGCTATTTTTTTTTTTTTTTTTTTGTATTTTATTAGAAACAGGGTTTCAATTGTTGGCCAGGATGGTCTCCATCTACTGACCTCGTGATCCGCCCGCCTCGGCCTCCCAAAGTGCTGGTGTTACAAGTATGAGCCACCGCGCCTGGCCAATAATTCCCTCTTATCACAGGTTCACTTTCCAAGGTTTCAGTTACCCAGGTCAACCAAAGTGCGAAAATATTAAATAAAAGATTCCAGAAATAAACAGTTCATTAGTTTTAAATTGCACACTGTTATGAGTAGGGTGACAAAGTCTCTCTCACTCCTGTGCTGTCCTACCCCATCCTACTTGGTCCTTAAGATTTCCTGTGTCCAGGGTCTCCATGGTGTCTATGCTACCTGCCCTTAGTTGCTTAGTAGCTGTCTTATTGCAGTGCTTGTGTTCAAGTAACCCTTATTTAACTTACTAATGGCCCTAGAGTGCAAGAGTAGTGATGCTGGCAATTTGACATGCTGAAGTAAAGCTGGAAATTACTTTCTTTAAGTAAAAAGGTGGACGTTTTTGACTGCAGAAGAAAAAAAAATTGTATGCTAAAGTTGCTAAAATCTATGGTAAGAACAAACTTTCTATCTGTGAAATAATGAAGAAAGAAAAAGAAATGTGTGCATAGTATACATAGAATTTAGGAATGCCCATAGTTTCAGGCATCGACTGGGGGTTGTGAAAAGTAGCCTGCAAGTGCAAGGAGGGACTACTGTACTGAGAGATTTTCTACATTGAACCTTTAATCTTACATGTGTAATTTAGAAAATGTGTGAGGCAGGAGGATGGATAATAGAGGAGGTGAAAATTACCCTGGGAAATCTGGGGCTATTTCTAAGGCAACCAGGAGCCTTCTGACTAACCTCAAGATGTGATTAGATATCCAGAGGTCTGCAATGTAATCATATGAAAACTGACTTTTAGTAAATGTTAACTTGAGTGACTACCACTGTTTACTTCTATTTGTTTATGTTTTTCTTTCAAGTGGAATTTAAACTGGCTCTTTATTTTCTTGAATAACCAAGAAAGAATTTAAGCCACCAGTTTCTACTGAGATTATAAGTGGAGTATAAGGTGACAAAATATGTAGTCTCTTATTACCCTATTTCTTTAAAATGACCATTTTAATACATCTCTAGGCATGGGCAATATACTGAAAATTCTTGAAAGTAAGAGTAATTTTATCTTTTATATTGCTTCTGCAATTAATAAATCTGTAATAGGTTTTCAATATTATCCCAAACATTTTATTGATTTTTCAGGTGAGAATCACTTATGAAAGGTTTAAGCAAGGAGGGATTTTTTTTTTTTACAGAAATGGAGTATAATAAGCTTTTTTTTTTGAGGTAATTTCTGCTAGATAGAGATAAAGCATACATAAATCAGAGAACTCAGATGACCACAATCATCCTACCAAAGTACCTTGAAAGAAAGGATCAGTCGAGCCAGTTTGATTGCTGTCCTTTATGGCCCATGCCCACAGAACGGCTTTGTGGGTCTCTGATCCAATGTCTTCACAAGCTTTAATATATGCAGGCAACACCTCCTGATCAGGTACATTTTGTTGCTGGACGGAACGCATGGCCATTTTACACTCATGGTTCGCATTCTCAAAAGCTAACATACGAGGGAGAATTTCTTGAGCATGCTCATCCGAGACAGATTTTTCAACCCCGTCTTGTAATTTAGCTAAAAAATCAGGGTATAATTCATTGTGACCTTGTTTAACAGTAGGAGCTTGGCCTGGGGTGCGTAATTTATCCCAAGCTCTCATACACACCTTTGTTACTTGTTCCGTGGTAACAGCATCAAAGCCTAATTGGGCATAAATATCAGAGAAGTCATCGGAGCCTGTGAGCTGAGCCTGAGTAATTAGAATGCCATCAGCCCGATTTAGCTGAGCCTGCAGACGGGCCTCCTCTGACCACCAGGTACGGAATTGTAAATGCTGAGATGGGGTTAGAACAGCTTTTGCCAAAAGGTCCCAGTCTAAAGGAAGCAAAATGACCTCAGTACAAAAAGTCTGTAATACCATTTTAACACAAGGAGAAGTAGGACCATACTGAGTACAAGCATCCTTGAATT
Source organism: Homo sapiens (assembly GCF_000001405.40). NCBI lineage: Eukaryota > Metazoa > Chordata > Mammalia > Primates > Hominidae > Homo > Homo sapiens. Next base: position 77,113,386 of record NC_000002.12, read on the forward strand.
CTTTTAAAAAGGTAAGATTGAGCGGCGCATAGCGACGCATTTGTACACCTTGAGCATTATGAGGTTCTAGCGTGACCGGACAAGCCCATGCCTCTAATCCACTTGTTTCCTTGTGTTGGCGTAATAAGAGTTGCATTGAAGTTTCAAGAGTAGGCACCTGAGACGGAGTCAGCATAGAAGTGACAGGAAAAGCATGTGTAGATAAGGGAAACTAAGGTTGAGGAGGTCGGACCGGTATGAGAGTGTGAGAAAGGGGCATTGGGGGAGCAGAAGAGGCAGAAGTGCACTGGTGATTACTGGTATCCATGTGTGAAGAAGGGTACAGAGAAGCAGCCTGAGTGGATGGCAAAGTGACCGGTTGAGGAACTGAAACGACAGGAGGGCGAGGGGCTGCAGAGGAGGGGGAAGGGCCTGCAGAATTATAGGTGAATTGTAGTTTGGCCCCGGAGCCATTAGCTGACTCCAGAGGCAAATGCTGCAAAGGTTTGAAGAGGGAAGAATTAGCATATATATGGCCCAGGGCTGTCCTATTCGGGGCCGCGGAAGCTGCAAGTAGCGGCTCTTCGGGAAATAAAATAAGATCACCAGGGGGTAATGTTAAGCCAAAGTCACCAGAATTAGATATTGAATTCTCAACATCATCAGGTGGGGGAGGAGTAGGCGAAGGGAGAGGCTGATCAGATAACGAAGGCCCCGTGGGAGAAGAAAGCTGAGGAAGAGGTAGAGGGTCTCCAGATTCAGAAAACTGTAGTAACTGCAGGGGGTCACGGGATTGCTATGTCATCAGGATGGCACGTACCAAGGCCCAATCACCCCACACAGTGATGGGAACATAATTCCCTGTAGGGACCAGTTCCTGGAATTTTGCACCAACACTATCCCATTGTTCTACACTTAAGGTTCCTTTTTCAGGAAACCAAGGACAGTGTTCTTCCACTGCCCTGAATACGGTAACATATTTTCCATCGGTACCCGAATACCTCCTTGTTTTAACAGGAGTTTAATATAGCAGAGATGAGCATGATGTTTAGACTCCCTGTGACCCGTAGTTAACCCAGACAGTACACAGACTACTCACCAGTTGTCAGGGAGTAGAACAATCATTTCTGTGGACCAGACAGACGAACATTTCTCTGCACCTACCAGAGGGAATCAGGTTCCCACATGCACTTAGGAAAAAGAAAAACCATGTTGGCATGCCAGATATCAGGGGAACCAGCCCCCAATATTTCAACGTAGGTTCTTTCTATTTTCCCTAAGTGTCGGCCAGTCTGAGAAATAAAAAGAAAGAGTACAAAGAGAGAAATTTTACAGCTGGGCCTCCGGGGGTGTCATCACATATTGGTAGGACCATGATGGTGACCCCGAGCTGCAAAACCAGCAAGTTTTTATTAGGGATTTTAAAAGGGGAGGGGGTGTATGAACAGCGAGTAAGTCACAAAGATCACGTGCTCCAAAGGGCAATAAAGATCACGAGGCAAGGCAAAATTAGAATTACTGATGAGGGTCTATGTCCCGCTGTGCATGCATTGTCTTGATAAACATCTTAACAGGAAACAGGGTTCAAGAGCAGACAACCAGTCTGACTACAATTTACCAGGCTGGAATTTCCCAATCCTGGTAAGCCTGAGGGTACTGCAGGAGACCAGGGCGTATTTCAGTACTTATCTCAACTGCATAAGACAGACACTCCCAGAGCAGCCGTCTATAGACCTAACCCCAGGAATGCATTCCTTCCCCAGGGTCTCAATTATTAATATTCCTTGCTGGGAAAAGAATTCAGTGATATTTCTCCTACTTGCATGTCCGTTTATAGGTTCCCTGCAAGAAGAAAAATATGGCTCTATTCTGCTCGACCCCGCAGGCAGTCAGACCTTATGGTTATCTTCCCTTGTTCCCTGAAAATCGCTGTTATCCTGTTCTTTTTCAGGGTGCACTGGTTTCATATTGTTCAAACACATGTTTGACAATTAGATTTCATATTGTTCGAACACACATGTTCTACAATCAATTTGTGCAATAGTGGTCCTGAGGTGACACACATTCTCAGCTTACGAAGATAACAGGATTAAGAGATTAAAGTAAAGACAGGCCTAAGAAATTATAAAAGTATTAATTTGGGGAACTGATAAATGTACATGAAATCTTCACAATTTATGTTCTTCTGCCTTGCCTCCAGCCGGTCCCTCCGTTCGGGGTCCCTGACTTCCCTCAACAGAAAGCAAAACACAAGTCCTAAGTATAACAAAGTGGAACTTGGTAGCAAGATGATTTTTTAGACTCATTGGAAAATTTCGCCTGTTGAATCATGTAGGACAAAGTATATAGATTGACAATTATGTGAGAAATTCTTCAAAATAAAATATTATAGCTTACTTCAAATTTTTGATATCTATAGACTTCCTTGACACTTTACAACATGAAGGACAGATGGATTTTGCTTTCCACCTAGACCTAAATTCAACATTTGTGCTTTCCATACTAGAGATCTCTATGTAACAATCATCTGTTTTTCCTATTCCCCCAGTTTATCTGCTTCAGTCTAGCTTTCCAACCAGATCTTCTTCAGTGTTGTACTTCCTGAACCTTGTCTGCTTGGGGAGTGTTCTTTTTGACTAGGTATGTCCTCCCTGAAAATCAGTGCTCCCTTGACTGAAAGCAGAGATACATAGGACTGGAGCAAAATGGGTTTAGGCACTTGCATTTGGATAACTCAATTTAAGAGTCTTGCCTTGCTTGATTTGTAGTGTCAACGTTTAGGAGCCTTATACCTTTCATTTAAGTAGGGATTATTTCTCTTTGTTTGGAATTAATATACTGAATTCTGAATGAACAACCAAAGGTGGTGTAATTAAACGCAATAAATCATAGTATTTGAGTTTGAAAAAAAAAAAGAAAATTCAAAAAGAACTTACATAATATAGTCAACCTATAACACTAAATTTATCCTCTAATATCTTTAACAGAAATATAAGAACTCACTCAAATTGAACATTTAAACATTGTATGTAGAGAAACATATAAGAATAAAGAACCCAATGATTTATTGAATATATAATTACTGCAGTAATAAAATCATTGCAGTTTAAGAAGGGTTAGTCATAAAAGCTTACTGGTTATTTTTAGCAAACTAATATTTTAGATTTCTCATTTTCTAACCACAATGAACATAATCAACTATGCTTCATATCCTTTTGCTTGTGTGTAGCCCGACAAGCTAACATTTGTTCACATTATAGGGAGAAATCCAGTGACTAAAAACAGTCATCCAGAGCCTGACAAGATTCAGCACTCTTTATTTTTCCATATTGTAAGGACTCTTACTTTTATTTTTTTCCATTTTTTCCCAAATACAGTTTCTTTCTACTCCCCCATACACTCAAACAACCTCCCTTTCTGTTTTCAAAAGCAATCAATATTTTTACATATATAATTTGTCCATTTCAAGTAAGAAGTGTACAACTCAATGATGTTGTAGTAAATTTACCAAGTTGTGCAACAATCAATATCAATCACTTTAAGCATATTCTTGACATGAACATAAACTGTTAATACACACACAGACATATACACACACACATGCACACATCCCTGCCCCAGGCCAACTACTTCCTGTCTTCATAGATTTGCCTTTTCTGGACATGTCATATAAATGGGATCAATAATATGTGATTCATATTTTGAGTAACTTTCACTGAGCATGATAGTTATGAAGTTTATCCATTTTACAGCATGTTTTCATAAGTTTATTCCTTTTAATTGCTAAATGGTATTCTTTTGTATGGTTTATGAATCATTCATTAGTTGATGGACATTAGATTTATTTTTGACTATTTTGACATATGTTTTCAAATATCTATAATTGTAATTAACAAAAAGGAAAATAGAAAATAGTTTTTGAAATATAAAATTTTAGAAAAATAGATAGCAAAAAGTCACAGGATTTTTGCTGTAAAACTTAGAACAGGTATTTAAATATTATCTCTTACATGTTTTATGAATATATGGTATATACCTCTATTTTTACTTATAAAAATTGAAGAAATCCATTATTTATTATATCTAATATCCAGTGATTATTTTACCCCCAGGTTAACATTTACTCAAGTGCCATCCTTGTTTCTTACTTTTCTTTTTTTTCCCCAAAACCTATCTGCTCCATATGGGCATGGCAAATATCTAAAAACTTTTTGTTCCTCTGTGTTAGAAATGACCAATAAATAAATAAAATTGTCAAATAAACATTTATTTATGCACTTAAATTCGTGCAACAAATAAAATCAGCTGATTTAATTTTTTTAAGGTTTAATTATATAAGAAATTCACAAATTGTATACACACAAATATATATGGACAGCTTTTTATGGTTTATTTTTAATCTCATAAGAGACTTCATTTACTCAGACATCCTAAAAACATTTATGGGTCCTGGACCTGCTCTAGGTGCTGGAGCTTATTTCTGCTTTAAGATTTCAATAGTTCATTGGCTTTATTTGTCCTCCTGCTGTTTGAGGAGATGGAATTCCTGTATTATAGAATAACTTGGTCTCCATCTGCAAAATTCAAGCATCACAGTGAATGTGCACTGCAAATTACTATCAAAATATATAGCTTATTTCACAAGTAAATAACTATTTCCCAAGTACACTAAATTTAGAAATTTATGCTATAACAAGAATTAAATTTGTTGTCTTCAGGAAATCTGCCTCTTCATCACACTGACTTCATTTATTTCTATAAGGCCAGAGCTTTTGTCAAATGCTGTCACTACTAGAAATTGGTAGATTTTTTTGTAGAGACGTCACCACTGAGAGTAAGGCTCATTTCATGCCACGTTGTTTGGGAAAAAAAGCCAAACTTCCAAACTTTAATACATTTTACTTTGGGCTTACAAACATTGAGTGCTAATACTGACATAATATCGAGAAAAAAAAGACAATGCCAAAACTCAGAAAAGTATCTACTTTTTTCACAAAGGAAAATGATATACTCATTATTAGCATCAGTGCAGCTGATAAGCCACTAATTCATTTTTTATTATTTGCTGAGATTTAAGAGTTGACGGGGACACATAGTTTCTTTCAGTCATGCTTGCTTATTATTAATGCCCAAGATCTTCCAATGATGGATGGAGCATGCAACAGTGCTGAGGTATCATTATACAAAGTTATTTCTGAGACTATTTTGCTAAAGCATAATTGCTGAATCTACTAAAATTGAGTCTATCAAGGTGAATGAATGATCATCCCTGAATGCAATAGACATGTTTCTGGGAAGAGGAAAGCAGCAAGCCTTAGAGATTAAGAACAAACATTATGGAGACATGCTACTTGATTTGTTATTCATTAATCATTTGAGAGCCCGAGACAAGTTATTCAAATTTTTAGGCATCCATTTTTCACCTTTCAAAAAATAGGAATAATAATGGCATGGAGATTCTTTAAAGATCAAGTGAAAAAATCTTATAAAGCTGAGTAGACCATATACATTTTTGTTCTAATCAGGATACTTTGTGAAAGGGAGCAATTAATAATTATGCTGCGATAACATATGTAAACCAAGATGTCCAAAGCTAGCCAGGCATGGGATTACTCTATGCAGAACACACCTGGCATAGTACTCACAACCTAGAGAGTGTTAATGTAAGAAAAGATTACCATTATTTTAATTTGTGTATATCCAGCCAATTTTTGAAGGTTCATCACTTTCAAAAAATGTTATGAAGAATCCACAATTTCAATGAATCCAACTCATCCAGTTATCTATACAATGTATGCTCTCTTTTGTTAGTGGTATACCTACCACCCCCATCCCCACTCTAACTTCCATCTTCTCTTTTCTTGAATTTCTTGAGTCTACTTTCTTCCTTTTCCTTCTGCTGCTTCTAAATTTGTCATGCACAGACACTGCTTCATTGACGTTGATTTATTAGTTTAAAAAGAGTGTTGATCTTTCTCTAAGAATTTGTTAAGGTACAATTTTCTCCCAGTTGAGTAAGTTTCCTCACATTGCAGTTTGGGAGCAAAAATTTCTTCCTTGGGTGTTAAGAATCTTTACTGAAGGTATCTAAGAGCAATTAAGATAAAAATTCAACCCAACCACTGTCCCAGGAAATTTTCTCTTAGGCATAGCTATCAAATAACCATTTATGCAAGTCATGTTTGTTGTGCCTACTGTACTACAAATACTAAGAGAGATACTGAAGATAGAGCAATGAAGAGAGATTTCTGCCCCTTGGAGCTTACTTCCTATAAACAAATTCAAATGATAACAAAATCATTTAGAGAATCGTAAAAAAGAGCTAGCCAATGATATAAGTCTGCTTCATTTCAAATGAAATGTGGCTTACATACATAGAATTACATACATATCATATTACATATATATCACTACATATCACTATTCTGGGTAACTTACTCCTCTCTTCCATGCTTCGTTTCTACTCTTTAGATCTGACTGGAACTGAAATGTGAAGATATTCTGGGTTAATTGGTCTAGGATGTATTGTATCTGAAGAGTGTATATTAATAGGATAACCTACGTGTATGCTGAGGTAACACATAACCCTCTGAGTCTCAATGCCCTAACACATAAATACCTATGCTTTGCTCGTGGAAACTGTGCTACTGGTTGGGCAGATCTCTAGGATAGCTTTCATGTAGTGACTCAGTGATCCAGGATATTTCTGTCTTATGAAAATACCATCACTATTCTGGCCTTCACAATCATCATTCGAAAGGAAGGTAGGAGCTATAAGATTGGAAAATGGTTTTTTTTGGAAGCTTCAGTCCAGATTGATTTCACATCTCTTGTGCTTAGAACTCATCAGTAGTTTCCAGAGAGCGGGAATACATGGGGAACCATCTAGATATTCAACCAACAGAAAATCTATCATCCACGTGATTCTTCAAGTTTCTCAAATGACTTTGTAAATGATTTAGAAAATTATCACATAGATTGCTAACGGGAGACATACTACAGTTAAACTCAGTCTGGAACTTGGGCAAAAATTGAGATGAAGGGTGATAGTGAGAATTTCAAAAGATTTGCTTTATTCAAGATTGAAGAAAGCAATTTGAGAAAATAAATTATTGAAGCCATGAGTTCAATAATATAAAGGGAAATATTATAATAGTCATTTTAAAGAATTCAGAAATAAGCTACATAAGGTTTTCAAATACTTTACTAATTTTCTAGGTCACTAAAGTAATTTCACGCTTCTGATGCATACTTCCTAATCAGACTGAAGCATTTCTTTTGTAACTCACTTTCTTAGACTCAAGTCCACTGAGAAATATCTTGACAGTGCTGAAAATACATATATTTTTATAAAGGACAATATTTATCTTGGTAGAAAAACAAAATCTCCACATTGAAAAAATATCTTTGACATCTCTGATAGAGCCAAATATTGCATTCACTTCACTGATGCATGGTATTTGTGTCAGTGGAGGAGAGCCTTTTTCTACCAACATTTCTTGTTCTCTGACAATCTGAGAACATATAATTTAATTTGGCTTTATACAGCAGTCTACAGTCATTCAATGCAGAACCCTGAGTGTTTGGAATGATTTTAAAGCAAACCTTGAAAAAAGAAACACAGTAGATCTACGTATCTGTGTACGGGCTATGTGTGTGCAGAGGTACTGTTTGGAAGATAATGACGAGAGGATGAATAAGACAAGAAATGGAGTTTTAACAACAAGCTCTCATGTCTAGATAAAAGAATTAGTTTTTTGGGGGAATAGGGAGAAAAACAAATGCGAAAGGCAAATTAGGAATGCAACATTTCATTTAATGCTTCCAACAGCTCTATTATCCTAAATTTTGTTTTACATGAGAGTAAATATCTGGATTTGAAAGACAAAACTATATCTAATGATTTTTATCCTCAGCTTTTCATTGTTATAAAGATGACATCAGTACGAACATGTTTTCAATGAATCTGAACTGCACTTAGACAAGAACATAGCATAATAAATTACCTCTTCCCAAACAAAGGATAAATAGTGTTGCACTTCTCATTTTAAGGCAATAACAAAGTATTAAGATAAGACATATTAATTGTTATGCTTCACATTTAAAAACACATATCTAAAATTTGACTGCTCTGGAATACCACAAAGTTTGAATTTACAATGTAGATAGGTATTATTTACACACATAGATGATTTTTATGCCATGAAATATATAAAACTGAAATAGTTCAGAAAATAAGAAATGGCTTTGGTGCAAATAAATTATCACAAATAAAGCAGCATAAATGTTATTGTACAACCAGGGATTCAGAATGGCTAACTGGACTTTCGTAATTTGAAGTTTGACTGTAGTCCAATTTCCCTAGGTAGATGACATTAGCCAATCGCTTTTCTACCATCTGGTAAAAACAAACAAGTGAGATGATATTTAAGGTTACCGTCTTTTTGAGAAAGATAAGCAATGATTTAGACCACTGTGTGGTGACCTCCCATTGCAATGTGGGATCTTCAAGTGTAATAACTTATCATAAATCTGATTTAAATTAATGTCTGGAAATTATTCTGAATGTTATTTTGTAATTTTGCAGAAATTTATAATATCATTATTAGCAATTACTTCCTAGGTTGCCACTGCTATTGTTGTTTTAGAAGACATAGACATGAACAATGTTTACATGTTTATATATAAATATTATTCTACCCAGTATGTATTACTTTATGAATGATTAAATATTAGAAAACTTCTTTTAACAACATTTATACTAACAGCTAGATATATTAAACAATCAAGTTTCATAAATGGCAACCACACAAACATTTCCTGAGTAAAATTATTAAATTGAGTTCAATATGTACTGTTTAAATCTAATACTATATGTAAGTCAGATTATGACCTTAGTGCAACATCAAGTACATTAAGAATATTTGTATAGCATAAAATTAAAAATAATGAGTTCTAATGTTACATGATCCTACATTTTTGTCTTTTGTTATTCTTTTAATTATCTTACTTCAAGAAAACCTACATGTTGCAGAATTCACCAGATGTAAACATATATATGTGTGTGTATAGATATACATATTATACACATATATAATCATATATATACACACATAAATACTATATATACTATATATACACACACATATATATAATATATATACACAATAGATATACACACACACATACACATATATATAATCTTTGAAATGATATATTTTGGACATGCACACACCATTTCTGCAATCTGCATATGTGTGGCTCAGAAAGTCTGATATTAGGCAATTGGATGTTAATATTCTAAAGCTCTGCTATTCACCATAAATTTTTTTCCTCATGGGACTGCCTGCTCACCAAGTTAAAAAATAAATTACAGAACATCATGCAAATAAAAAGCTTCTCCCAAAAAATATGGGACAATAAACTGAAGGAGAGGCAAAACTAAGAAATTCCACAATATATAATGAGTGAGAAATAATGAAGCTTGAAAATACTATATGTGTTATTTTATCTCTGCAAGTGATTCAGCAGGCTCTGATTTCCTCAAGGCTTTTATTTATTTAGGACACGTCAAGTTTTACACATATCTCCTCCAAGAGTCAGAAAATGATGAGACTCTATAATAAAAATTACTGGCATGGCTCAATGTGTTAAGAACAAAGAAAAATGATTAGGATCAATTCAAATATGCAAAAAAAAGTTTTATTTTTTTTCTAACACTGAATGCCTAAATTAATTTCCATAGTGGGAACCAATCATGAAAGGAAATAGATCAGTTGACGCAAGAAAAATACATAAGCAAATGAACAAGCCAAAAAAAAGTTCCTTTGTGTTCAGCTTCAGTCTCACAGAGAGAGAGAGAGAGAGAGAGAGAGAGAGAAATTTAATTCATAATTCAGTCTTTTAACTTGAGTTTGGCATGCTTTTTATATCTTTACACTAAAGTATATCAACTTTCCTATTGAACTCCATTTAATTAAATAATATTTCTTCCTCTTTTCTGGCTTACAGCCTTAATTACGTAAAAACAGAGGAAACCCCAACTGAACTATGTAGAAAACTAAATGACAATGTTGCTATATTTCCCCCATGTTTATGTATTCAACTGTATTTTTGTGGGACTATGCCTTTGCAAATAACAGTGATGTTAAGAACCTAAAATAGCAAAGATTCATAAAACCAATATATAATCTTGGCCTTAACTATCATTTTTAACACAGAGAGAAAGAAGGAAAAAAATCGCTTTTTTGAGTGACATTTTAATAAAAAGGAGGTTTTTTCTCTTTTAAAAATTCTTAATTTATATCATTTTATTTCTTTGCTTTTTAAATTTTGTTTTCACATCAGAAGTTAATATTTGTTATATTAATGCATATTGGATGGCACTACAAATGATTTCCATGACATATACACTAGTATTCCATTTAAACTCAAAAGGCATAACTACACAAACATAAGGCTTCTCCCATTATCCTTGGCCTTGACAGTAAGTGACAGAATTCCTAGCTCATCTTCCTGGGACGTTGGGAGGATATAAGAAAATATCACACTTTACATGCCATTGCAAGGATGGTTAGACAGTGGAAATAAGGAAAATGCAGAAGTTGGTGAGCCAAGGAAATGTTTCCACTATGGGCTAATGTAGACAGCGTAAGAAGCTAAGGATCAGTAATGTGTGTTTGTGAGTGAAGTAGTGATCTACTCATTTTTCTAGTCATAGCCTTGGGGATGTCTAACTTCAAGGAAAATAAAGCCATAGAGATTAGAAAAGGAAAAAAATTTAATCATAGGAGGAATGGACAAGCTCAATTCTGAGTCCTATATCTGGAGCAACTGGGGCAAAAAAACAAAGAGATCCAAAAACATTAGGACGACGATGAAGAAAGGAGCAAAGAGACTGATAGAATGTGGAAGTGGCCTGGGGCTTATACAGAGCAACAAGAACAGGAACCAAGTTAAATACACACAGGACAATGTCAAAACAGAATCAAAATGACATGACTTTCTCTAGGCTGTGACACTGAAGACACAGACAAAGCGGTATTTTAGCCCCCCTCCCGCCAAATTCAAGACAAAATTGGTTGTAAATTTTGGCACAGAGCAGCACGAGTTCAGAAGTTTTAAAGAAAACTTACTGTCAATGAGCCAATTTTTGTGCTAAATGAAAGTTTTCAACAAGGTAAGGTGGATGTCTCTTGGTATCAAAGTCACATCATCACACCAGATGATTCATGCTACTTCTGTAACTTCTTGTCAACCTTTGATTAAATTGGCAATATTGGAGTCATTCTCAATATTTCCAGTCCTTGAAGGGAATAATAATATTTTTGATTCAGTTTTGTATTCCTCTAGCCATCAGCATGATGTGCGTCGCGTGTTTTCCAGACAATGGAGCATGGCAGCAAGATATTCTGTGGAATATGGTGTTTGGGGCTGTGATGTAGTCCATGATATCCATCTTCTTCAGGTCAATACTTAACATTGTGCTGACTTTTCAAAACCGTGTCTGTGGTCCCACGTGCACTGCAGATATGTCTTCAGGAAACAGGAATAAGCATACAGAGATGTGTAGCTTTCACAGCATTCTGAGCCTAGTTAAGCAGGACATGTTTTGAAAAAGCATCAAGTGTGTCAGTTGCTTCTTTCTCTATTTTTGAATCATAGTTCCATAAAAGTCATAAAAATAAATTACTATTTTTAATTGAGATGGAAAACTGATTGAAAAAGATCCAAAATGATTTCCAGTGCCAACATGGATAGACTGTAGTAGAATTTTCTTCTAAAATTTTTGGCCACACACATCTGCTGGAGTTCTAGCTGTCTTAGTGGATCACAAGCTTCTGTCTTCACAAAAGAAATCCATATTTAGGACGTCATCTGTGAAATAATTGTCCTTCGTTCTTAGATGATGTTTAAAGATTTTGTAAACACTCTTTCTATAATTGTATATGACATCTGATGAAAAAGATATTCTAGAAAGGTTTCCATCACAGATAGAGGTGCACATGAGTACAGTCCTTACTAGGGCCAACTTTCTCACTTTTGTCATTGGAGTGTGTGAAGACTGGCATGCATTTGATAGACCACGCATTGTTGTTAGTCTCCTACCTTTTTCCATCCTAAACGCTCAAGTCAAACCTCCTTTGTCATTAGGATAATTACACTAAGGCAATAAAAGTAAACGAGGACCATCTTGTTCTGTGCTAATAAGTTTACCATTTTTAAGATGCTTCTTAGCATGGTCGTTGTTATCTAATTGTGCTTTTTGTCTCCACAATTAAAACCAAAGTGCATGCATTCTCTTATGTCCTTAGTGTGTGCATGTGATTTGAGAAATATATCAAAATATAAACAAATTTAACCTCACCACTAGAAAATTTAGATACCATTCCTAATTTATTGAATTTGAAAAACAGTTGTGCATCATAAAAATTTCATTTGAAGTTAGTAACAGAGCCCTAAATTTAGTAATAAGTAAGGGATTGCATATTACACACACACATAAATGTGTGTGCACATATGTGTAAATATATATGCGTTGAATATATATATATATATATACTATGTATGTGTATATATATATATGCAGTATGTGTGTATATATAGACATATACTAGACTGACCATACATATATATATAAGTTCTGGGTCATGTACATATGTGCACTTTATATATATAGGGTAGAAGTGAAATAAATGCATTTTCTGCAATAAGATATTAAAATAACTGTTACAGTCTCAAGAAAATTAATTTATGAAATTCTTATTTGTTTACCCCCACTCAATTATTTTTTTCAAAGCACACTGTACCTTTATGTTGTAAAACTAACTTGCCTTGATTATTGTTTATTTAAAACTTGATGACATAGTCCAATAAAGGAATACATTATAAATAATATTCTAAGAGACAGACCAAAAATTGGAGAAAGTTATACATTTATATTTAAGCATCACTAAATATGACAAATTAATAAAGAAATATATACAGGAATTTCATGTTGAGGTTATGGGGTATAAAGCAAGGAGAAGTAGAGAAAAGCTTTGGAAGGTGTTCTAGGTTTCTGTATCATTTATTGTATCTTCTCTTTGCCTCTAGTGTGATATATTTCACCCTGTGCAATGAGAGGAAAAAAGTTCTGCATCCAGCATCCCAAAGCTACGTATAATGGTGATTCCATTACAACAGAGACTATTTAAGAAAGACAGGTTCCCTTCATGGGAAATCAATTCTTTAAACTCACTTTATATGGATTTCTCTCATCCTACAAGTGAAATATGCGTTGTAAAGAGAAATGGGAAGTGACATAGGGGTCTTGTCAGGTCATTCCTGGAAAGGTTTGATGGTATTAATGGAGTCCTAGGGGGTTGATTTAGAAACACCTGGAAGTGGAAGAACAAAGTATACGAAAGTTTTCAGCAAGATCAAAGGAAAATCAAGCATTCAATCCCTGCAAGATGTGCACATCACTGGCTTTTTTCAGGAGAGGGTTGCATTCCTTTGGGTTCAAAGATATTTACCCACCATTATTTTTTTCTACTTTTCAGAGAGCAGCTGAGAATTACATTATGCAAAGCCAAGGATTTGTGAAAGGTCCTGGAATTTATTTTTAATTCTTCCTCTGGCTTTGGGAAGGTTGCTATACTGTCTTCATGTACAAATACTTCTCCCTCCCATTCCCATGCTTAATATTTTTTTATCCTCTAAATATACTGAAAACACTTATGTGATATGTCATAGTTTCTTGTTTTCATTTCTAAAATTTTTATTTTATTTATTCTTCCTCAGTTTAGATGTCACTTACTCAAATGTCTGTTTTTCTCAGATGTTTGTCTTTTCTGGTCACCCAAGCGTTAGTGCTTTCATAGGATTTTGAGCCCAAAACAGCTGTAGCTTTTCTCACATACTTTTAAATACTCTGTTACATGGCTGTCTTGTAATTTTCATATGGCTCCTGGTATGCACTTAACAGACATTCAGGGAATAAATTAATTTAAAATACTCATTTAAATTTAATTGCATAAATCACATGAATCAATAAACTAGTAAATGATCTGATAGCTAATTTCCAAGATAGCCCTCAATGATCCTTGGCTTTTGATATTCACACTATCTGTAGGTTCCTTCCACACTGTACCAAAATTGGTCTACATGACCCACAGAATATTATAAAAATGATGATATGGCACATTTGAGATTAGAAATGACTGCAGCTTCCATCTTGGTAATCCCCTCTCTCTCTTCTCTCTCTCTCCCTCTAACCACTCTTTGTCATCACTTACTGTTTTGAAAGAAATATTATAAGCAGTCTTACCAATGGCCCAGTTGTGACAAGAACAAGTCTCCTGAAAAAAACACATGCATGGTCTTGGAGTCAACTCTGCAACCCCAGTTAAGTACTCAAAGACAGTAGTATCCCTGATGGAAAGTTAGACAGCTCGAATCACATAGCTAAATAGCCCTTAGATTCTTAAGCCTCAGAAACAAATGTTTTTTAAGCCGGCCAGGTGCAGTGGCTCACGCCTGTAATCCCAGCACTTTGGGAGGCCAAGGCGGGCGGATCATGAGGTCAGGAGTTCGAGACCTGCCTGAGCAACATGGTGAAACCCTGTCTCTACTAAAAATACAAAAATTTGCCAGGCGTAGTGGCGCACGCCTGTAATCCCAGCTACTCAGGAGGCTGAGGCAGGAGAATTGCTTGAACCCAGGAGGCAGAGGTTGCAGTGAGCCAAGATCGCGCCACTGCACTCCAGTCTGGGTGACAGAGCGAGACTCTGTCTCAAAAAAAAAAACAAAACAAAACAAATGTTTTTAAGCCTCAGAAACAAATAAAATAAGTGTTGTTTCAAGCACTAAATTTTGGGATAATACAGATGACGTAAGGGAAAAAAATGGAAATTAGAAAGTTCATGACATAAAATGTCATTTTAAAGCAGTTGGTATGATTTGACTGTTTTCTTTACTTGGAATTTGATATCTGGATTTAGAAGCATAAGATAACAATGATAGGGCCAAAATTTTGAAATTCTGTAACAGATAGATAGATAGATAGATAGATAGAGAAATGTCCCATCAAATTTAAAACTAAAACTTTTTCCATTGATGTACCTGGGCCTATGTATTTGTGACAGTCAGACTCTGACACAATAAGCAATGCTACCTCAGTATTCACAACGGTAAGTCCCATCTAGTAAAACTATACAAAATCTTTCCAACCCTATTTTTCCTCTTATCATCAAAAGAAAGTTTTCATTGTGCATTATAATAAGAAAGAAGAATTATGCTGATGAGACGAAATCTCACTCTTGTCCCCCAGGCTGGAGGCTGGAGTGCAATGGCGTGATCTCAGCTTGCTGCTACCTCCGCCTCCCGGGTTCAAGCGATTCTCCTCCCTCAGCCTCCCAAGTAGCTGGGATTACAGGCGCCCACCACCATGCCCGGCTAATTTTTGTATTTTTAGCAGAGATGGAGTTTCACCATGTTGCTCAGGCTGGTCTCAAACTCCTGACCTCAGGTGATCCACCTGTCGTGGCCTCCCAAAGTGATGGGATTATAGGCATAAGCTACCACACCCCATCTACGCTGACATTTTTATATTTGAAAAGTGTACTAAAATTTATGTTTCTCATATTTTTATTCATGTCATGTTTTATTTTCCACCAAGTCCTTGCAAACAGGTATTTCCAATCAAATAATACACATTTTTCTCTTTGAATCTCCTTTGTCTTTTGGAGTCTCTTACACAAAGCTTCCAGGCAAATCTTTATATGAACATGGTAGCACCATGAACTCATGTATATGTCAAGTAAGTGACTGACTACATCAGTATTGTTACTGTCTGCTATGAAGCGAGACCCATTAGTTTTTTTCTTTGGTGTAAGGCATTGCCTAATGAAAGTGACTATTAGCAACCCAGAGTGGTAATCAATGATTTCAAGCTTTTTGAAATGTTAAATATTACAATTCAAACTGCCACAGCCTAAGCAGTTACAGTTATGATACCATCTGTCACAGAGTCTTCCTCCAAAAAGTTCTACTAATATTACACTTTGGAGGTTCATATTCATTAGAGTATGTCTTGCTGTATGATCTTTACACAAATTATTTGAATCTACTAATCACTTTGTCTTCAGAAAAGGGAGTTATCAGAAACTCTAAAAATATGCTTCATTTCATCCTCATCAGTGGCTTTAAGCATCACATATTGTTTATATCAGTAAATGCATCCCATTTTCTAGTTTCATTAAGATATTTGCCTCTACTTTACAAATGAGAATGATGTAAATGAGAAACAGGTCTCAGATGCTTTATCTATAAGTCTTCAATCATGAGTGTTCTAGAACAAACATTCAGAAGCCTTTTCATTCATCCTGTTTCAGACCCAGATGGTGTGTTCACTATTAAATTCTCCTTAAGACAATCTGTTTCCCTAAATTTGTCTACCTCATTATTACTTAATCTGACTCTCTATCACATAAGGTATAACTTTGGGAGTATAGCACATAACTGTAATGTTAGGAAAAACATAATAGAGGGCTCATTAGTTCTTCATATTCAAGAGTGTGTGAGAGAGTGACGTGCCTAAAAATACGAATAAAAACAAGCATTTTTTTCTTGAGTAACTTTTAATCTGTTTCTGAAAATAATTATTAATGCAGCTTTTAGTCTTGTGACATACTAGGCTTAATCTATGTTTAGTATCCAAAGACTAAGGAAAAGAACAAAGATGTTTGAAGTGTGGCTCAGGGCAAAGAATATGAGTTATTTGCCATAACATTTTTAATGCATCCCAGTGCTTTGTAATAAATCTATTACTAGGGAAGTTAGTTAGAGAAAAACATTGAACTTCACACAAAAAGTATAAGTATAATTGCATGTATTATTCACTCCATGAAAACGCAACTTTATTAACAAGTAGGCATTACTCAATTGTTCAGGTTATCCAGAAGGCAATATTCTTTCCTCCAGAATGGTGGAACATTATTAGTTTTCCATGTCATTATTTGGATTGTTTAAGGGTGTGGCAGACAGCTTTATTTTCTTTACTTAATTATTATTTGTACACTATGGAGTATTTTTGAAGAAATTTCCATAGTAAAACTAATGTTATTATTTTTGTTTGTCAGACATATACTATAATAAATAATTATTTTTATTTTTATTTTTTTGAGATGGACTCTCGCTCTGTTGCCCAGGCTGGAGTGCAGTGGCAGAATCTCGGCTCACTGCAAGCTCCGCCTCCCGGGTTCACACCATTCTCCTGCCTCAGCCTACAGAGTAGCTGGGACTACAGGCGCCGGCCACCACTCTGTGCTAATTTTTTGTATTTTTAGTAGAGACGGGGTTTCACCGTGTTAGCCAGGATGGTCTCAATCTCCTGACCTCATGATCCGCCCACCTCGGCCTCCCAAAGTGCTGGGATTACAAGTGTGAGCCACCGTGCCCGGCCAATTATTTGTTCTATTTTTTTTTTTTTTTTTTTTTTTTTTTTGAGACGGAGTCTCGCTCTGTCGCCCAGGCTGGAGTGCAGTGGCGGGATCTTGGCTCACTGCAAGCTCCGCCTCCCGGGTTCACGCCATTCTCCTGCCTCAGCCTCCCAAGTAGCTGGGACTACAGGCGCCCGCCACTACGCCCGGCTAATTTTTTGTATTTTTAGTAGAGACGGGGTTTCACCGTTTTAGCCGGGATGGTCTCGATATCCTGACCTCGTGATCCGCCCGCCTCGGCCTCCCAAAGTGCTGGGATTACAGGCGTCAGCCACCGCGCCCGGCCTGGTTCTATTTTTATTATTATTTTATTTTCGTACGTATAACACAATAGAGGAAGACTGATATCTGAATGTGTGCTAAACAAAGCCGCAAGTAAATGATTTATAGGCATTTAATCATAACAGAAACTTATGGGGTAGGTATTAGTGTTATTCCCATTTGAGACGAGAGACTAAACAAAGGCCCTTCCCTTCTAAATGTGAAAGCTAGAAAGAAATATCAGCTCTCCTGAAATTCCAAGTCTTTTAAGCACGAGTGTTTCCATCACTGACTAATTGGCTCTGATAATCTGTTGTGTTAAATTCATAAAACAGAATTGATGGAGTTAGCCTGTCTTTTGCTCAGTAATATAAACACATGTGTTTGGGATCTTACCTGAACCAAAACTGTGGTTCTAATGTTCGTATGGTGTGTGTTATCAGAACACAATTACAAGAGTAATATATTGCATAGGAAGGTGGGAAAGAGCCAAACCCAAATTTCTCTATTATTTCATTTTGTCAAAGATAAGGCTACTCTGGGGCTTTACACTATGGGGGAAATTATGGCTCAGGACAATGGGGAAGAATTTAGAATGCTATTTGTAAAGGTAAGATCTAAAGCCTCCCCTTTTCAATAAACTTCCTGTGAATATACCTGACTAGTAAATACTTAGGAGGAAGCATTCCTGAAGGACTGTGTCTTACTCTGTTTGAGCTGCTGTAACAAAATAACACAATTTGGGAATTTTTTAAATTTATTTTTAATGACACATAATACTTGTACATATTTATGGGGTACATGTGATATTTTGTTACATGATTAGAATGTATAATGATAAAGTCAGAGTATTTAGGGTATCCATAACCTCAAGTATTTATCATTTCTGTGTGTTGGGAATATTTAGTCTTCCAGCTATTTTGAAATACGTGTTACATTATTGTTAATTATAGTCATCTTGCTCTGCTATCAAAAATTAGAAATTATTCTATCTAACTGTACATTTGTACCCATGAACTCTTTATTCCTTCCTCAACCCATACAGTCTTTCCAGCCTCTGGTAACTATCATTCTACTCCCTACCTTCATAAAATCAACTTTTTTAGCTGCCACTTACGAGTTAGAACATGTGATATCTGTCTTTCTGTGTCTGGCTTATTTCACTTAGCATACTGACTTTCATTTCCATTCATGTTGCTGCAAATGACTTAATTTTATTCTTTTTTATGATTAAATAGTACTTCATTGTGTGTATATATACCACATATTTTTATCCATTCATCTATTGATGGACACTTAGGTTGGTTCCATATTTTTGCCATTGTGTCAAGTGCTACAGTTAGCATGGTAGTGCAGGTATCAAAATTTGTAATTTATAGAGAATAAAATTTTATTTCTCAGAGATCTAGAGGCTGGGAAAGCCAAGATCAAAAAGCTAGCAGGTTCAGTGTTTGGTGAGGACCCAGTCTCTGCTCCTGGAATGGCACCTTGAATGTTGCATCCTCCAGAGGGGACACGTGCTGTGTCCTCACATGGTGAAAGAGCAGAAGAGCAAAAAGGGCAGAATGCTATGTGAAGTGTGTTTTACAAAGAGCTTAAAACCCATTCACGAGGGCAAAGCCTTCATCAATGAATCAGCTCCTAAAGTCCCCTCCTCTTAGTAATTTGGCTCTTAAGTTTTAACACATGAATTATGGGAGACATTCAGATCAACACAGACTCAGAAGCATAGTTTTAAGGAAAATAAGAGACAGAAAGGGAAAGGGAAGAAGAAGGAGTAGGTGTAGAACATTGGGAGGGAAGTGGAGGAGGAAGAAGATAGATAAAATGCAGGTTGGTATAGACATTACACTGCTACTACGTGACATTTCTATTATAGATATATATTATAGATATTAATATCTGCCCAGGTAAATCTATTTCCCAGTAAATATCTATCAGAACTGAACCAGTCCTGGAGTGAATGTGGCAGCTGCCCAGAAAATTTACTTCAAGTTTTTGAGCATAGCCAATGGTCATAAGAAGCATTGTGAGCTTAAATTATGCCTTTGTTGAGTTTTATTTGTTTAGAAATAAAGCTATGCTAGTGTTGTCAACTTTTCAATTATCTACAACAGAGACATGCTAGCTCAGCAGTAACTGAGGTAAATATTGAGAACACTTAGTCTGACATGACACAACTGATGCACCTCTTCATTATTTTTCTCAATTTACTGTATTTTTATTCACTCTTTTTTTTCCTGGAAAATTATTTAAGTTTTGCTGTCTATGCCTAAATCTGCTAGTCATATCTGCAGATAATGGATTATACTTGCCAAAGAAATATAAGACAAAAATTTGTCCAATTAACTTTTTTAAAAAATAAGAATGAGTTACTTCAAGGGTCAGTTTCATGTTAAGGTGGATTAATTTTTAATAAGTGATAATTGAATAAGATACCATTTGGACTTCATCCACTACTAGGTTAATGATTGAAGGTGTTTTTGTTTTCAATATCACAGGCTTAAAAAAATCAGCTGTGTAGTTGTGTCATACTAAATTATATTTCGATGTTGGATGAAATAAATAACTTATCTGCATGGATATACATACAACCTGGTTCTGAGAGTTTCATGAAAAAAGTAGCACAAAAATAGCTGCCTCCTCACTGTATGTGTTGCTATGACGCCATTGAATGTCACCTTGACTCTTCAGGCATGAGTTTCCGCAGTCAGTTGGAATAAATGTATGTGACTAAACAAAATTTGTGATTGAACAAAAGTTTGTTCTATTGTGTTTTCCATATGCATACTGGAGAAATTATAAACCATTCATTATTCGAAAAAATAATAAGAAATTTTAAAAGTTAGTTCTGTCAAATCCAAAAATTAATGTAGGTACACTCTTCCTTGGTAACTAACATTGAAAATTAGCAAGGATTAAAAAGCACTTGAAAAGATTCTATTACATATAAATAACACAAAACACATCCATATCTACTTATCTGTATTTTATCAATACATATATGATATATATGTATATATTTCATACTGCAAATCCAAAAATTTCTATAATCAAGAGCTGACTTTAATAAAGATGGAAACTAACACATTTTTGTTCTAAAGAAAGGTGCTAGGTCTTTCAAATTGGCCAGATTAAATTTACATAAAACTTAGGTCTTCTAGTGCCGTGACTTGTTAATAACAAGGATATTCTAAAAGTAGCCTAGAAGGTTGCTTTTAGACTAAGACACATTGCCTAGCCTGGGATGATTGTTTTGAGGTTGATGACTCTGTCCAACATATTTATACACTTTTTTCCATTATGAAAATTGTTTTTATTAACTTTATATTAGCAACAAGAAGTTCAGGATTCTGGAGATAATTATTTTAAAAATATGTTAAATGCATTTTCTCTATTTATGGATTTAGTTTTTCTATTAAGAAACACCAAAGAACTGGACTTAATGCTTCAGTTTTCACATGACTATGTCTGATTTCTTATAACTAAAAAACACAGTGAGCTTTCCTTTTATTTTCAAACTTTAATATTTTTTACTATTTTAGTTCTTACTTTCCTGTCTATTGTTTCTGTAGACTTGAAAATATCATGACTAAAAATACCATATCCTGAAATCTTACTGGAACAGAACCTGGATAATATTCCAAATGCTATAGGTCTTTCATGTGCAAAAAAAGGGGGGATATCTTTTTTCATCATTTAAGTAGCCAATCACAAAGTAAATTAAAAAGACATAAATAAATCTTTTATTTGCCACATCTATGCTCAGCTTCCAATGAAAAGATTCAATGTGCTCATCTGCAGACAAAATCAGCTAATAGTAAATGGTAATTTTAGTTATTTAGAAAGAGGATAAAATCCTTAAGAACACCCAATACCTTCTGAGGCATCAGTAAAATTTATCAGATAGGAACTACAAATAGAAATCATGAATTGACTCTGAATAAAATTATAGGTAAAACAACAACAGCAGCAACTACATATGGACGGATGAAAACATTCAGTCCAAAATTCTGAAAACCTGGGATCAGATCAGCATCCTTCCAACTCCACAGAATCAGTTCCTTCGCAGGAAATGGCCAAGATGTGAGGCTTACATCACTACTCATAGGTTGAATAGCATTAAATGACTCCAGAGGGTTCTCTGCATGCGGCAGACTCACGTGTTCCTTCTCAGAGAGCTGAGGAACTCCTCCACTGAGGGACATTCATTATGTTAAATGGCACATTGGCACATGCCCATGCCCCCTTCTGTTTTCATCATAACCAGGGTACAGGTACAGAGTTATCAGTGAGGAGTTCTCCACCCTAATGAGAACAAACTCTTCACAGAATTACTTAGGGTCTTCTTGGATCCTAAACTTCCCAGCAATGTTTGGATTAAATATCAATGTTATCAGTGACAGTGCTATGTATACAATAAAATATAGGAGGATTTGATCGAGAAAGTAAATGCAATATTTACTTATTACAATGACTCATTCTAATTTCTTTACTTCATTTCATTTTACAAACTTCTCATGAATGTGCCATGAACCAGAAAGCTATGGAGAACTTCTGAAAGTTCTCAATGAAAAATTGAGTATAAGGAAGTCTACTGTTGTGAATGTTCTTGAATTTATTTTGAAACATTGACTTTGAAGGCTTAAAAAATATCTTGAAAGCTAGACCCCTGAAACTAACTACTACAAATGTGAAAACCACAAGGAAATATATAGCAATTCAATGTAAGAAGAATGTAATAAGTAAAATGAATAAATAAATAAATTTTTACATTTTTTTTACAGTCTCAAATGTAATTAACAGCATTCAAAACATTACTTTATAAATTGTTTTCATATTACTATCAAACATTAATACCTAAATACCCAATTTAGGAAAAAAAAAGGGTATTAAAAGGTTTAACATGGCGGCGGTTCCAAGATGGCCGAATAGGAACAGCTTCAGTCTACAGCTCCCAGCCTGAGTGACGCAGAAGATGGGTGATTTCTGCATTTCCAACTGAGCTTTGAAGAGAGTAGTGGTTCTCCCAGCATGGAGTTTGAGATCTGAGAATGGACAGACTGCCTCCTCAAGTGGGTCCCTGACCCCTGAGTAGCCTAACTGGGAGGCACCCTCCAGTAGGGGCAGATTGACACCTCACATGGCTGGGTACCCCTCTGAGACAAAGCTTCCAGAAGAACGATCAGGCAACAACTTTTGCTGTTCAACAATATTTGCTGTTCTGCAGCCTCCGCTGCTGATACCCAGGCAAACAGGGTCTGGAGTGGACCTCCAGCAAACTCCACCAGACCTGCATCTGAGGGTCATGACTGTTAGAAGGAAAACTAACAAACAGAAAGGACATCCACACCAAAACCCCATCTGTATGTCACCATCATCAAAGACCAAAGGTAGTAAAACCAAAAAGATGGGGAAAAAACAGATCAGAAAAGCTGAAAATTCTAAAAATCAGAGCGCCTCTCCCCTTCCAAAGGAACGCAGCTCCTCGCTAGGAAAAGAACAAAGCTGGATAGAGAATGACTTTTATGAGTTGAGAGAAGAAGCCTTCAGAGGATCAAATTTCTCCGAGCTAAAGGAGAAAGTTCGAAACCATGGCAAAGAAGCTAAAAACCTTGAAAAAAGATTAGATGAATGGCTAACTAGAATAACCAGTGTAGAGAAGTCCTTAAATGACCTGAGGGAGCTGAAAACAATGGCACACGAACTATGTGATGAATGCACAAGCTTCAGTAGCCGATTCGATCAACTGGAAGAAAGGGTATGAGTGATTGAAGATCAAATGAATGAAATGAAGTGAGAAGAGAAGTTTAGAGAAAAAAGAGTCAAAAGAAATGAACAAAGCCTCCAAGAAATATGGGACTATGTGAAAAGACCAAATCTACGTCTGATTGGTGTACCTGAAAGTGACAGGGAGAATGGAACCAAGGTGGAAAACACTCTGCAAGATATTATCCAGGAGAACTTCCCCAACCTACCAAGGCAGGTCAACATTCAAATTCAGGAAATACATAGAGTACCACAAAGATACTCCTCAAGAAGAGCAACTCCAAGACACACAATTGTCAATTCACCAAAGATGAAATGAAGGAAAAAATGTTAAGGGCAGCCAGAAAGAAAGCTTGGGTTATCCACAAACAGAAGCCCATCAGACTCACAGCAGATCTCTTGGCAGAAACTCTACAAGCCAGAAAGAGTGGGGGCCAATATTCAGCATTCTTAAAGAAAACAATTTTCAACCCAGAATTTCATATCCAGCCAAACTAAGCTTCGTAAGTGAAGGAGAAATAAAATCCTTTACAGAAGAGCAAATGCTGAGAGATTTTGTCACCACCAGGCCTGCCCTACAGGAGCACCTGAAGGAAGCGCTAAACATGGAAAGGAACAATCAGTACCAGCCACTGCAAAAACATGCCAAATTGTAAAGACCATCAAGGCTAGGAAGAAACTGCATCAACTAACAAGCAAAATAACCAGCTAACATCATAATGACAGGATCAAATTCACACATAACAATATTAACCTTAAATGTAAATGGACTAAATTCTCCAATCAAAAGACACAGACTGGCAAATTGGAAAAAGAGTCAAGACCCATCAGTGTGCTGTATTCAGGAGACCCATGTCACACGCAGGGACACACATAGGCTCAAAATAAAGGGATGGAGGAAGATCTACCAAGCAAATTTAAAACAAAAAAAGGCAGGATTTGCAATCCTAGTCTCTGATAAAACAGACTTTAAACCAACAGAGATCAAAAGAGACAAAGAAGGCCATTACATAATGGTGAGGGGATCAATTCAACAGGAAGAGCTAACTATCCTAAATATATATGCACCCAATACAGGAGCACCCAGATTCATAAAGCAAGTCCTTAGAGAACTACCAACAGACTTAGACTCCCACACAATAATAATGGGAGACTTTAACACCCTACTGTCAACATTAGACAGATCAATGAGACAGAAAGTTAACAAGGATATCCAGGAATTGAATTCAGCTCTGCACCAAGTGGAACTAATAGACATCTACAGAACTCTGTACCCCAAATCAACAGAATATACATTCTTCTCAGCACATCGCACTTATTCCAAAATTGACCACATAGTTGGAAGTAAAGCACTCCTCAGCAAATGTAAAAGAACAGAAATTATAACAAACTGTCTCTCAGACCACAGTGCAATCAAACTAGAACTCAGGATTAAGAAACCCATTCAAAACCACTCAACTACATGGAAACAGAAAAACCTGCTCCTGAATGACTACTGGGTACATAACGAAATGAAGGCAGAAATAAAGATGTTGTTTGAAACCAACAAGAACAAAGACACAACATACCAGAATCTCTGGGACACATTTAAACAGTGTGTAGAGGGAAATTTATAGCACCAAATGCCCACAAGAAAAAGCAGGAAACATCTAAAATTGACAACTTAACATCACAATTAAAAAGAGCTAAAGAAGCAAGAGCAAACACATTCAAAAGCTAGCAGAAGGCAAGAAATAACTAAGATCAGAGCAGAACTGAAGGAGATAGAGATATAAAAAACCCTTCAAAAAATCAATGAATCAATGAGCTCGTTTTTTGAAAAGATCAACAAAATTGATAGACCACTAGCAAGACTAATAAAGAAGAAAAGAGAGAAGAATCAAATAGACGCAATAAAAAATGATAAAGGGGATATCACCACCGATCCCACAGAAATATAAATTACCATCAAAGAATACTATACACACCTTTATGCAAATAAACTAGAAAATCTAGAAGAAATGGATAAATTCCTGGACACATATATACTCCCAAGACTAAACCAGGAAGAAGTTGAATCCTTGAATAGACCAATAATAGGCTCTGAAATTGAGGCAATAATTAATAGTCTACCAACCAAAAAAAGTCCAGGGCCAGATGGATTCACAGACAAATTCTACCAGAGGTACAAGGAGGAGCTGGTACCATTTCTTCTGAAACTATTCCAATCAATAGAAAAAGAAGGAATCCTCCCTAACACATTTTATGAGGCCAGCATCGTCCTGATACCAAAGGCTGACAGAGACACAACAAAAAAAAGAGAATTTTAGACCAATATCCCTGATGAACATTGATGCAAAAATCCTCAATAAAATACTGGCAAACCAGATCCAGCAGCGCATCAAAAAGCTTATCCACCATGATATAGTGGGCCTCATCCCTGGGATGCAAGGCTGGTTCAACATACGAAAATCAATAAACATAATCCAGCATATCAACAGAACGAAAGACAAAAGCCACATGATTATCTCAATAGATGCGGAAAAGGACTTTGACAAAATTCAACAGCCTTCATGCTAAAAACTCTCAATAAATTAGGTAGGTATTGATGGGGCGTATCTCAAAATAATAAGAGCTATTTATGACAAACCCACAGCCAATATCATACTGAATGGGCAAAAACTGGAAGCATTTCCATTGAAAACTGGCACAAGACAGGGATGCCCTCTCTCACTACTCCTATTCAACATAGTGTTGGAAGTTTTGGCCAGGGCAATCAGGCAGGAGAAATAAAGGGTATAAAATTAGGAAAAGAGGAAGTCAAATTGTCCCTGTTTGTAGATGATATGATTATATATTTAGAAAACCCTATCGTCTCAGCCCCAAATCTCCTTAAGTGGATAAGCAACTTCAGCAAAGTCTCAGGATACAAAATCAATGTGCAAAAATCACAAGCATTCATATACACCAATAACAGACAAACAGAGAGCCAAATGATGAGTGAACTCCCATTCACAATTGCTTCAAAGAGAATAAAATACCTAGGAATCCAACTTACAAGGGATGTGAAGGACCTCTTCAAGGAGAACTACAAACCACTTCTCAATGAAATAAAAGAGGACCCCAAAAAATCGAAGAACATTCCATGATTTTGGATACAAAGAATCAATATCCTGAAAATGGCCATACTGCCCAAGGTAATTTATAGATTCAATGCCATCCCCATCAAGCTACCAATGACTCTCTTTGCAGAATTGGAAAAAGCTACTTTAAAGTTCATATGGAACCAAAAAAGGGCCCTCATTGCCAAGACAATCCTAAACCAAAAGAACAAAGCTGGAGGCATCATGCTACCTGACTTCAAACTATACTAAAATGCTATAGTAACCAAAACAGCATGGTACTGGTACCAAAACAAAGATATAGACCAGTGGAACAGAACAGAGCCTTCAGAAATAATACCACACATCTACAACCATCTGATCTTTGACAAACCTGATAAAAACAAGGAATGGGAAAAGGATTCCCTAATTAATAAATGGTGCTGGGAAAACTGGCTAGCCATATGTAGAAAGCTGAAACTGGATCCCTTCCTTACACCTTATACAAAAATTAATTCAAGATGGATTAAAGACTTACATGTTACACCTAAAACCATAAAAACCCTAGAAGAAAACCTAGGCAATACCATTCAGGACATAGGCATGGGCAAGGACTTCATGACTAAAACACCAAAAGCAATGGCAACAAAAGCCAAAATTGACAAATGGGATCTAATTAAACTAAAGAGCTTCTGCACAGCAAAAGAAACTACCATCACAGTGAACAGGCAACCTACAGAATGGGAGAAAATTTTTGCAAGCTACTTCTCTGACAAAGGGCTAATATCCAGAATCTGCAATGAACTCCAACAGATTTACAAGAAAAAAACAACCCCATCAAAAAGTGGGTGAAGGATATGAACAGATACTTCTCAAAAGAAGACATTTATGCAGCCAACAGACACATGAAAAAATGCTCATCATCACTGGCCATCAGAGAAATGAAAATCAAAACCACAGTGAGATACCATCTCACACCAGTTAGAATGGTGATCATTAAAAAGTCAGGAAACAACAGGTGCTGGAGAGGATGTGGAGAAATAGGAACAGTTTTACACTGTTGGTGGGACTGTAAACTAGTTCAACCATTGTGGAAGACAGTGTGGCAATTCCTCAAGGATCTAGAACTAGAAATACCATTTGACCCAGCCATCCCATTACTGGGTATATACCCAAAGGATTATAAATCATGCTGCTGTAAAGACACATGTACACGTATGTTTATTGTGGCACTATTCACAATAACAAATACTTGTAACCAACCCAAATGTCCATCAGTGATAGACTGGATTAAGAAAATGTGGCATATATACACCATGGAATACTATGCAGCCATAAAAAGGATGAGTTCGTGTCCTCTGTAGGGACATGGATGAAGCTGGAAACCATCATTCTCAGCAAACTATCACAAGGACAAAAAACCAAACACTGCGTGTTCTCACTCACAGGTGGGAATTGAACAATGAGAACACTTGGACACAGGAGGGGGAACATCACACACCGTGGCCTGTCATGGGGTGGGGGGAGGGTGGAGGGATAGCATTAGCAGATATACCTAATGTAAATGATGAGTTAATGGGTGCAGCACACCAACATGGCGCATGTGTACATATGTAACAAACCTGCACGTTGTGCACATGTACCCTAGAAATTAAAGTATTAAAAAAATGGTTTAACTCTATCATTCCAAACTATGAGCTAGACATTCAATGTAGGTAGAGGACTCCTAAGTTTTTATTTTCTGAAATGAGTTGCTAAAACCATGACATTTGTTACTGGCTCCCAATTTTGGTATTGTCATTATAAACTTTTATTTTTTGACCACTATATATATCACCCAATGGTTTATATTATGGCATGACAGCTGTAAGGATATAAGTATCACCAATCAACAGTTAAGAAAACAGACACTCACAGAAATTACATCATAAGTAGATAATAGAGAGACAATATGAGCCAAGGGCTTCAACACCCAAGTCTTCTTCTTGATTCTGTTCTTTCTGGCCTGTTGCATTCATGACTAGAATTCACATTTATGAGCAGTGCTAGACTCAGTGCTGAAATAGACTGAAAAATCTTTAGTTACCAACAGATTGCTTGTCAGTATAGACAGAGCACAAGTAATAAGTGTTCTCTTCACTAACAGCTGTAGGTTTTATAGTTTAGCCACAAGCTTGACATTCTGGAAAATGGTTTCTAAAAGTCTTCCTCGGTGATCAGAAGAACATTTGCAATTAACTCCCTTGAATGTATTAGAACATTTACAACATCAAATTGTTTTTCACCTTGTTCACCACAAAGATTTTGGAAGATTTTTTAGAAGGCTGAAAAACCTCTGTGTTGTTGTAGCATGTGACTGAATTCTTGTTCTTGTTTCCATGGTTTCCTGGGATGTTTAGTCCAAGGACTAGACTAGATCGAAAACCTAATGAGCCATTCACCTTTTTGCTGCTGCTTGTTACCACACACACATACACACACACACACACACACACACACACTTATCTCAAAGGGTCACTAAAGAAAAACTTGATAGTTCTATTGATTCGATGTATATAAGATGATTTTTAAATGTAACATCCCAAATATATTAATAATTATTGAATTCAAATATTAGTAACTATGACATTCTATATGCTTATCCCCCATAAATATGCAAGACAAATCAGTATTAATATAATAACAAGACCATGATTGACCTCAGAATCATATGATGAGAACTTTTACAAAAATCAGGAAAACACATTAGAATGCTGAAGATGATACTCTGTATGTCTACAATACTAACATGTTTTCAAGACAGTGTCAAATATATTCTCCAATCTGATTCTCATAACACGTAATCTCTAAAGATTGTAATGCACGGGTTTGCTTTTTTGTAATTTGCACTTACACATAAGAAACCTGAGTAACAGTGATGTAAAAAAAATTTCCCAAGGTTACTCCTCTTGTGACAAAGCCATGTATGAATCTAAGTTTTTAGTTCAGGGAGTTGTGCTTCGTTAAAGGATTGCATTCTTCCTATATTTGAATTATCTGTTCTCACATTTAAACAAAATGAGACACAAAGATGAACACCCCCAATAATCACAAAATGGCAACACAAGCCATTTATCAAATGCTTATCTGTATTATGGACTGGATTAAAAGTATTACATACATTATTTCTCATAATTATTACCATTATCCTATGAGGCTATTCTTATCTCCATTTTACAGTTGGACATCTTGAAGTTAGTATGCAAAAGATCCAGAATTCATATCCAGATTGGATAACTTTTAAATCTAAGCTCTTAATTTTGATTGTAATTATTTTGAGTAAAGCAAACATAATTAGAAAATTTGGGGCAGTTATTATTTGAAGTAGTAGATCTTTATAATCAAGGTGACTTTAAGATAATTTCATCTTAATTTGATATTCAAATACCATTAGCGCATATAGAAAAGGTACTGCAATAGTTGATCATTTTTGTTTTAATAAATTTCAGTGCTCCACTTTACTTTCTTTCTTGGTAGTGGTAAAAGATGATATCAAGAATATATTAGGGAATCTGTTTCAATATTGTGATCTGTGCTTATGCTAATAAATTACTTTGTCTCTCCAAAATTTCAGTGAAAATAATGGTAAACAAAAATAGAGAGACAAACAATAAAAGTGTGAAAAACTAGAAAAACTGTATCATCTGCAAGCCAAAAGCATTTCAGAATTTCTGCAAGATATGCATATGAAGAGCCTAGATTGAGAGAAACACCAATCAACTCATTATTCATAATATGCAAAGTAAGAGCCCAGTAGTAAAATAAATGGGCAAAATCACTAGAGGATTTTTATTGCCAACTGTAAGATTATATCTAGCAGTTGCAGGTAGACTTGGACAATCATTTGGGGCCAAGTCCTGATACTGCCTGTGTCTTCTGTAATTCACAAAGTTAATGAGTTTACACACAGACAAAATACACTGTAGTCATCACATATAACTTATTTTTGGGGGACGGGTTTTCCCTGGAAGCAGATTGAGAGACAGAGATTAATATTTATAATATTTATTAGGAAATGTCTCTTGAGGACATTATCTGTGGAGGAGATGAGAAGGACAGCAAATTATGCAGGAGAAGTTGAGCTGTGATGAAGGCCCAATTATGACTTTAGCCAACCCAGTGGGAAGCTCTGGAGCTAGAATGCTATTTCTGAGTTGTCCTAAAGGGAGCCAAGATGGTCAGGCCTTTATGATCTTACACCAGTCAGTCATTGAATATGGATCTTCTTGGGAAGTGCTGTGGCCTTGAGAACAGTCACTCTGTGTAATTAAGGCAATTCCTGGAGGAACTAATACCTGAAAACTGCTTGCTAACCACACTCTTCACGACCAAGGCCACAGACCTTTTCTTGAACGGAAACCTGGGAAGCACATCACAGTGCTTAACACACTGACTCAGGGCATAACAAGGCTGCTGCATGGGGTCAAAAAAAAAAAGTGGGGTCAAAAATAAAAACATTTTCTGCTGAGAATACACATTCATGAGAGAAGGAAACAGAAGCAGCTATGAATTACACGGAAGAAAAACACACTGGTCCACAGACGAAGCTATCTGCCACAGCTGCCTCCATTTGTAGCTCAACTCTACTCTGCAAATGGAGGCTAAAGGACCTCTGCACTAGAAAAATAAAACTTCAGAAGGTCTAACCTTTTCTCTTCCCTATTTATGCCAATATAAAATATTAGAAGAGAGTCATAAATGTGATAGAATTCCTCCTAGCTCCTGAGCTGTGTGATAGCCTATAGACTATCATATGTAAGGTTGATCAAAGAGAAAAAAAAAGCACTAGCCAAATAAAGAGATTCAGCAATTTTTTAAAACAAGACACCTCTGAACAACAAGAGCAAATATATTGACAGAACTGTTGTAAGGACCACTAGAAAATTGTTACTCTCAAGATGTGAGAGGACACTGGATTTATGAACTGGGGAAAAGGTGAAATTAGAAATGTATGCTTGGATAAAAACACAGTTGGAGAAATTTTTAAAAATGAAATAATGCAAGTCATGGGCAGCACACTAAACATAAGAAACCAATTTATGGAATTGAACAGCAAGTTAAAATGTATTAAATTCAGTATGAAAGAATGACAACATGAATAGGAAGATACATAGATAACAGACATAGAGTAGCAAGCTAAAATAGATACCACATTTATACAAGGAAAAACTCCAAAAGTAAAGGGTAGAGCATTTGACAGATATGTATGTGTGTGTGTGTGTGTGTGTATATCTCATAGATATATATATCTATATGTGTATATATATATACACATATACATAGATGAAATAGTAAAAGTATATAAAATAAATACAAAAGTTGAAAAAATTAAACACAGGAAAGCCCTTTTATTTTTTCATCGTATATATTTTATAATTTTGATTATATATGATCATTTTATAACAAAAGCAGTGAATGAAATACAGAAACAATATTTGAACGAATTAAAATCTTCTAGTCATTGGAGTTTTTCTCTTAAAAGTTGTATGTGGCTGGGCATGGTAGCTCATGCTTGTAATCCCAGCACTTTGCGAGGCCAAGGCGGGCAGATCATGAGGCCGGGAGATCGAGACCATCCTGGCTAACATGGTGAAACCCTGTCTCTACTAAAAATACAAAAAAAAAAAATTAGCTGGGCATGGTGGCGGGCACCTGTAGTCCCAGCTACTCGGGAGGCTGAGGCAGGAGAATGGCGTGAACCCGGGAGGCGGAGCTTGCAGTGAGCAGAGATCATGCCACTACACTCCAGCCTGGGTGACAAAGCGAGGCTCCGTCTCAAAAAATAAATAAATAAATAAATAAATAAATAAAATAAAAATAAAAATTGTATATATGCTTAAGTGGCAGAAGGCAATAATAGCTTGAGAGCTTTTTTAAAAATATATTCTGAGCATGTGTTTCAAAGATTATTATTCTTTCGAAAAAAAATTTAAGATCAAAATTTGTCAAATTCCATCACTGTAACAGCTCATTCAGTATGCCACCTTTCATCCATAGACCTCCACCTGCTTCAGGTTGGGTAAACAATGTTAAAAATTTGGCCTCTTAAAATCCATATTCAGACCCTCTCTGTTGATGATATATATTTTACCTCTTCTTTCAGTGTATATTTATTCTTTTGTTTCTCTTAAACCCAACTTTTAGAATTAATGTCTAAGCACTGTAACATTGAACAGTTTTGTTCCTAGGGATATAAGGTCCTTTTCTCCATATTATTCTGTTACAATTGAGAATGTAAAGACGGGGAACAGAATTATAGTCATGACAGGTTTTATGTCTCATTTTAACAAGGCTATTTACAAAAATTATTTTCTAACACTGTATTTCCAACAATCTTAATTTCAACTCCTGCTCTCAAATTTTTTCAAGATTCATTACTTTCCTTATCTTTAGTTCTATGGAGAACAGAGACACTAGAAATATGATACTAGGTTCATTCTGTTTTAACTTTTACAGCTAAAAAGTTAAACCAAGCTGAAACATTGCACTATAAAGAAATCTATGAAACTAAAGGTCTTGCTTCAACTGAGTCTTTGAAAATTATCAAACAATGAAAAGCTCTGAAATTTTAAGCCGGGAATAACTAGAATTAAAATTTTCTTTTTTCATTGTTGCCAAATTCTTTCCTATTTCCATTAAAAGTCACAGATTTATATGAGGTGAAATGCAGATATTCCAGAAAATTAAACATATGTTTCACTAACATTTTGCTATTTCACTCTAATGGACACATTCTATTTTAGGGTGATGGTAAAAAATTCAAATCTCCAAGCAGTTAAATTAATCTTAAATAATTTCATTTTCACAGTGAAGCAACTTATGCAGACAGTTGGAAGAATTAAGGATCTCTTCTCTTTCCCTCATTCTTCTTTCTTATCAAAAATTACTTGAGTTATGCCTCATTTTAAACAGAAAAAGAATTTAGAGGGAGCTAGTTTATCTGACAAAGCAATTCAAATTAATTTAATAATGAATGTACTCATCATTAACTGGCAAATCTGATTTTATAAAAATAATAAAATTTTTCATTTTAAAATATACATCTTTCCCAGAGACAATTAGGAATGCTGCATAAAAATCAGGGTAGGTAGGATTAAGCTAATTTTTTTCTACTTGTATATTTCTTTTCCACTAAATCTCTAAGCATACAAAGCTTAAAAGAATGGTTTCAATGTTGTTAGTTCTTATATTTAGACCTGCAGTTCATTGCTAATACAGTACAACACTCAAGTGCTCTTCGCTTAAGGAAGACATTGATGCAGATATAAACCTCCAAGAGGGATTTCCCTTGCCTAGGTGACAGGACTCATGAGTGTATCAAATGTAATGACTCAGCTCAGACAATAAAACATATGTTCCAGGAGCACATTTAATTAGGACAGGAACTGTTAGTGTGCAAGAGAGCAGAGCAGAATTAATGGCACAGTGTTTCTCTGTGGACTCCAAGGGGTTTATTTTCAAGTGATTAGAAAAGATCTGTCATGTACATTATGCCATCACGTTTCTGTCCTATTACCAAGACACCCTTAACTTGGGTTTGCATTTTCATCCACACAAGTTTTTCTCTTCTATACTTCCCCAAATACCACTGAAGCTCTTTGTTATTTTTTTCCAAATTCTGTCCAGTGACTCCGTCATACTGCTGCAAACATTATTAAAAGAAAAGTCATTTGCAAGCAAGCATTGATGGCTTCATTTAAAACTCCCCCTTGGATGTAATTGAGAACATTCAAAAATGTAAACTGAGAAATTCAAAAACATAAATAAAAAGATCATTGATATGAATTGGGCTAATTGTTAAGGAGGCATTTACTAGAGATTATGCCAAATATGTAAATAACATGAAAAAGACTAAGCTACCTTACGGATACAATATGTTTTTGACCTTTTTGTGTCTTATTTTTTAAGCATTGAGGGTTTATGGATGTTTAGTCAAATGAAGCTTATTTCATGCAGCAATTGGAGATGTAAAAATTATTCAATTTACTATCCATAATGGAAAAAATTTGCAAATCTTATTACTATGGAATATTTCCCCTAATTTATATGATCAAAGCCCTCAATAACAGTGATGTTTTTTGGGCATTTTTACTACATGCTAACATGCTTTGGCACCCAACTCATACCCTCCTCTCTTGGCCTGCAGCCACTTACTTTATAGTGTCTACCTTCCTTTCTAACTTTTACTTCATGAACATAGGTAATTAGCTTTTCCTTGGATTGCTGTTGATTTCAGCTTGGCAAATGCACTTTGAGAATGCCTTGGGTGTCTTGCAAAAGGGGAATGATTTGGCATATCTTAAAATGCTTAAGGGAAATGAATAGAGAGCTAAAATGAGAACTGGTATGAGAACTCAATTGAGTTGGGGACTTTCATTTAACTGCTATACTAAGAATGCGAGAAATTTAACCTCTCCAAATTTCATCATTCTTTTTTTCCCCCAATAACTAGATATACAACTAGTTGGCATTGCCCCAAACACAAACCCTACATTAGCCAATTTACTTTTATATATGACACTTTGTTGCATTTGAACATTATAAATGAAGCCAACCCTTAACTTGTTGCATCTTCTGTAACAAAGGAGTTAGGCAAACAAAGAATGAAAAAGTATGCCAGAGAACAGGAGGGGAAGGTAAATTTGAAAACAGAAATAATTTTAAAAAAGGGAATAGAAAGCCCTTACAATTGATTGTAGAAAGCAGTTTTCAGATGGCTCAGGAAGCAGTTTTATTTGAGTAGTTACAGCAGTTCAAAAGCTGTTGGTGAACTCCTATCAAGGATTGTGTGTATTTATAATTCAATGAGGAAACAAAAGTTAGGAAGTAAAGAAGAAGAACCTCGCAGCAGAAATCCTTAAAACTCTCTGCCTTTAGTTCTCATATGGTTGACTAAATGTGGCAAGATTTTTACTCTATGCCCCTTTAAAGATATTTCGTTTCCTCACATAAAATCCTCCTAAAAATAACCCTTAGTTATGTAAATAGAAAATCTTAATCTGCAGTCCAAAAACTCCCTAGAATTTTATGTGAAACTATCTTTGTCTATATTCACACCATGATTTTCTATGCCAAGAATCAAGACCTGTATTAGTAAGTACTGTGACCACTAGACGCACATGGCCATTGAGCATTTGATCTGTAGCTGAATTGAGATGTCCTACAAGTTAAAAAACAAAACAAAACAATACCACTGGATTTTAAAATTTTAATATAAAAAATAAAATATCTCAATGACCTTTTTTACCAATTGCATACTAAAATACAATATTTTAGACATATTGAGCTAAATAAAATATTAAATTTTATTTTATCAGTTTTTTTTTAATTTGTATGTTGTTGCTACTGAAAACATAAAATTCCACATGTGGCTCATATTTATGTCTCCCATTATACTTCTATTGGACAGCATTCATCTAAAGCTTCATTAATTTCACAGATTCCTTGGTCTATTAAAGAAGAAGAAGCAAAGGCTCCCGAGGTTCTCTTTATGTTAAGAGCTTCTGTATTCAAGAAGTGTGTCCTATTGTGGATGCTAAAACAATACTTGCTAATGTATGTGATCTGTGAAAAATGTGGAAAACACTTTGTCAAGGGGCATAAAAAAGCTGTTTGAGTTTTTATTAAGGAGATTGGTTTCTGACATATCAGGCTTTTCTGAGACTTACACTACTCAGGGAAAATTGTCAGTATGAAGGAAGATGCATGTGAGAAGTTCTGAATGTGCCTTGGCAGAGACATAGATTCATTAGGGGCTGCGTGCCTCACTGGTGAGCACTGAGTGTCTACCTGTCAGCATCTCACACCTCACTGAACTCAGACTCCCAGGTGGCCACTCCAATCATTCTCTGCCTCACTCTCCCTCCTGCTCTGATAGAGCTCTCTCCTTGGTTTTGCCCAGGAGCCCACATAGCTCACTTACATACATTACTGACTTAATAAAGATAATCAGTGTGGTCCTCTTGGGATGTTTGTTTCTCTAGGCAAGGCTGAAAATGTGTACTTATTCCTCATTAATTTGTACATGACTACTGTTTCTAGCTGACTCTTGGAAGTTATCTATTTAGTAAAGAATAGAAGAGCAAATACTTTGATACAGAATTTGAACCTTAAATAAAGAAGCAGAGGTCGGTTGTTAGGTTAGGCTGTGCAAAACTGAAAAAAAAATCATAATAGGAGTTTATTAAGCTAAAAATAGGATACTAAGATTATAATTAAAGGACTATTAAATAAATAGAATTTGCTTTTCACTTTGCATTTTTCTGTTCTTAAAATAGAATACAAAAATGCCAGGCTACAATGTCACCAAGAAAATTCTATACTGTTTTATCCTTTCTCTCTTTTCTCTCTTTTTTCTTTTTAACAAGGAGAATTATTTGCAAAGAAAATGAAGATTCCATAATCCTCTGAATGAAATACTGTATCTGCTATACTGTTAGCCTATTTCAGAATGGGAGTTCAACTAAGAAGAGAGACACCGATTGACTGACTACATTTATGAGAAAGGTCCAGAAGCCCTCATTCATTTTAAGATCTCATTTTTAGTGAACTATGCCTATTATCAGTTGATACTACATTTTGCATTTACTAAACCAATCTATAAGACATATATGATATATATTCACACATATATAATATTCTCCGTAAATAATTGAGGAAGAATATGCAAAAAACTAAGCACAATGGTTGTCTGTTAAAAGAACAGCCTGGGTGGCTCAGGAGCAGAGGTGGTTGGATATTATTTTCCTTTGCACATTGTGTACCATTGTTTATATTATTAAAAATAAATTAAAATAATATTGCTAATGCCCAATTACTGTCATACTATCCCTACCATTATCAATTCTCAGCTGCTATATTTTCTTCCCTTGCCATAGTCTTTATTTGTTGGTGTATTTCTCCATCATTAATTTAAAATTAGTTTTCTTCTCTTCTCACCTTCCATTTATTCAACAGGTTGAACACATTCATGCACTGTTTTTTAAGTTTTACTGAGAAATAATTGGTATACGAAAAACTGTTCGCATATTTACTGTGTATGATTTGGTAAGTTTGGACATGTGCAAATACCTGTGAAATCATCACCACAATCAAGGTAATAGACTAGACTACGTCCGTGTATGTGTGTGTGTGTGTGTGTGTGTGTATGTATGTGTATATGTGTGTATGTGTAGTAAGAATACTTAACATGAGATCTACCCTATTAAATTCTGGAGTACACAATACCATATTGTTAATGGTAAGTACTATGTTGTACAGTAGACTCCTCGAATTTATTCATCTGGCATTGTTGAAACTTTATACTCATTGAACAATAACTCCCCATTCCCCCACAATCTCAATCCCCTGGCAACCCCTATTGTATTTACTAATTCTATAAGTTTGACCATGATAGATGCCTCATATAATTGGAATAATGCAATATTATCTAACAAATCCACTTTTGGTTATATTTCCAAAAATACTGGAATCAGGTTCTCAAAGAGGTTCATTGTAGCATTATTCATAATAGCCAAAATGTGGAACAACCCAAGTGTTCATCAACAGTTGAATGGATAAAGAAAATGTGGTATAAACATACAGTGGAATATTATTCAGCCTTAAAGAGGAAAATCCTGCTGTTTGCGACAGCATGGATGAACACAGAGAACATTAAACTAAATCAAGTCAGTCAGTCACAGAAAAACAAAGATTGCATTTCATGTTCTTTTTAAAACATCCTTTAGGGAAAAGAAGATTGGAATAGACCTAGGCATTGTGTGTAAGTTTAGGGAACAGAAAGATCTTGTTTGTTGTTGTTGTTGTTGTTGTTGACTATAATGCAGATCAAACATTTTTTTAAAAAAATATTTCTCACTACTTTCTTATTTTCATGTCCTTTAGTATGTATCCACCTTAATGTTTCTAAACATGAAGAAATTTACAGCATAATGTCCTTGCTTTTAAAGGAATTTTACCAAATTGAGTATCTCAAGGAAATACACATGTAGGCAAGAAGGATGAAAAATTTAACCAGCACAAAAAACTGCAAAGAAGAATATTAAAAGTTAGATGTAGCTCAGGTTTCTCTGATTAATTTTTTAAATTGATGACTGGCTTTATGCCACCTTCACCACCTAACGCCTTCTGGTAATTATGAAAGGAATTCACAAAAGTTGTGTGATTGGGGCCTGCAAAGGATGTGAACTACTGTCTCATGGACATTGTGTGGGGCCTGCCATTTGACCCCAAGAGAGGGCAGAGAGAATGACATTAAGAGTACTTGTGTTGGAGCTACATTTTCAAGGTGCACTACCCACTTGATGTGGGAGTTTGAACACATATCTTCACTTTTTTGTATCTTTTTTTTTCAGATGGAGTCTCGCTGTGTTGCCCAGGCTGTAGTGTCATGGCACAATCTCGGCTCACTGCAACCTCTGCCTCCTGGGTTCAAGCGATTCTCCTGCCTCAGCCTCCCAAGTAGCTGGGACTACAGGTGTGTGCCACCACGCCGGGCTAATTTTTTGTGTTTTTAGTACAGACGGGGTTTCACCGTGTTAGCCACAATGGTCTTGATCTCCTGACCTCATGATCTGCCTGCCTCGGCCTCCCAAAGTGCTGGGATTACAGGTGTGAGCTACCACGCCCGGCCACTTTTTTGTATCTTAGTTTCTTCATTCACTAAATAGAGATAGTAATTATACTTCAAGGGTTTTCTGTGTGAACTAAATGAGCGAATACCTGAGAAGCATGTATAATAATTGAGTAACAACACAATAGGTGCTAAGTATTCATCATTTTTCTTCTATTTAACCCCCACCCTTTTTATTGTAAATTGACAATTTACAGTTATATAAATGTATGAGGTACAAAGAGATGTTATAATTTTAAGTACAATGTGGAATATTTAAATCAAGCTAGTTAACATATCCATCACTTCAAATTCT
Source organism: Homo sapiens (assembly GCF_000001405.40). Classification (NCBI taxonomy): domain Eukaryota; kingdom Metazoa; phylum Chordata; class Mammalia; order Primates; family Hominidae; genus Homo; species Homo sapiens. The sequence continues at coordinate 77,152,923 of NC_000002.12, forward strand.
TAAGATTTTTTGCAGTGAGAACATTTGAAATTAACTCACTTACTAATTTTGAAATGTAATATTCTATAATTAACTATATTCACCATGCTGTGCAATAGAACTCTAAAAAGAAAAAAAAGCATATTCCTTCTGAGATCTTATATCCTTCATCTCCACCCTACTTACAGATATTTATTGTAAGATTTCCTCTGCTGTCCATTCTGCACCAAGGTGACTAATTAGCACCTTTAATGCTCACATAGGACCTCTTCCCTATTAAAACCAATACTGAGCCTCCTAACGAGGTACTGAGGTGTGTCAGATTAGTGCTATGTACTTAATAGTCATCTGTGTGCTGCAACTGTGTTGTCTGTAGATGTGAGGAGAATGCTTTCCTGCCCACGTTTTCTGTAATACTTTGTCACATACTCAAAGGCAAAGCTGCCTTTCTTCCTAGATACACAATCTTCAGTGAAGTTAGCTCTCTGAGTATTTTGCAAAGCTCCCAAGTTTAAAAATCTAAGAAATACTAACACATGCAAATTTAATGCAAAAAATAAAGTGAGTCATTTTCTCCCTCTTATAAAAACCAAGATAAATACAGTTATTACCATGAAAAGAAATGTAGAATTGCTTTCTTTTATTATGCCTCAACTTAAAGGGCCACATGCCTTATTTGAAAAGCTGAGTTTTTATTTCATGATGAGATATGTTTTTATATCACTTTTCAGGTAAAATATTCCTTAGAGCAAAAAGGGCATTTTTAGGGCTAATAGGTTCTGCTCTCATTAACACTAAAAGTTATGAATGCTTTTAGATTTTTACCTAGGGGAAAACATAGCAAATGCAAACTGTCAACTCATATATATACATCTGAAAATCTCAATCAAGCACTGTGAAGCCTTGTCAGGAAAAATACTTATCCTCTTGATTTAAAGAGTGTAACTTTTGTCCCTAGTGAAAAAGAAACTTTTAATTATTAAAAGCTTATACTGGTCCATAGTTGACATCTAATTTATTTTATCACATCAAATATGTTGTAAGATATAAGAAATATTTTAGAATGTTCAGAATTATTTCACAGGTGTTTAGGATAACTGAGTACTGCTCTTAGTATTTTTGAATTACAAACATCTCAATTACTAGAAGTCTAATCAATGTCCATCAATACCAAATGAAGAGAATTTGTGGGACAGTGCAAAGTGTTCTTAATTGGCTTTGCGGATGCTTGAATTTATTTCCTGGTGCTCCAATAGAAGTTGTGACATTGGTGAATCCATTTAGCTTCTTCTCTTTCTAGTTTCCATGTCTAACAATTATAGACTTTGGCTAAATATGCTCTGTAGTCCACCTTAGAGGCAAACTATTCAGAGTTTTTTTCTTTCCCTGCCAAATTTCTGTGCATTTGAGTACTCAATAAAGAGAAGAATTTTATAAAATGCAGCTGAGTAATAGAAGACATGGTCCACCTCACAAGGAATCAAATAATGCAAATCACTATGTGTTTAATGATTTATAGATTTTAGCATTTCCACTGACAATTAGCAAAGAAGAAAAAGGCTAATTATAACTAGTATAGGCATGGACATAGGAAAATGGGCACTTTCTAAAACTGCTGAAACAAGTATACATATTAGTAAAGTATTTATAGATAGTAATTTTCCAAAATGAATAAAAAGCAATAAAAAATCTTTTAATCTAATAATCTAGATTCTCAGAATTTACGCTGAGATGATAGGTACATTTACAAAGGTAATTTACATTTATACTTAAGAATATTTAGCATAAAATTCTTTATTATAGCCAAAGGAAAATACGAAATATGAAAACATAAATGAAGAATAGGAGATTAGTTACATGAATGTTGATGGGTCTCTGTACAGTTAGGGCATGCATGGGCTTTATGAGTCAAAGAGCCTGATTCATTTCATGACTCTGAAGCTTTCTAGTATTATTTTCTTGTATAAATTGCTTAAGCACTCTAACTCTGTTTCTGACCCTTTAAAGTGGAATTAACAATGGTATCTTTATCAGAATGCTGTCATTAGAATTAAAGAAGATATGATTTGTACCGGCCCTTGCACTACTAACTGTCAATTTTAGTATAAATCCACATAATAGGCACTCTAGGAATCTGTTAATAGTGATCATGCAAAGCTATGTCAATTCACATCAGAGGTCATTCTTAACTACTTGCTAAGTTTAAAAAAATAAACAGTTGCATGGCAGCAATGTAATACACAAAGTACATTTTGATTTTAAATACAGTGAAAGAGAATAAAAAGCCTGCATATAAATATTTAATTTTTATTTTCTATTTTTTATATGATATTCACAGATAATTGTTAAATTTTTATAAAAATGAAGGATTTTTTTCCTTACTAAATTATATATAAGCCAAAGGTAAAGTAAGATACTGATAGTCATTGGATTATAAAGAAAAAAATAGAATTTTTAATTATACCTACTTACACTGAAATGATCGAAATATAAAGCATGTATTTCCTAATCCAGTCTGCATTTATATCATATGAGACATCACCAGGGATAGAATCAAACAAATGATAAAATACTTTAAACATTTTCAGAAAATACAAAGGTTGAGATAAATCAAGATTGCAAATTCTGTTATAAACACATAGAAACTTTGAATAATATTATATATATATATATCTTTTAACACATAACTTATAATACATAACTAATCAGGAGCAGGGTGTGGGGGAGAAAGACCTTCCTAGCAGACAGGAATGAAGAAAGATATCAAAGAGAGCACCAAAGTGGAACCTGAAACCAAGCAGAGAATGTTGGTTACCAGTGACTCTGGAAGGTTACGGGAGGGGGAGGATGGGAAGAGGTTGGTTAAATGGTCCAAAGTTACAGTTTAATAACAGAAATACATTTGGTTGTTCTATTGTATTGCAGAGTAGAGTGACTATGGTTAACAGTAAAAAATATCTATCACATAACAGCTAACAGGGAACCTTTTAAGTTTCTCACCACAGATAAATGATAAATGCCTGAGGTAATAGATATATGAATTAACCTGACTGAATCAATTTTCAACATAGGTATGTGCTGAAACATCAGATTGTACCCCATAAATATGTACAATTTAAATGTGTCAATTTAATTTATTTTAAAAAAATTAAAAGAGAAAGATATAGAAACCCAGACTCCCTCACTAGTAAATAAAGTACTCTGAAAGGTATATTTATGTGAAAACAGGGAAGGCTGCATTAAACAGGAGCACTCAGTTAAAAAGAATTATAATTTATAAACACCATGAAAACTCTAAGAGAGAGTATATTTACTATTTAGCAAATAGAAGCACAACTATGAAATAACAGAATAAAAGCTATAAGAATTTAAAATAATTAAAGAAATATATGTAAAACAACAAACATAAGTAAAAGACACAATACAAAAAAAAACAGAAAAAAGTCATATTTGAAAAACAGAATTTCTAGAAATAAAATGAAATATGAAGTATTTGAAATTAAGATTCATCCACAGGAAAATGATTCAATAAATTATAGTATATTCAAGCATGGGAATTGGGATGAAAATGAAAAATGAATCAATCAGAGCTTTATGTAGTAAAAGGGACATTAAGTTTAAAGAAATAATAATAAATGATATATTCAGAATGATGCCAATAACATAAGACTAAAAACATCCAAAACAACACCATATATAATTTAGAAATACATGTGCAATATCAGTGCCAACAAATGCATTTGAACATGAAATTCGGGGTGAGGTAGAAAAATGGGATTTAAAGAAAGATACAATGAGCCTTCAACTTTTTTTTTTTTTTTTTTGAGACAAGGTCTTACCCTGTCACCCAGGCTAGAGTGCAGTGGCATAATGATGACTCACTGCAAGCTGGCCTCCCTAGCCCACGCAATTCTGCCACCTCCGCCTCCCAAAGTGATGGGACTATAGATGTGAGCTACAGGGCCTGGCTCAACTTCTTACTAAAGCTTTTATTTTTTTTTTTCTCAAGGTGTTTAGTGGGCCTTTTGCTTTTTAACATTTTTTACTTTTGAAATATTTCATAATAACCTTTGTTACTATTCAACTAACCTTTAATATTTGTTATCAAACAGTAATAACAATTGTTATTAAATATACAAGTTATTAAACAAACCCTTAACATTTTAATTTAGTTTAATTCATAAACTAAAAGATATATCCAAGGAGGCATTACTTAACATTAGAAATCCTAGTAACACAGAGTCATCACATTAATGCATTAAAAGAGAAATGATCAAATGTTGGCTAAAAGCAAAGGTTTTGCTTGTTCACTGCTGCATAACAAGATGTAAACTGTAGTACAGTTTTTATAAATGGGGAAGGGAGAAAGTGAAGAAGGAAGGTAATTATGAGGAGGGGAATCATCATATCAGTAAGGTGTCAAAAACTGGGCAAAGAATTGCATTAGTTAGAATAAGCTCAGTAGAATATGGACATTAAAGGCCAAGAAGATAACATTTTAAAACTAAAAATATAAATACACATAAATTTGATGTTGTATAGACATCTTGATTATGGACTTGTTTTTCTTGTTTCTGACTTTAAAATTAATATTTCTATTTCATTATTGCTTATAATATTTGATAATTTTATAAAAGAGAAACTTTTCTTAAACGTATGAGTATAGTTTTTTTTGATACTGATATTTAACTTGATATACTTGCGGTCAGAGAAAGGAGTAACATTCTGCACTTGACTAGAAATAAACCTATAATGTAAAATTCCTATCTTCCTATGGAATTTTTATCTACATCTTCTTTTCATTATTAAGATATTTATGTTTGTGATCCTTATGGAAGAAAACCCCACCACTTGAGGTCTTGCTGAAACGATTGAACCTGAGTGTGATCAGGACTCTAGATGCAATGGGCTATTTGCAGGAAACTCAGGGACAGAGGAACATGAGCTATATTATGAGCATGCCATCAGCAGACTCCAGACTGTGAAACTACAGGTCAAACAGCTCGAGTGAGTTCTTCAACAGATAAATTACAACAAAAAGAAAGGGATGGGTGGGAGAGAACTTCTGAATTAAAAAACATTCAAAAGGCGTCAAGTTAACAAAAATGGGTCTGACTAAATGATTGTGTCTAGGAATGTGTTCTTGGTGAAAAAACAATAAAGAAACACAGGGGAAATATTATTGTAAATGTCAGAATAGTGATTACTTATGGAGAGGGAGGGAGGAGGTATGGAGAGAGGCTTCTGGCCAACTTCTCTCTCGAACTGTGTGGTGGTTGCAAGGGCGTTTGCTTTATAATAATTCACTAAGTTGTATGTCTGTTCTGTGTGCTTTCCTTTTGTCTTATTTTACAATAAAAATGTCAAAAAATATAGAGATTTAATTTTGTATTTCCCACTAGGAGTGTGGATTTCTCAATTTCTCATCACAGATGTATCAAATTTTACATATGTGGTTAAAAACTATGTTCTTAGATGCATATTTGTTTGAAATTATTTTATCTTTTTGGGGAAATAAACACTTTATCAATATATTTGGAATGTTGCCTGTTACATTTCAAATCCTGTTTTGTATCAAACAGTGACAGCACTTGTGTTTTGTTATGTATTTCATGGGCACTGCCTATTTTTTTACCTTTTTTTTGCAATATTCTGTTTTCTTATGTTTTACATTTATCTTACAAATCAAATGTAGCTGGACTATATTTTTCATATAGTCTGATAAATTTTGCTATTAAGACAAGCAGTTTGTCTATTTATATTTTGTTGTTTTACATACATTTGGATTCTTTTCTATCTTATTTTGTACTAGAAAGTACAAAAGTTGAAACTTGTCCTAATTTTTTCTCCCTGCTTGTCTTTTAGTAATCTAAGTGCTTTTTTCGTTTTTTTTTCTATTAAGTGCAGAACTATACATTATATTTCTATTTTATAATTGTACAATAATAAACATTAACATAGGTATTTAACTTTATAATTAATTACATACGATATAACAATTATCACCTGTCTTCTGCAAAATATAGGTATCTCAGAACGCTTTCACTCCGTGAATATTCTTGATTCATATGCTTGTTATATTTCCCCATAACATAGCTTAATATTTTAACCACTAAACCAGACTTTATATCACTGTTTTGATTTTAACAGTTGCTAAATTTGATGACATTTTATTATTTTTCTACATGAACCGTTCATCTTTGCAGATATTTTCTTGTGGAATAAAGTATCTTATTTGGAAGAACAGCTGACACTTCACCAACAGGTGATTTAGCGGTGCTAACTCCAATGTATTCAAAAATCCATGAATAAATTTTGACTTCCCAAAAACATAACCACTAATAGCCACCTGTTGACCAGAAATCTTACTGAGATAAACAGTCAGTTGATGAACATTTTGTGTATGTATTACATACTGCATTTTTTCAACACAGTAAGCTGTAAAAAAGAAAGTGTTATTAAGAAAATCGTTGGTTGGGGAGAGGGAGGAGGGATAGCATTAGGAGATATACCTAATGTAAATGACGAATTAATGGGTGCAGCACACCAACATGGCACACATATACATATGTAACAAACCTGCATGTTGTGCACATGTACCCTAGGACTTAAAGTATAATGGAAAAAAAAAAAAAGAAAAAAAAAGGAAATCATAAGGAAGAGAATATATATTTACTATTCATTAAATGAAAGGGGATCATCACAAAGGTCTTCATTCTTGTCATTTTTACATTGAGTAGGCTGAGGAGGAGGAGAAATAGGAGGGTTTGGTCTTGCAGTCTCAGGGTGGGCAGAGGGGGAAGAGGTAGAAAAGGTGGAAGAGGAGGCAAGAGAAGCAGGCACACTTAGGGAACTCTATGGAAGTACATCATGATTTCTGTATGACTTTTTTGCTTTTTAAAATTTCTCTAAAAATGTTTCTGTATGGTAACAATCCTTCTTCCACCATTTGCTTTAGTTTTAGTGCTTATATCATGCAAGACAGAATCAATCCATCTGATTGTGACAGAATCAATCTAACACAATTCAGATTGTGTAATGTCAATTGTTTTCTGGCACTGCTTCTATGTCTTCTTCCCCTGTCTTACACTGGTTTGGAAGCATTTATCTTCATCAAGTCATCTTCCATTAATCACTCTGGTGTGGTGTCTATTCACTCTTGAATTTCTCCAAGATGCATATCTTCAAACCTTTCAGCCCTCACCTTTTTTGCCATGTCCACAGTCTCTTCAATGAATTCCTTGATTGGCTGTGTTGAAAATCCTGTGAAGTTCTGCACAACATCTGGACACAGTTTTCTCCAACAGAAAGTTTTCATTTCTGGCTTGATGGCTTTCACAGACTTTTATATAACAATCATGGCATTTCCAATGTTGTAATCATTCCAGACTTTCATGATGTTCTCTCTGCTGGGGCTCTCTTCCAGAGCATTGACAACACTTTCCATACAATTTTGTGAGTAGTGAGCCATAAAGGTCCTTATGATCTTCTGATCTAGAGGCTAAATTAGAGATGCTGTGTTTGGGGGCATGTAAATCACTTCAGTATTTTAGTGTTGAACTTATAGATTCCATATAGCCAAAGGACATTGTTTAATATTTAAAAAAAAAAACTTTAAAAGGCAGTCCTTTACTGACAAGAGATTTCCTCACTTCAGGGACAAAGCATGGATGGATGCAATCCAGATAAAAGGGTCTCATTGTCCAAGGCTTTTTATTGTACAATGAAGACTGACAGCTTGTGCTTTATTTATTTCCTTTAAGGCTTAAAAATAAGAGTAGTCTTGATCATAGACCAGTCTACACTTGCAAAAAAACAGTGGAGTTGGCCTACTCTTTCCTGCCTTAAATCCTGGTGCTTGCTTTGAAACTGCCCTCATAAAATTAAAGGAGGCCACACGATTACAATTATGTTAGGTGCCTGAATTTTGCTAAGATATTTTCCTTTCTGTCTGATTTTTTCCTTATCCATGCATGATTGCTTGCACATAGTCATTATATGATATGTGACAAATGACAGTCACTAATAACTGATTATCTTCCTGTCCTAGTTCCATGGCAGCCTACATGAAAGATTAAGGAATTTGTTTTTACTTTTAAAGAAAAATGATCCTTAGATCATGCAGACCCCCTCGATGACTTCCAGAAGTTAGATGACCAACAGGGCGCCAGGCAGCTATGACAAGCAGGGACCTCACCTTCCACAGACTTTTCTGCTAAGCTATAGGCATAGTTAAACGATAACCCAGCATTTTTTCCCATCTTGCTTGCCATAGTAACCAGCAGTCACAAATGCTATTGTGAAACCTAAGACTGGTCTTTGAGATAGTTTTCTACCTTGGTCTGTGAGTGGACTGACGCCAACCCAACCAGTGATCCAACGGAACTGACTTGACTGGTATTGTGACTCACCTCCTTTCTCAGGAACTGATTCAGCCCTAACACAGCATCCATTCCCTATGCCTCTGCCAGTCAAATCATTCTTTTAAAACCCAGCTTCTGATGCCTCAGCGAGGTGGCTTTGAGCAGTATCTCCCATCCTCCTGGTTCGGTTGCCTTGTGATAATTAAACTCTTCTTTATAGTGATACTTGTTGTCTCAGTGTTTGGCTCTATCTTGGCAGCAGGCAAAAACCTGGTCAGGTGGTAACAGCTTTTCTTCCTTAATAATAAATGTTCTAGGCATTTTGTCTGTGAGTTTTTTCAAATTGTTGCCAATCTCCAAAAAAAAATTTCCAATATATTGGAAAAACATCCACATATAAGTGGATACGTGCAGTTCAAACCCATGTTGTTCAGTGGTCAACTGTGAAATTTTTTGCAGTATTTTAGAGAGGGTCTGTAGGTAAACTCTTAATTTTTTTTTCTGTGAAAATGTCTTATTTATTTTCTTCTTTAGTAAAATATTATTTCACTGAGTTCCAATGCAAATGATTAAAACTCTAGTATTTTGAGGTTAATTAATTGTCTAGTGCAATTAGTTGACCAATTAAGAGTTCTTCATGGAGGCTCCAAGATGGCTGAATAGGAATAGCTCCAGTCTACAGCTCCCAGCGTGAGCAACACAGAAGACGAGTGATTTCTGCATTTGCAATTGAGGTACCGGGTTCATCTCACTGAGGCTTGTCAGACAGTGGGTGTAGCCCACAGAGCGGGAATTCCCTTTCCTAGACAAGGGAAGCCATGACAGGCGGTACCTGGAAAATCAGGACACTACCACCCTAATACTGTGCTTTTCCAATGGTCTTAGCAAATGGCACCCCAGGAGATTATATCCCATGCCTGGCTCAGAGGATCCCACACCCACGGAGCCTCGCTCACTGCTAGTACAGCAGTCTGAGATTAAACTGCAAGGTGGCAGCAAGGCTGGGGGTGGGGCGTCTGCCATTGCTGAGGCTTCAGTAGGTAAACAAAGTGGCCAGGAATCTCGAATTGGGTGGAGCCCAACACAGCCCAAGGAGGCCTGCCCTACTTCTGTAGACTCCACCTCTGGGGGCAGGGCATAGCTGAACAAAAGGCAGCAGAAACTTCTTCAGATTTAAACGTCCCTGTCTGACAGCTTTGAAGAGAGTAATGGTTCTCCCAGCACAGAGTTTGAGATCTGAGATGGACAGACTGCCTCCTCAAGTGGGTCCCTGACCCTCGAGTAGCCTAACTGGGAGGCACCTCCCAGTAGGGACCGACTGACCCCTCATATGGCCTGGTGTCCCTCTGAGATGAAGCTTCCAGATGAAGGATCAGGCAGCAACATTTGCCATTCCACAATATTTTCTGTTTGGCAGCCTCCACTGGTGATACCCAGGCAAACAGGGTCTGGAGTGGACCTCCAGCAAACTCCAACAGACCTGCAGGTGAGGGTCCTGACTGTTAGAAGGAAAACTAACAAACAGAAAGGACATCCACACCAAAACCCCATCTGTATGTCACCATCATCAAAGACTAAAGGTAGATTAAACCACAAAGATGGGAGAAACCAGAGCAGAAAAGCTGAAAATTTTAAAAATCAGAGCACCTCTTCTCCTCCAAAGGAATGCAGCTCCTCACCAGCAACAGAACAAAGCTGGAAGGAGAATGACTTTGATGAGTTGAGAGAAGAAGTCTTTAGACAATAGGTAATAACAAACTTCTGTGAGCTAAAGGAGGATCTTGGAACCCATCACAAAGAAGTTAAAACCCTTGAAAAAAGATTAGACAAATGGCTAACGAGAATAAACAGCATAGAGAAGACCTTAAATAACCTGATGGAGCTGAAAACCATGGCACGAGAACTATGTGACACATGCACAAGCTTCGGTAGCCTATTCGATCAAGTGGAAGAAAAGGAATCAGTGACTGAAGATGGAATGAATGAAATGAGGTGAGAAGAGAAGTTTAGAGAAAAAAGAGTAAGAAAAATGAACAAACCCTCCAAGAAATATGGGACTATGTGGAAAGAACAAATCTACGTCTGATTGGTGTACCTGAAAGTGATGGGGATAATGGAACCAAGTTGGAAAACACTCTGCAGGATATTATCCAGGATAACTTCCCAACCTAACAAGGCAGGCCAACATTCAAATTCAGGAAATATAGAGAACTCCACAAAGATACTCCTCGAGAAGAGCAACTCCAAGACACGTAATTGTCAGATTTACCAAAGATGACGTGAAGGAAAAAATGTTAAGGGCAGCCAGAGAAAAAGTTTGGGTTACCCATAAAAGGAAGCCCATCAGACTAACAGCGGATCTGTTACAGAAGAGAGTGGGGGCCAATATTCAACATTCTTAAAGAAAAGAATTTTCAACCCAGAATTTCATATCGAGCCAAACTAAGCTTCATAAGTGAAGGATAAATAAAACCCTTTACAGAAGAGCAAATGCTGAGAGATTTTGTCACCACCAGGCTTGCCTTACAAGAGCTCCTGAAGAAAGCACTAAACATGGAAAGGAACAATCAGTACCAGCCACTGCAAAAACATGCCAAATTGTAAAGACCTTCAATGCTAGGAAGAAACTGCATCAATTAATGAGCAAAATAACCAGCTAACATCATAATGATAGGATCAAATTCACACATAATAATATTAACCTTAAATGTAAATGGGCTAAAGGCTCCAATCAAAAGACACAGACTGGCAAATTGGATAAGCAGTCAACACCCATCAGTGTGCTGTATTCAGGAGACCCATCTCACATGCAGAGACACACATAGGCTCAAAATAAAGGGATGGAGGAAAATCTACCAAGCAAATGGAAAACAAAACAAAAGCAGGGGTTGCAATCCTAGTCTCTGATAAAACAGACTTTAAACCAACAAAGATCAAAAGAGACAAAGCAGGTCATTACATAATGGTAAAGGGATCAATTCAACAAGAAGAGCTAACTATCCTAAACAAATATGTACCCAATACAGGAGCACCCAGATTCATAAAGCAAGTCCTTAGACACCTACAAAGGACTTAGACTCCCATACAATAATAATGAGAGACTTTAACACCCTACTGTCAACATTAGACAGATCAACAGACAGAAAGTTAACAAGGATACCCAGGAATTGAATTCAGCTCTGCACCAAGCAGACCTAATAGACATCTACAGAACTCTCCACCCCAAATCAACAGAATATACATTCTTCTCAGCACCACACCACACTTATTCCAAAATTGCCCACATAGTTGGAAGTAAAGAAAGCACTCCTCAGCAAATGAAAAAGAACAGAAATTATAACAAACTGTCTCTCAGACCACAGTGCAATCAAACTAGAACTCAGGATTAAGAAACCCACTCAAAACCGCTCAACTGCATAGAAACTGAACAACCTGCTCCTGAATGACTACTGGTTAAATAACAAAATGCGGGCAGAAATAAAGATGTTCTTTGAAACCAGTGAGAACAAAGACACAACATGCCAAAATCTCTGGGACACATTTAAAGCAGTGTGTAGAGGGAAATTTATAGCACCAAATGCCCACAAGAGAAAGCAGAAAAGATCTAAAATTGACACCCTAACATCACAATTAAAAGAACTAGAGAAGCAAGAGCAAACACATTCAAAAGCTAGCAGAAGGCAAGAAATAACTAAGATTAGAGCAGAACTGAAGGAGACAGAGACACAAAAAACCCTTCAAAAATCAGTGAATCAAGGAGCTCTTTTTTTGAAAAGATCAACAAAATTGGTAGACTGCTAGCAAGACTAATAAAGAAGAAAATAGAGAAGAATCAAATAGATGCAATAAAAAATGATAAAGGGGATATCACCACTGATCACACAGAAATAAGAAATACTATCAGAGAATACTATAAACATCTCTATGCAAATAAACCAGAAAATCTAGAAAAAGTGGATAAATTCCTGGACACACACACCCTCCCAAGACTAAACCAGGATGAAGTTGAATCCCCGAATAGACCAATAACCGGCTCTGAAATTGAGGCAATAATTAATAGCTTACCAACCAAAAAAAGTCCAGGACCGACAGATTCACAGCCAAATTCTACCAGAGGTACAAAGAGGAGCTGGTGCCACTCCTTCTGAAACTATTCCAATCAGTAGAAAAAGAGGGAATCCTTCCTAACTCATTTTATGAGGCAGATTCATCCTGATACAAAAGCCTGGCAGAGACACAATAAAAAGAGAATTTTAGACCAATATCCCTAATGAACATTGATGCAAAAATCCTCAGTAAAATACTGGCAAACTGAATCCAGCAGCACATCGAAAAGCTTATCCACCATGATCAAGTGGGCTTCATCCCTGGGATGCAAGGCTGGTTGAACATATGCAAATCAATAAACGTAATACAGTGTATAAACAGAACCAAAGACAAAAACCACATGATTATCTCAATAGATGCAGAAAAGGCCTTCAACAAAATTCAACAGCCCTTCGTGCTAAAACCTCTCAATAAATTAGGTATTGATGGGACGTTATCTCAAAATAATAAGAGCTATTTATGACAAACCCACAGCCAATATCATACTGAATGGGCAAAAACTGGAAGCATTCCCTTTGAAAACTGGCCCAAGACAGGGATGCCCTCTCTCACCACTCCTAGTCAACATAATGTTGGAAGTTCTGGCCAAGTCAATCAGGCAGGAGAAAGAAATAGAGGGAATTCAATTAGGAAAAGAGGAAGTCAAATTGTCCCTGTTTGCAGATGACATGATTGTATATGTAGAAAACTCCATCGTCTTAGCCCAAAATCTTAAGCTGATAAGCAACTTCAGCAAAGTCTCAGGATATAAAATTAATGTGCAAAAATCACAAGCATTCCTATACACCAATGACAGACAAACAGAGAGCCAAATCATGAGTGAACTCCCATTCACAATGCTTCAAAGAGAATAAAATACCTGGGAATGCAACTTGCAAGGGATGTGAAGGACCTCTTCAAGGAGAATTGAAAACCACTGCTCAATGAAATAAGAGGACACAAACAAATGGAAGAACATTCCATGCTCATGGATAGGAAGAATGAATTATTGTGCAAATGTCCACACTGTCCAAGATAATTATAGATTCAATGTCATCCCCATCAAGCTACCAATGACTTTCTTCACAGAGTTGGAAAAAACTACTTTAAAGTTCATATGGAAGCAAAAAAGAGCCCGCATTGCCAAGACAATACTAAGCCACAAGAACAAAGCTGGAGGCATTATGCTACCTGACTTCAAACTATATTACAAGGCTACAGTAACCAAAACAGCATGGCACTGGTACCAAAACAGAGATATAGACCAATGGAACAGAATAGAGCCCTCAGAAATAATATCACACACCTACAACCATCTGATCTTTGACAAACCTGACAAAAACAAGCAATGGGGAAATGATTCCCTATTTAATAAATGGTACTGGGAAAACTGGCTAGCCATATGTAGAAAGCTGAAACTGGATCCCTTCCTTACACCTTATACAAAAATTAATTCAAGATGGATTAAAGACTTAAATGTTACACCTAAAACCATAAAAACCCTAGAAGAAAACCTAGGCAATACCATTCAGGACATAGGCATGGGCAAGGACTTCATGACTAAAACACCAAAAGCAATGGCAACGAAAGCCAAAATTGACAAATGGGATCTAATTAAACTAAAGAGCTTCTACACAGCAAAGGAAACTACCATCAGAGTGAAGAGGCAACCTACAGAATGGGAGAAAATTTTTACAATCTACGCATCTGACAAAGGGCTAATACCCAGAACCTACAAAAAACTTAAACAAATTTACAAGAAAAAAACAACCCCATCAACAAGTGGGCAAAGGATATGAAGAGACACTTCTCAAAAAAGACATTTATGCAGCTAACAGACTCATGAAAAAATGCTCATCATCACCGGCCATCAGACAAATGCAAATCAAAACCACAATGAGATACCATTTCACATCAGTTAGAATGGTGATCATTAAAAAGTCAGGAAACAACAGGTGCTGGAGACGATATGGAGAAATGGGAACACTATTACACTGTTGGTAGGACTGTAAACTAGTTCAACCATTGTGGAAGACAGTGTGGAGATTCGTCAAGGATCTAGAACTATAAATGCCATTTGACCCAGCCATCCCATTACTGGGTATATACCCAAAGGATTATAAATCATGCTGCTATAAAGACACATGCATACGTATGTTTATTGAGGCACTGTTCACAATAGCAAAGACTTGGAACCAACCCAAATGTCCATCAATGATAGACTGGATTAAGAAAATGTGGCATATATACACCACGGAATACTATGCAGCCATAAAAAATGATGAGTTCATGCCCTTTGTAGGGACATGGATGAAGCTGGAAACCGTCATTCTGAGCAAACTATCACAAGGACAGAAAACCAAACACTGCATGTTCTCACTCATAGGTGGGAATTAAACAATGAGAACATTTGGACACAGGATGGGGAACATCACACACTGGGCCTGTCATGGGATGGGGGAAGGTGGGAGGGATAGCGTTAGGAGATATACCTAATGTAAATGACAAGTTAATGGGTGCACCAGACCAACATAGCACATGTATACATATGTAATATACCTGTACGTTGTGCACATGTACCCTAGAACTTAAAGTATAATGATAATAAAGAAAAAAGAGTTCTTCTACCAGTAAAATTATTGTTTTATTATAGGGAATCTGTTTTTTCCGCTCCGACTGAATTTAAGATAAATTTATATTTATTAGTTTTTGCAATACCCTTACTTTGGGTGTTTGTGTGCATATGTGTATTTATGTGTGCATGTGGTTTAATTCTAAATGGAATCCGGTGATCTCTCTCAACTTGAGCATTCATATGTTCTGTAATTTATAAAAAGATTTCATGTATTATTCCTTCTCTTTTTTCTAGAACTCAAAGTATACAAATGTCATATTTTTCCTTCCATTCTCTATGTATCTTTATTTTTCTAACATATTTTAGAAAATATTTTTACCTGTATATTGGGTAATTTTTTAGCTATATTTTCCTGTGTGCTGTGTCTCTCCTTTTCTACAAATCCTCTGCTACTTATTATCTCTTTTACATTTCTAGTTTTTTGTTAGCTGCTTTCTTATTTATACATAATAATTATACATATTTATGGGGTGTAGGTGATATTTTGATATATATGTACAATGTGTAATGATTGAATCAGGATGTTTAGGATGTCAATCACCTCAAAAATGTTTTCCTTTCTTTGTGTTAGGAAATATATTTCAAATCTTTTAGATATTTTGAAATATATGAGAAATGATTGTTAATTATAGTCATTCTACTTTTCTATCAAACATAAGAACTTATTACTTCCAACTGTATGTTTGTACTCATTAACCAACCTCTCTTCACCCCCATTCATCCTTCCCACCTTTTGAAAAGCATCATTCTACTCTCTAACTCCATGTGGTAAACTTTTCAGTCCCCACGTATGAATGAGAACATGTGATATTTGTCATTCTGTGCTTGGCTTACTTCACTTAACATAATGAACTTCACTTCTATCCATGTTTCTGCAAAAGATAATACTCCACCATAATCAAGTGAAATTTATCCCAGGGATGCAAGGATGGTTTAACATATGCAAGTTAATATATATGATATATCCTATCAACATAATGAAGGACAAAAACCATATAATCATTTTAACATATCCAGAAAAGCATTTGATATAATTCAATATCCTTTTATGATAAAAAACTCTGAAAAAGTAGGCATAGAAGAAATATACTTCAGCATAGTCAAGATCATATATGACAAATCCGCAGCTAAAATATTAAATGGGGAAAAGCTGAACGCCTTTCCTATAAGAACTGGAAAAAACAAGGATGCCTACTTTCACCATTCTTATTTAATATAGTACTGGCAGTCCTAGCCGGAGCAATCAGGCAAGGGAAATAAATGAAAGGCATCCAAATTAGAAAAGAGGAAGTCAAATTGTCAGTTTTTGTGAACATAATTATATATATAGAAAATCTTAATGACTGAACATTTCTATTTTTGAATTTTTTTAGAAATTCCATTTTGTTCATTTAAAATTTTTGGTGGATTATTTTCACAGTCTTTTTCTCCTTAGATGTACTTCCTGCTATGGTTTGAATGTCCCCTCCAAAATTTATGTTGAAATTTCATTGACATTGTGATGGTATGAAGAGTTGGGTCTGTTAAGAAGTGATTAGGCCATGAGGATTCTGCTTTCACGGATGGGTTAATGCTCCTCTCCTGAGACTGGGTTAATTATTGTGGAAGTGGGTTCTTGATAAAACAATGAAATTTGACCCCCATTCTCTTTCTCTCTTGAATACTTGCCTGCCCTTTTTCCTTATGCCATAAAATAATACATCAGCATGTAAACCCTTGCCAGGTGCCAGTGCCATGTCCCTGGACGTCCATCCTCCAAAACTGTAAGCCACATAAGTCTCTGTTCATTAAAAATTACCCAGTCTGTGGTAATCTGTTATAGTAACACAAAGTAGACTAAGACATTTCCCATACTTTTTATGTTTCTTTCAGCATTTTAATCCTCTTCTTCAATTTGTGTAAAGTTTTTTTAGGTCTAAGTTTGTTGTGCGTTGTTGCTGCTATCACTCATGGTTACGTATTTGTTATGTCTGTTTGCAACTTTGAACTTCTAGAAAATTATCTGTGTGAATTCATTGAGTTTTATATGGCAATGGGGCATGTGTTCAACCAAATGATAGTCCTCTAAGATGTTGGGGTCCTAATCTTTGGAACCTGCAAATATGCTACCTTATGTGATAAAAGGGACTTCACAGTTGTGATTAGGGTTAGGGTGTTAGAGACGAGATATGATCCTATATTATATAGGTGGGTCCAGTCTAATCATGTGAGTCCTTAAGAGTGGGAAGAGGAAGGCAGAAGAGTAGATTAAAGAGATGTATGTGAGAAAAACTCAACCTAACCTTTCTAGCTTTGAAGATGGAAGAAAGCGGATATGAGCTGAGGAATGCAGCAACCTCTAGAAGCTGGAAATAAACTTTATGTAAAAATCAGCAAGAAAATGCAGATCTAAATCCTACAACCATAAGGAACTAGATTCTGCCAGTAACACCAATGATCACGAAATAGATTTTCCCATAGAGTCCCCAGAAAGTAACACAATGCTGGTGACACCTTGATTGTAGTCTAGAGAAACCTGGGTGAGACTTCTCACCAATGGAGATCTTAGATAATAAATATGTGTTGTATTGTTTTAAGACATTATGTTTGTAGTAACTTGTTTTTGGAGTCACGGAAAACTAATACATGGTCATTTTTCCAAAGAGAGTTTAAAGTTATTTCTGGCAGATATTTGGCAGAAAAGCATCTTTAAACTTCTGTTTTTGCACATGGTTTTGGAGCCAAGCAGGTAATGTGAATCAGTTCCTAAACCAAATGTTTTATCACTATATTTATAAATGATCATAGGAATTTCTTTCTTAGTTTTTTCTATGTCACTCAAAAAAAGGGTATGTATGTATGTTTGTATAAAACCTTATATATATATATATACTTTATTTAATTTGTGTGTAAAACTTCACATACCCATATATTATATGTGTAGGTATGTTATGTACATACATAAAGCTATATTTATGTATTATATGTATTATATGTACGTATACTAAAGTACACATATATATTAGCTTTATATATGTATATATATTATATGCATAGCTAATATATACATATATGTGTATGCTTTAGTACACACACACATACATATATATGTAAACCTTACTTACTAATGTTGCTATCTTTTGACGGTACCAGCTTAATGAGGAAATAAGTTTGGGAGATAATTTTTGTGCAAATCAATGCTTGGTTTCCCTTGGAAAGCAACGAGATTTAGCATGCTAGTTTACTTCTCTAGAATCATGACAATCTGACAATTTGCTTTATGTTTTTTTTCTGTTGTTGTTTGTTTGCTTGCTTGCTTGTTTGTTTTTTGAGATGGAGTCTACCTCTGACGCCCAGGCAGGAGTGAAGTGGTGCAATCTCAGCTCACTGCAACCTCCACCTCCTGGGATCAAGCAATTCTCCTGCCTCAACCTCCCAAGTAGCTGGGATTACAAGAGGCCGCCACCACACCAGGCTTATCTTTGTATTTTTAGTAGAGATGGGGTTTCACCATGTTGGCCTGGCTGGTCTCGAACTCCTGACCTCAAGTGATCCACCCGCCTCGGCCTCCCAAAGAGCTGGGATTACAGGTGTGAGTCACGGCGACTGGCCTGGTTTATGTTTTTAAGAGCTTAAGTATGCATATAAATATAAGATATAGGTCATATATTTATATGATCAGAAATATTTTTATTTATATTTTAAATTAAAATATATACAAACCAAAAAAAGTTAATATTTATTACCTTTAAATGAAGATAATTGTCTAAGTTAGTATTTCAAGGCAACTGTATTTTTTAAATGGCTTATAAATATTTTTATAAAAGAAAAAGTCATGAAAGGCATTGCTCTTTATATAATTAGAATTATGTCAGCAAAACAAAGGCCACTCTAGATATTCCAAAGGGGAAGATTTTCATACAGCAAATCACAGGTTTGCACAAACTTTGTAAGGGTTGTACAATTCAGAGGAGTCACAGTTATACATGAATGAATCATATGTACTCACATAGTAGCCAAATGAAATTTGAAATCTCACATAGTGTCGCTGCGATCAACCTCAGCTATCAATTTTCAAAATTTGATGTTATCCTAGATATCTGCCTGCAACTTCCTTACAATTTCCTTCTCTTATACTTTCAAATTTTAAGAAATATTCTTCACTGATAAAAATCTAAAATAAGCCATAAATATAAGAGATTCTGAAAAATGTAGTTCAAGAATTCCAGAAGAGGTTGCAGAATAGAGTACTATTGATGAAATGTTGGGAATACATATTCACCACAATGTACCCCTTTGTTTACTCAGAATCCATATATATGCTACTATATTCATTTAAAGGGCTAAACTGGCCAGGCGTGGTGGCTCACGCCTGTAATCCCAGCACTTTGGGAGGCCGAGGTGGGTAGATCACGAGATCAGGAGTTCGAGACTAGCCTGGCCAATATGGTGAAACCCCGTCTCTAGTAAAAATACAAAACTAGCCAGACGTGGTGGGTCATGCCTGTAATCTCAGCTACTCCGGAGGCTGAGGCAGGAAAATTGCTTGAATTTGTGAGGTGGAGGTTGCAGTGAGCCAAGTCGTGCCACTGCACTCCAGCCAGGGTGACAGAGTGAGACTTCGTCTCAAAAACATAAAAAAAAAAATAAAAATAAATAAATAAAGTGCTAAACTACAACATACAAACAATAGCATTCTTTTACCTAATTATCATCACACAATGAAAATATGCTTACTCTCTCCCAAAAAAACGCATAGACGGAAATTCTCAGAAATGATCTCTGCGTGACAAATATCTGTGTGATATTATTTCTAATCTACCTTAGTCATAATCCCCCTGTGATGTATCACTGAGAATAAGTGGGGTTACAGCTTAGTAAAAACCCCCAAATATCCGTGGCTTAACATAAAGAAGGTTTATTTCCATGTCATGCTACATTTTTATGCTTCTCAACAAAGGCTGAGAAGATAAAATTAAAAGATAAGTATGTTCAGATAAAAAGGACAACAAACATGGGATTCCCCTGTAGATATTCTCAATGTCTCAGTAAAGCAAGGGATGCAATAATCAGCTGCCAATGATGGGCATGATGGACAAGTTGTTTAATAAAGGATGATACAGCAAAAGGAAGATACGATCTTGATTAATATGAGTGAAAAGTTTATCATAAAAATAAATGTAAATAAACCCAGGGATTAGGTGGCAGAATCCTAATTGACCTTACAGAATCTGAAATTGAATTCGGCCATGATTTCATTTTCTTTGGTCAGATCATAATGATTACAAATTAATATTGTTGAGTGAATGAAAAATCAGTAAAATACCATCTCAAGAGTTCAGTTTAAACTCAGAGAAAGAAGGCTTCCATTTACTCTTTTATTTTTGATCTCCTCATAGAATTATAGAATGTCTGTTTAGAAGGGATCATAGGATCTGACTCTCATTTCTAACATCTTCTGTAATTTTCCTGACATATATTTAGCCTCTGCTTAGGGATCTCACTTTAAAAATGGAAGTTACCTGCCTGAGCCCTGAAGATTGGGAGTCACGGGTGGTTGACAGATAGGGTGATTTGAACGGTCTTTATTAAATTAAACCAAAAATCTACGTCACTCTCCTTCCACTGTATACTGTCCTGTAGTGACATATTGCCACCTTCTTCTGTGATATAAAACTTTCTCAGATGTTTAAAGTCAGCAGTAATAGCTCACTGCAGCCTAAAACTCCTGGGCTTCAAAAATCCTCCTGCCTCAGCCTCCTGAGTAAGTGGGACTACAGGCACCTTCTCACAGCCTCCACGCCCCCACACATTCCCCTGTTCCATCAGCCCCTTCCCCCAAGATCCTTAGCTCCTTCATATATCAGTTGTTTCCTATCCTAGAAAACCAGTGTTTGGAGCAGTACTATTATTATCTTTGCTTGAACCTTTTTCTAAAAGAAGGAAAAGAGCTGGCATTGCCAGAATCTTCTTTCTTTTTAAGCTGTTGGCTGTTTACCTACTTAGAAGACATATCTTAATAGGATGGATGTCTGGGTTTTAGCCTTGGAGTATCTTTTGGAAGCTTAAAAAAGCAGGAGTTGTGCTGCCACCCCCTAAGGAGGGACCCTAACTCTGCCCTTGCCTGGCTCCATATCACCCCATCCAGCCCTGCCCACCAAATGCACCTCCCACTATCAATCCTGCCCGTGCACTCCTCCTCCTCCCACAACTAGGACACTGGTGGTTCTTATTCTAGGTAAGGCTCAGATTATCCCTCCCCTTGATTTGTTTCCCTCCTAGGCCTGTCTGGTAGCCCCCAAATAGACATAGATGCTGAGCATCTCCTCAGGCCTGGCAACCTTAAAAGAGCCACACGGACATTATTCAGCTTTTCAGGCCACTGGGTTTTGGAGGCAGAAGTACAGAGATGTTGGCTCTGCCATTCTGTCATACTAGGCTGTAGCATAGGCTTTGAGACAGCACAGGTGTATCTCTGCTCCTGTTCTACCAAGGCTTTGAGTGTAGCAGGGGCCTCTGTGTGGAGAAATGCCCTCAAAGGGTAACCGGTAGTTGTTACATAGAATTGGCCAATGTTAGCATATGCAGTCATCACCAAGAAATTTTTCTCCTACCATTGCCTGCTGGAGGGCCCTTTAAGATTGCAGAGGGAATAAGGAGGGAGGCTGCCTGGTTGTTTTTTTTGTTTGTTTTTTTTATACTTTAAGTTTTAGGGTACATGTGCACAACGTGCAGGTTTGTTACATATGTATACATGTGCCATGTTGGTGTGCTGCACCCATTAACTTGTCATTTAACATTAGGTATATCACCTAATGCTATCCCTCCCCCCTCGCCCCACCCCACAACAGGCCCTGGTGTGTGATGTTCCCCTTCCTGTGTCCATGTGTTCTCATTGTTCAATTCTCACCTTTTAGGAGAGGCCACAGGAGTCATTTAAAGAAATCTTTTGTGCCCGGAGCTTCTTTTCACTAGAGCAGGGAAGTACATTTCAATAACTTCTTAAACATTTATGTGGAACAGACGTGAATGTGAGGGAGGTTTTAAGCCAAGCACAAAGTTAGTTTCAAATGCTAGTTAAGAAATCTATTTTTCTTTATTTCTTTTTTCTTTTTTTTTTTTTTTGACACAGTCACACTCCTTCACACAGGCTGGAGTACAGTGACCCTATCTCTGCTCACTGCAACCTCCACCTCCTGGGTTCAAGCGATTCTCATGCCTCAGCCTCCAGAATAGCTAGGATTACAGGTGTGCACCACCACTGTTGGGAAAAGCTGAGTCTCGGGAGAAGCTGAGGCAGGGCTTGCATGTCTGACATAATGTAAAAGAGTCTTGGAACATTTCCAGGATCCAAGGTCTAAAACCCCTCGTGGCCTTTGGAACTCCAAGCTCTGTGCTAAAGGGTGGAAGGCTACCCTGACGCACCATAATCTAAGCCCAGGGCATAAAATCCCTCTTGGCTTGGATAGAATCCAGGGCTCGTGGCTCTGGAATGTGTCTAGACTTGCTGGCTCCTTGCTCCTTGCTCTCCTAGGATTGATTGTATCTTGAGTTAAAAGAACCTGCTCTCCATTATCTCAAGCAGCAGAGCAAATGCTAAACTATCACAGCTGTAAATCATGTACTTGATGCAACGTGACCTTTTGACCTCCACCTTCTCACCACCTGTTTCTTTGTTGGATTACCAAAAAATACCATGGGCCCCCAGAGTTCAGGGCCTTTGCAGCCTCCACCATCATGATAGCCCCTTGGTCCTACTTTACTTCTTAAACTGTCTTTTTCTCAATCCTTTGACTCTGCCAGACTTTGTCACCCCCACACCCGATGTTGGTTCTGATCACCTCAACAACCACACCTGGCTAATTTTGTATATTTAGCAGAGACGGGTTTTACCATGTTGGCCAGGCTGGTCTCGAACTCCTGACCTCAAGTGATCTGCCTGCCTCAGTCTCTCAAAGTGCTGGGATTACAGGCATGAGCCACTGCGCCCGCTACTCCCGTCTTTTTTTTTTTTTTTTAATTTTGCACAGAAGCTGGTAATGTAGGGCCTACATGTGAACAAGTTTCTATTTGGTTACTTGGGTTGATATAATTCATTATATTTAAGTTCTTTCGAACACCGGAGATCCCCTTAATGTGTATGAATGCTTGAGGCTTTGTAAATTAGGGATGTTTGTGTGAATAAAGTTATTTGATGAGATTAAAGCAGCCTTATGTGATTTGATATAAATAAATATAAAGTCAGCAATCAGGTTAATGTTTCCAGATGTGTGAGACTACTGTTCAGTTTATCAATGCCTCTTCATACTGGTCACCCATCACTTTAGATGCCATTTCTGACCTCCGTTAAGGATTTATACAGATTGTCAAATTAGGATGACCAATGATTTCAGTTTGCCTGAGACTTAGAAGGCTCCCATGGTATACGACTTATAGTCTAAAACTAAGTCAGTCCTGTGCTAACCAGGACAAGCTCATCATCTTATAATGTAGGCATTGCTCTAGTGGTTCTTAACCATCACAAGGAAACAAAATCTGCTAGATGCAGTTTCAATCTCTTTCTTTTTTTCCTGACAATTCCTCTGGAAATGATGCTAATGATCAAATCAATAATCAGGCAGCAGGAGGGTGATGGCGTGAGGAACAAACAATTTAGATCATTTAGATCATTTTGCAGTTGGATTGTCAGGATCAAGATGATAAAAAATAATAAACTCTTTTATCTACTGTGTGACAAATTTAGGAATTTAGGAAACTGATTTTACATATTGGTTTTATATTTTAGGCATTCTGTTGCTCCTGAGATAGGAATCTGGCAGGACTTGTTTTACCAGAAACCAATCGCTAAGACCCCACTGGTGAAACAGGATGAGGTGAAGAAGCCAGTCAAAACCTGCCAAAACAAAGATGGCCACAAAAGTGACATCTGCTTGTGCTCACTGGTCGTTATATGCTAATTATAATACATTAATATAATAAAGAAACTCCCACCAGTCCCACGGCAGCTTCCAGAAATTATCACATATGGTCTGAAAAAGGGAACAACCCTCAATTCCAGGAATTCCCTACCCCTTTCCTAAGAAACTCATACATATTAATAATTCACTATTTAGCATATGATCAAGAAATAACCACAAAAATAGCCAACCAGCAGCCCTAGGGGCTGCTCTACCTATGGAGTAGCCACACTTTTATTCTTTTACTTTCTTAATAAACTTGTTTTCACTTAATTCTGTTCACTGCTCTTGAATTCCTTCCTATGCGAAGCCAAGAACCCACATGGTCTCCTGGGCTGAACCCCAGTTTTGGGGTTCACCCTGTGACACTCGCAAGCCATAGTCATCTGCACTAGATTCATGATGAACAAATAGACAGTAGCAGATTATTTTTCATGTCTCTTAGAATGTGTCTTAGGACCACGTTTAGAAAAATCATTCTCTGTATCCAAAATGTGAGGAGGGAATCCATGGATATGTTTCACAAACTGCCTCATCTTCCCACCATGCTCCATCCTGAGGTGTCTTCTATATTCAGAAAGCTTCAAAGTTTTCTCCAGTCTCTTAAAAGTTACCAAGGTGCAGAAACCTATGTCTTCTACAAAAGCATTTTCATTCTTCAGTCTACCCATAGTCATGAAGAGGTGGTTCTCTAAGAGAAAACTGCCAAGTCAGAATGCTTTCTTATGATCTCCACTGACTAAATAATTTTCATGATTGGAATCCACACTTTCAAATAAGCACCACAGGCTCCAGGTGACATTATGACTGAGTGATTTCTTAAGGACTTGATTCTTTTCAGCTAAATTAGCTGCAACACTTGTGAGTACAGCCCCTCTTCATACTGGAAGGCAGTTGACTCAGCTGATGCTACCAGGCCTTTCCCCAGACCTTCTTTATGGTTCCCTTCCAGTCAGATGTCTCCAAAACTCATGAGAAGATCTGCTGTCAGTTTTAAGCAACACAATTCCTTTTGGGGAACTTTTATTACAGTGAGAGATCCAAAGGAGAGATATTCTTTCTATGCTTATTTGTGCTGGTATTATTACTATGTCAACAATGACCTCCTTCATACTCTTCTTCATGCTTAGAAGAGTGCCTGACATACAGCAAGTGCTCAAAAGATGTCAGCTATTATTAACTGCTGTATCTTTAGACTATATTGTAATGAATAAATATTTTCTTATTTAATTGTTAATCTGAATATAAAATGTAGAAATTGCATGTAGGAAAATATAAAAACTACCTGGAATTATTCTGCTCAGAGATAACTATTTTCAATACTTTGGTGAACAATATGTATAAATTTGAAATAATTCTGGGTATACATTTAAAACTTTATTTCTGCTGGGCGCGGTGGCTCATGCCTGTAATCCCAGCACTTTAGGAAGCCAAGGTGGGCAGGTCACGAGGTCAGGAGTTCGAGACCAGCCTGGCCAACATGGTGAAACCCCGTCTCTACCGAAAAAACAAAAATTAGCCAGGCGTGGTGGCGCGTGCCTGTATTCCTAGCTACTTGGGAGGCTGAGGCAGGAGAATCGCTTGAACGCAGGAGGTGGAGGTTGCAGTGAGTCAAGATCGCGCCACTGCACTCCAGCCTGGGCAACAGAGTGAGACTCCATCTCAAAAACAAACAACAACAACAACAACAACAACAAATAATACTTTTTTCTTTACTGTTTCCCTATTTCATATATTCTTTTAATGTGTGTAAAAACTTTTCTTATGTAGCTATAAAATGGTATTATCAATCAATTGTTCCTAATGTTTTATTATTGCAAACACATTTTGGCATTGACTTTTTTTACCTAAACTTTACAGCAAGGTCTTAGTTATTTCCCTAATATCAAATTCTAGAGAAAAATATTTGCACCAAAAGGTATAATTTTAAAACGTGATTCATATTGTCAAATTGCTCTCAAAAAAGGTGTGGCCAACTTACATTCATACCAGTAGTGTGAACTTTTTTATAGCCTCTCAAATATTAATAAATGAATGTAGATATCAATATACATACACATATGTAGATAATATCTATGGATTCAATATTAGTCAAATCATTGTATTTTAGCTTCTATAATCTGTATTTTAAAAACCCTTTCTATGAGCATTTTTGCGTAATACAAAATGTTTTTAAAACTCAGTTATGGAGGTAGGACATGCATCACTAAGGCACAGAAGTGCTACAGGAAATCTATGGATGCCCCAGTCAATAAGTGGTAAAGAAGCAAAACTTAGATCTTTGAATGCCAAGCCTAAAACTCTTACTATTTTATAAGCAGAATTAACACGTCAGCAAGCAAATTCCCTGAAATATGATGGTAGCAGCTAGGATCACTCCATTTTAGGAAATCTAATTTGGCATTGTACCTAACAGTAAGTAAAAAAAGTCAATGAACAAAGTCAGAATAAATGTACTTACAGATGTCCTGAGTCAGAGGTTCTTGAAATATTTAACTTTTTCCCTTGTGTGTTGCTTGGGCTTTTGCTGAATAATATTATGTGAGGTTTAGTAATCGTTTGTTCAGTTGACTGACAGGCATTACATTGAGTAAGTAATTACTTGTCGTTCGTCAGTATTTCAAGAAGACTGTGTGGATGAGAGTAAGTCACTTAAGGTTTAGGGGTTTAATGTTCGATTTTCCACTGATTTATGTCAGATTTTACTCTATTAAAAAAATTAGACCATAAAACTGTCCTAATAAGGTTGATTCGGGCTTCAGCTGGAGGAAAAAAGATGAGAATAAGAGCCAACTTGTTTTATTACTAAGACAAGACTGATTTCTTATCAGCATAATCACCTTACATCCAGGATGCAGGTCTTAATATAGTCAAAATTGAAAAGCATCATGACCATAGACTAGAAACTGAATTCTTTAAATCGCAAATTTCTCTGACCTTTAGAAAAACAAAAGTAAAAATTCACCAAGAAACAACATAGTTAATCAGAAATACATAAGTGTATTGTATAAAGTTATAATAGAATTCAATGTTTTTCTTTTAAAGAACTCAAGGTGGCTTATATTCAAGAGCTGAATAAAAATTATTAGAAAGTGGAGGGCAAAATAAAAAGGCACTTTATTAGAATTGCTTATAAGATTTGATCTTGTGTTGGATATCAATGTATAAGAAGTTAGAATCAGAAAACTTGTCAGAGGCAATGTAAATATTTTGCTGTAATGTAAAAAGAGTTTTCTGGGAACCTTGATGGACTACTATAGTCTCTTTCAAACAACAGGAATTACAACTTTGACAGCACCAGAGAGATATTCTGAGTCCCTGAGTCCCAGTACAGTTTTCTTGTAAGACAGCCTATCTTTCAAAAATAGGGAATACTGGTACATAGCAAACTAAATCTTATGACATCCCTGCTGGTCTGTCTAATATTTCTCTCTCCCCAGCCTCCCTTTCCTATCTATATTTTGTATACTTTAAAGAGTACAATTTTACAACTGTGCACTCTAATGACCTGTGTTTAAATACTGGCTCTGCCACTAATTATTTTTGTGACCTGTATAAGTCCTTCTCTTTGCCTTAATTACTGCAACAATAAAATGGAGATTTAGTTCTTCCTATATCATAGACCTGTTGAGAAATTCATGTAAAACCTTCACATCAATAAAATATACCTTTCATTATCATTTCCTTTCCTTAGAGAGTTTGTGTAAAATCATGAAAATTACTTTTTAATATCATCATGTTGATTATATGCCTATTTCATTTCCATTTGTATTTGAAAAGAAATTCTGATTGTCTCATCTATGCCACTGTACTGTGAATTGATGATATCTACTTGTCATAAGAGCTATGTGAAAGAGATACCACAAAAACATTTGAAAGGAGAAATCGTGAATCTGGAAGGTTACAGAACATTGTGTTCCAATCTCTTCAGACGTTGTATGCATACTCTCAGGATAAGGCATGAATGATAAACATTGAATTATACAATCTTTCAGTACACTTACATATATTATATAAATTCTACCATTAGAGGTATATTTCACTCTAATAAAGCTTTCTAATCTTTTTTCTTTAAAAGATTTAGAAAAATAAATATACATTATAAATTGAAACTATGGTTTGAGTCCATACTTACAAATGACTTTACCAAAGAAATATAATAATGAGTAGAAATTGATTCTAGCAAAGGATGACATAAACTAGACAAATGTTTTGAGAAGTGTCTGTAAACAATACTACAGGTAAGACTGGGATGAGGTCAGGGTCTGTGACTGGCTGCTCGAAGGAAAATACCACATGGATATAACAAAAATGGTGTCCAAAAGACCCATGGACAATTCTATTTTGGAATACCAGTTTCATGTCTGAGGGTGAAGTACATGAGGGAAAGGAGAATGAAGGAGAGCTGAGCAAATCTCAGTATCACTAAAGACTTAGAGAAGTGGTCCAGGTACCAGAAGCTACACAGAGCATTCCCATCCCAGGTCTAAGGATTTGCATTTGACTGAATATTGTGGAGCAAAAAGCAACAAATGACTTAGAATTGATTCAAAGGAAGGACACTGGTACCCTTAGGAAATAAGTGCCATCCTGCCAATACAACAAAAAAGGAATACAAGATTTTAGGTATAAAAGTAAAATTACTATAAAAATAAACAACAAAAAGATAAGTTACCCAACCATAGAGTTTTCAAAAATGAAGTGGTAATTTAAACACAAGCAAATAAAATTGAATAAGAACAGATTGATAACTTGTTAGTATTATTAAGTAGGAAGCAGTTAATTCTCCCTATCTTAACTAATAAATTTATGATGATGCAAAAAAAAGCAGTAGATGTTTAGGAGGGGAGGAAAGGCAATTTAACAAAATTATTTCGAAGTACACATAGAATGAAAAAAAGCTCAACCTCACTGATCACTAGAGAAATGCAAATCAAAACCACAATGAGATACCATCTCATGCCAGTAGAAATGGTGATTATTAAAAAGTCAAGAAACAATAGATGCTGGTGAGTCTGTGGAGAAATAGGAATGCTTTTACACTGTTGGTGGCAATGTAAATTAGTTCAACAGTTGTGGAAGACAGTGTGGCAATTCCTCAAGGAACTAGAACCAGAAATGCCATTTGACCTAGCAATCCCATTACTGGGTATATACCCAAAGGATTATAAATCATTCTACTATAAAGATACATGCACACATATATTTATTGCAGCACTATTCACAAAAGCAAAGACATGGAATCAACCTAAATGCCCATCAATGATAGACTGGATAAAGAAAATGTGGTATATATACACCATGGAATACTATGCAGCCATAAAAAGGAATGAGATCGTGTCCTTTACAGGGAAATGGATGAAGCTGGAAGCCATCATCCTCAGCAAACTAAGACAGGAACAGAAAAGCAAACACTGCATGTTTTCAACACTCACAAGTGGGAGTTGAACAATGAGAACACATGGACACAGGAAAGGTAACAACACACACTGGGGCCTGTTGGAAGTTGGGGGTGAGGGGAGAGAATCTAGATGATGGATCAATAGGTGCAGCAAACCACCACGGCACACATATACCTCTGTAACAAACCTGCACATTCTGCACATGTATCCTGGAACTTAAAGTAAAATTAAAAAAAACATAATAGCTTAAGGAGATTTTGGGCTGAGACGATGGGGTTTTCTAGATATACAATCATGTCATATGCAAACAGGGACAATTTGACTTCCTCTTTTTCTAATTGAATTCTCCTGCCTGATTGCCCTGGCCAGAACTTCCAACACTATGTTGAATAGGAGTGGTGAGAGAGGGCATCCCTGCCTTGCGCCAGTTTTCAAAGGGAATGCTTCCAGTTTTTGCCCATTCAGTATGATATTGGCTGTGACAAACCAGACAAAAACAAGAAATGGGGAAAGGATTCCCTATTTAATAAATGGTGCTGGGAAAACTGGCTAGCCATATGTAGAAAGCTGAAACTGGATCCCTTCCTTACACCTTATACAAAAATTAATTCAAGATGGATTAAAGACTTACATGTTAGACCTAAAACCATAAAAGCCCTAGAAGAAAACCTAGGCAATACCATTCAGGACATAGGCATGGGCAAGGACTTCATGACTAAAACGCCAAAAGCAATGGCAACAAAAGCCAAAATTGACAAATGGGATCTAATTAAACTAAAGAGCTTCTGCACAGCAAAAGAAACTACTATCAGAGTGAACAGGCAACCTACAGAATGGGAGAAAATTTTTGCAATCTACTCATCTGACAAAGGGCTAATATCCAGAATCTACAATGAACTCCAACAAATTTACAACAAAAAAACAACCCCATCAAAACGTGGGTGAAGGATATGAACAGACACTTCACAAAATAAGACATTTATGCAGCCAAACGACACATGAAAAAATGCTCATCATCACTGACCATCAGAGAAATGCAAATCAAAACCACAAAGAGATACCATCTCACACCAGTTAGAATGGCGATCATTAAAAAGTCAGGAAACAACAGGTGCTGGAGAGGATGTGGAGAAATAGGAATACTTTTACACTGTTGGTGGGACTGTAAACTAGTTCAACCATTGTGGAAGTCAGTGTGGCAATTCCTCAGGGATCTAGAAATAGAATTACCATGTGACCCAGCCATCCCATTACTGGGTATATACCCAAAGGATTATAAATCATGCTGCTATAAAGATACATGCACACGTATGTTTATTGTGGCACTATTCACAATAGCAAAGACTTGGAACCAAGCCAAATATCCAACAATGATAGACTGGATTAAGAAAATGTGGCACATCTACACCATGGAATACTATGCAGCCATAAAAAAGCAATGAGTTCATGTCCTTTGTAGGGACATGGATGAAGCTGGAAACCATCATTCTCAGCAACCTATTGCAAGGACAAAAAACCAAACACCACATGTTCTGACTCATAGGTGGGAATTGAACAATGAGAACACATGGACACGGGAAGGGGAACATCACACACCGGGGCCTGTCGTGGGTTGGGGAGAGGGGGAATGGATAGAATTAGGAGATATACCTAATGCTAAATGAGGAGTTAATGGGTGCAGCACACCAACATGGCATATGTATACATATGTAATAAACCTGCACATTGTGCACATGTACCCTAAAACTTAAAAGTATAATACAAAAAGATAATAATAAAAGTACATGTAGAAAAAATAATCAGAATATATCTAGTAAAGTTCAGAAAAATAAAGTATAACTAAAGTATAAAATATTTCAACAATATTTTTAATGAAATATATGAAAACATATTAAAAGGAATTCTATACCAAAATAAGAACGTAAAATCACTTCTACAACTACAGTCTAATGAAGTACTAAAATTATATTAAATATTAATGCCCAAAGGTTTCAATATTTTTCTTGGATATTTTTAAGTCTCACAGGGAAGGAAGTGGCAGCAACTAGGCTCATGCCCATTCCTTACCTCCTACAAAAATACCCACAGAAACAGCTAATTGAAAACTGAGTACCGATTCCCTATAAAAAATGGTATTGAAATGAGAATATCATTGAGTACTCGATTTTAAAAAATTCAAAAGAAGTGGAATTATTGTTCCTGCCCTGCTCTGCAAATGTCACTGGCAATGCCAACAATAATATTCAAATAATAAGGATTCTACATAAAGCCTTTCCCAAAGGAGTTCGAGTTTGTCCTTAGATAGGTTCTGGGTCATCATGCCATATTACTCTATTCGCCTCTGATCCCTCCCAGCCATAAATAAAACAAGCACAATTCAGAAAAACTGATATCTACATAAATGTTAAATTTGTATCTCTTTATATAAAAGTGGAAAGTTATTTTAATCAGAAAGAACGTTCAAATATTTGGTCCTATGCTATTAAAACTAAAAACCAGAAAGATACTCTGGTATCTTTTTTACTTCTTACAATGTATTTTGAAAATAAGATAGCGTTGATTTGGAGAAACATTTATTCCCCATGTTCTTTATTTTCATGTGGAAGAAATGCTAGTGCCTGAGCCACAGACCAAAGTAATTAAAGAAACTCTTTGTTGAGGTCTCTACATATTGTATAGTATCATCTCTACATGTTGTACAGCCAGGAATGAAAATCATGGACCAAAATTAATACTTCTGGCCTTTACCCATCACCATCACTCACTCTGCCATTCACTCATTTTCTACAGTGGGAAGAGATATGTATTATCTATTTAGTAATCTTTGGAGAAGAAACTAAGCATGTTCAGCTCAGCTGCAGCAAGCTTAGAAGACACCCTGTACTCAATTCCACATGTTCTGGTCTGCTGTCTGTCTTGTGATAAGGGTGCTGCTCCTGGTAGAGAAAATCTACAATTGTCCAGTGTCGTTCTTCGGATGAAATGTTAGCAATCCCACTTGGCCATAGATCAAAGTTGATTTTCAAAACAGCTCTATCAGTGATAAAGGTCATATTTTGGTCTCCATCCACCAGATGCATGCATTTATCACTCTATTGGATCTAGAAGTAAATGGCTACAAGGGCGTTTACTTATATATCACTCCCTTCTCACACAACTGCAAGAGTATAATTTATATTTTACTTTACCTATACAGCAGAAAACTAAGGAAGTGACCAAGGTCACACAGCAAGCAAGGTCTGTGTGCATATTTGGAATAATTATGAGGGTCAGCGTTCATGGTTAAGATGGATAAGTCAAACTAAAGTATAAACAAGAATCAAACTTTAAATTACAGGAAAGATTGTTGCTTATTCAAGAGTAGTTAGTTGCCCATAAGCCACATGCATCTTTTAAACCTACACTATCCCCTGAGAATTAGTCAGGACAAATGGTTTGTAGTATCTTGCCATATTTAGGTTCATGAAAACTAAGGTCAAACAGGCCTAGTTTGAATTACTGTTCAGTCATTTGGCAAAGGTGTGACTTTAGGAAAGTCACTAAAACTCTTTAACTTCAGTGGGCTCATCTGTAAAATAATAACTCGCCTTACGTGTTTAACATGAGGATTATGTGAGATTATGTTTGTGAACCCTTTGGTACAGTGTTCAGCATGTAGTAATTAATAGATGAGTTTGTAAATGAAGACCTGACACAGAAAATCAGGTAATATATTTAACATAACAAAGCTACAGAGTGGCAGAACGGATCTAATATATTCATTGTTTTTCATCTTTAATATCATATCCACTTTCATTTCCATGAATTTCTATCAAACTAGTTCTCAGGAACTTAAATTGGGACTTCCCACCTCGCTTCCTTTGCACATTCAAGTCTGTGCCCCTGAGATGTCCACATCCAATCTTTCTGCTCTTTGATGCCATTTATTAGGTCTAGTGCTGTAAGATGTGACCTCCACGAAGCTCTCAGAGATCACCAGGAGTGACTTCCTCTCTCATTAACAAATATAACCAGCATCTGTCCAGTGATTCTTATCAGGGGAGATATTTGGTTGAAATGCATGATGCACATGTCTCAGTCATCTTGCTGGATTTTATGCTCCTGGGTAGTGGGATTTGTGTCTTTTGTTTGTTTCATTCATTACCTTATATAGAATAAGCACTTAATAAGTGTTTGCCAAATGAAAAACAGAATTAGTGAACTTGCCAATGTCCACATAGAAAGCACTGTATTTCTCAAAAAATAAAAAATAAAATAATGAGATTGCAGAAGCAACAACAAAATTAAATACAATTAAAATGTCATATAATGTCATAAAAAGGAAATAATTATTTAGGATGAAAACGTATTGGCATGAAGCAACTTCTTCCCTGTGTGATGCTTCTATGATATTTGGGTTTCAATTATATGATTCCTTCAACTCATTTATGGAGAGATTTATACTGAGCAAATAATAATTGGGGTCCAGCTAAGAGTTGAGAGAAGCTTGGTTTCCTCATACTACAACGAATCTTCAGACCAAACCCCAAGAAGCTGCCGGTATGTTTTGGAGTCATCACACAGAAACTTCTTGAAAAATAATTTACATTTTGGTGAAGATAAGAAAAAATTATTACTGTCCTGATTAAAAGACGAACTAGGGCTAGATACTAATTCTTTTGGTGCCCTAGGACATGGATTTTTCCATTATCCATTGCAGTACAAGTGCAGCTGCCTCACACAAATCTCATTTACTGCACATGCACCCATCTATGGCTGCTACAATGCCCAGCAAGGCACTTTTTCTACAACAGGGCCACCATATTCAGAAATGGGAGGAAAGGAAGTCTGTAGCCAATGTCTGGATGTTTGGATAAAAGCCCCATCCTTTTGCCTTGAGGTGAAACTACTGTGGTGCCATTGATGCTACAAAGTTCCTTGTGAGCATGTGTTGAACCTCGATTTCAGCCAAATCACATCTTTGCTTGGCCTCTTTGCCTGCCTTATTCTGTGCCCTCACTGTATCACAGGTTTTCTCCTGAGAACACTTCTTCAGCAAATCACTTCCACAGAATCAAGGTGGAAGAGCCTGAGCCTGCCTATATAAAAGTCATATTACAATGAGAACACATGGACACAGGAAGGGGAACATCACACACAGGGGACTGTTGTGGGGTGGGGGGAGGGAGGAGGGATAGCATTAGGAGATATACCTAATGCTAAATGACGAGTTAATGGGTGCAGCACACCAACATGGCACGTGTATACATATGTAACAAACCTGCACGTTGTGTACATGTACCCTAAAACTTAAAGTATAATAATAAAAAAACAAAAAACAAAATACAAAAAAAGATATCTATTCTGGCTTTTTCTTTTAAACAGTTCCTTATTTTTTATTTTATGTTTCAAAATTTCTCATCCTGAAAGCAGTGGTGATTTTAGCCTAATCACTGAACTGGGTATAAACAAAAATAAAAAATATATTCTTTACACAAGCATGCAGATTAAAAGCTTTTAGAGAAAAATCAAGGGACAAAAAATTAAATCATTTTATTTTTTCTTATGAAAAAATAATAATGGATACTTCCTATGAAAATATATAAATACAGAATGTTATGTTAAAACACAACTGTTACAAATACTATTTTACTGTAGATATTGTTCTATATTTTGTTATCTTTTTAAGTAGCTTTCATTAGATTTAAATTATACTACATACCAATTTTACATTTAGCTTTTAGTTCTTAAAAATTAGTGTGATGACTTTGAATATATTGACTGTTTACTCCCTGTAACTTTAAACTGCTATACCATCACTGTTCTCACTTCCTTTCTGTGACAAAGGAAGCAAGTTGCTCTATCCTATCAAAGACCAATATTTCTACATGTGGTCTAAGGCTCATTCCTTCTTACCTTCTTAGAGACTACACTCATCTCTTGTTTTCTACTCCACCTTTATTTGCTAATGACATACGATATTTCCCCTCTATGGGGAAAATGATGCAAAACAAATTCTTCCTTGCTCCAAAGGTTGCTCTGGCTACTTTCCTTTTTCTCTACTCATTTCATTTGACTTTGTTAATTTTTCCTTCACATTCTCTACTCCTAGTTTCATTAATGAAACATATCATTGTTTTCCCTCCTAAATATTTGATCACCGTTTAAAAAATGATTTGGTTCTTCCTCCTACTAATACCTTCTACATGTATATTTCTGTTGCAGCCGACATTTCTAGGCACCAGACCCAAATATTCATTCTTTTATTGGCATCTTCCTTTAGATGCTTCATCCACACCCAAATATGATCCATCCACACTGCAACCTCTTCCGCCACACTTGAAGGATGGCCCCCATCCAGTGGGATGGAGACGATAACATCTAATGTGTGTGCTTAATTCTCTCTGCACATTCAGCCATCTTTTCAATAGAATGTCTTGGCAATACTGGTCTGCTCTGCCCTCCCATTTGCAATGCTCTTGACCCTTCTATTACACCAGGTGCTCAAGTCGGAAGCATGGGGAAATCCTTGCCTTCTGCCTCTAATTCTAATCCACCAGTGAGTTCGATCATTTTTGTTTCCAAAATATGTCTTAAAGTTGTCCACTTTTTAAAATCACCACTACCAGCTTCTCTATCTCAGTCTTGCATCCCATCTTGTTTGGTTGATAGTAGTAATTTCTTCATTTTATGAACATGGAAGCCAATTTTAAACAGCTAATAAGTGGAAGATGGTGGATTTAAATCCAAATTAATTTTTATAATTTTCCAACAATTAAAATCTCTCTATAGCAAACAAATTTCAAATAAAAAAAAAACTTTTGATCAAATGAAATAAAGTGCTTTTAGTAATGAATAAAAAGTAAAACCTACCAAGCTCTCTAGATATATTTAAATCATCTAAACAATTTCAATAAATAACTTACAAATATTTGCCCTCAAATGCTCAAGTCAAGACATTGTCTATAACAGACCATATAACAAGGATGGTTGAAAGAAAGTGGATTGATTGCATCCTCAGCAGTTCTTCATTAAATTGCTTTTGTGCCTTTTTCATTTAGATGTTCTTAAAGCCCTTGTTATGGACTAAAGGTTTGTGTCCCTCTAAACTTCCTATACTGAGATCCTAACCCCAATGTGATGTTATTAGAAGGTGGGGCCTCTGAGAATTAATTAAGTCATAAGGATGGAGCCCTTATGAGTGGGATTAGTGCTCTTATAAAAGAAACTCCAGAGAGGCTCTAGCTCTCTTTCTGTCAGATGAGGATTTGAGGAGCTGGAAATCTGCCACCCAAAAGACAGTCATCATCAGAACCCAACCATGCCGGCACCGTGATCTTACACTTCCAGTCTTCAGAACTGTGAGAGCTAAATGTGTGTTGTTTAAGTCACTAGTCTATGCTAATTTGTTATAGAAGCCTGAACTTACTTTATACTTTATATATACTTTATATGTATATATACATATACACACACACACACATTTATATATACACACATCTGACTATACATATAGTTATATACATAACTACTTATAACTATATACATAAACAATATCTATGTATGTATACACATATATAACTGACTAGCTTTTAATAAATGTATAAATACTTTATACTTGACTAATTTTTCTGAATCAAGGGAGGCAACAAATGTATTTTGAGTTTCAGAGAAATAGTTAAATGAGATACAATATGGAAAATTCTAACTTTAATTCATCTCTTTCCTGTGTTTTAAGTGCTATTTATGCCTAAAATTTATTCTCATTTTCCAATAACTCCTTGAGCCATTGACTCACTCTTATCACCTGCAGGTCATTTTTCTTTTTCTTTTTGGGTCTAGTTTATCAATCATTCAATAAGATTTTATTCTTAGAAACTTGATTATCATTATTAATCTTTCTATCAATTCATTTGTATATTGGTTGGAGATGGGGCCCATAACTAATATTTTTGCATCCCAGGTTGTTCTAAACAGAGCATTTTCATCTTTTTTTTTTTTTTTTTTTTTGAGACGGAGTTTCACTGTTGTCACCCAGGCTGGAGAGCAACGGCACGATCTTGGCTCACTGCAACCTCCGCCTCCCAGTTCAAGCAATTCTCTTGCCTCAGCCTCCCAAGTAGCTGGGATAACAGGTGCCTGCCACCACACCCAGCTAAATTTTTTTTTGTATTTTTAGTAGAAACGGGGTTTTGCCATGTTGGCCAGGCTGGTCTCGAACTCCTGACCTCAGGTGATCTGCCCACCTCGGCTTCCCAAAGTGCTTGGATTACAGACGTGCACCACCGCACCCAGCCAACAGAGCATTTTCTTTTAAACTAGGAATATTAGCACATTGAACTATTCATCCAGTCAGCTGGCCATGCATTCTTTCATTAAAAATATGGTTGACTGTCATGTGATAGTGTACTAATTGCTACAAATATATACTCTACATGCACACACAATACAAAATTTGTAAATGCATACAAAGCAAACAGAATATGTGGGCTCACTGAAGTTATGGAAAAAATAATATATACATAAACTGTACTTAGCCTAATAAGTGTTATGTGGAGGAATTAAAGGATACTATGGCAGTGTGTAGCAGATACATTCCTAATGTAGTATGGAACAAGTAATGTTCCTAAAATGCTTTCTAAAGGAAGTTCTCTTTGTTATGCTACTGAGTTTAATCAATATTAGGTTGGTGTGAAATTAACTGCAATTAATTTTGCACCAATCTAATACGTTTGACTTAATATAATTATAGCAAACTTTCTATCTGGAAAATAGAAACTACAGCATTTCTAGCACTGTAAGTTTTTAAAAACATGATTATGTAAGAGAGCAAAGTCTCAGTAAACTTTCAAATGTACACATAGGACATATTCTTTGAACTCCCACAAACAGAAATGAGTAATACCAGTTTAAATTCATGATTAAAAAAACACCCGAAGTGTTTCTTTCAAAACACACTCCTAGATAACTTCTCAATCAGAAAAGAAACAAAATCTTAAATAAGGCTAATAAATCAAAAATAACAAGAACACAGTATATGGAAATTTATAAAATGTCATCAAAGGCCTAATCTGATGACTACATAAAAACTGTCTCAATAAAAAATAAAAATTCTTAATATTTGTTTCTCAAACTTTATTTAAAAATATATATAAGGTAGAAGGCAATATAAAAGTGTAATTTGAAATTAATTAAAAACAAAAAAGCAGTATTTGACAAGTTTCCTTAGGATAAAAGTCACTAATACCAATTAAAATTTTAAATTAAAACTCTATTTATAAATATTAAAAAGATTACCATTATAAGAAACACTATATATGCTAAATTAAAGAATATGTAAAAAATGAAAATTTTTCTAAATAACATGCAATTTGTCTTAGCTGACTTAGAAAGAAGTAAAAAATATGAATAAATAAATTATCATATGGAAGATTTGTTGAGAAAATTTTGAGACAAGATTTTTTGTTTTTAAATTTTTAGTACTGGAGTACATGTTCAAGGTGTGCTGGCTTGTTACATAGATAAACCTAACTTAGGTAAACATAACTTTTTCTGATTCTCTGCCACCTGGAACTATAATCACAATATAGCTCCACCCCTAAACTTTACAGGACAAGGATAATAATACAAATAAAGGTCTGCATACGGTACATTTAAACACTGAAAAGGTCAGAATAAAGACATCCAACTAGTAAATAAGACATAGTATACCTCCCACCCACAATAGATAAACTTTCCAAATATATGTATGTAAAGCTACAATTTCACATAACTAAAAATTGGCAAAAAATCAATGACAATTGAATTAAATTTATAATGCTGATTCTGTGTGTTCGTGGGTTGCCATGCTTGTGAGAATAATAAAATAAAGGCATTCTGTTTAAAACCTACATTTTTAATTCCATATATTTATGAATCTTTCCTCAATTTCAGCAAAATAAAGAGCTACATTGTTTGAATCAAGATTTTTGCTATACATGCATTTTATTGACCAGAATGTTAACTTAGGCAAACTTTCTTGTCTCAGTTTAGTTTGTTATTTTTGAATTTTACCATAATGAGCAATTATATTATTGCTAATTTTTACTTTCTCATGAAACAACATCGGGTACTTCCTAATTTAAAAAAAAATTAGTATGGCATACTATCTAAAGAAATAAAGAAAAAAATTGAAAATAGCAGTGTGATAGTTGACTGAATCACTCTTCTTTTGAAATTGAGAAAAATAATTTTTCTAAAAAATGTAAAAATAATTTTAACCTTTTTTAAAGTAACCACACTAAACCTATTTTTTTGGTAAATCATTCCAAATAACTGTAGACTGCACAATTTCCAAATTAATTTAATTTTCTCCCCAAAACAATTTGCTTCTAGTAGTTTTGTATCTTATCTACATTAAATCAAATTGTTTTTACTGAATTTGGATGGCATTAGTATTGTGTGTCCAGATGTGATCTTAAGTTGAAATTTACTGTGTGCTTCATAAGATATTTCACATTTGGGTAGATTCAGAAAGCATCATGTACAATATTAGAATTTTTCGAAAGAATATCACTATTAGCACAGTAGCACAAACTATAAGCCGTGCATGGAAAAGAGAAGTCTTCTGATTTTCAGTCAAATTTCTGGCAGGTGCATTTTTTTTTCTTGTCTTTGACAATAAGTCATATGCTGCATAAGGACGTTTCTGTCAAGGAAAAATCACATATCTAATGGTGGTCCCGTAAGATTATAATAGAACTGAAAAATGTCTACTGCTTAGTGACATAGCCATTGTGCCTTTGTGATTCAATGCATTACCTTTGTAATGCTTGGATACGCAAGTACTTACAATTTTATTACAATTGCCTACAGTATTTAATACAGTAACAGGCTGTACAGGTTTGCAGCATAGGAGCAATAGGCTAGACCATATAGTCTAGGTGTGTAGCAGGCCATGCCAACTATGATTGTTTAAGAATACCATATGATGTTTGCACAACAAAATCACCAAACAAAGCATTTCTCAGACAATAGTCCAGGTGTTAAGAAATGCATGACTGTATTTAAATTATCTAAATATAGCTAACATTTAAATTTTATTGTTGAAAAAATTTAAATATTGTTAAATACATTTTATGAAATAAAGTAATTCACAATTCTTGTATTTAAGAATCCATCTAGTTGTCTGTATAAAAATTGATATGCCTTGCTCTTTTTTTTTTTAACATTATAAAATATTTTTCGGCCGGGCGTAGTGGCTCACGCCTGTAATCCCAGCACTTTGGGAAGCCGAGGCGGGCAGATCACCTGAGATCAGGAGTTCGAGACCAGCCTGGCCAACATGGTGAAACCCCGTCTCTACAAAAAATACAAAAATTAGCCGGGCATGGTGGCACATGCTTGTAATCTCAGTTACTCAGGCAAGAGAATCGCTTGAAGCCAGGAGGCGGGCATTGCACTCCGGCCTGGGCAATAAGAGTGAAACTCCATCTCAGGAAAAAAATATATATTTTTCAGTCACCATGTGCAACTGCTGCACACTTTTAGGACACACTGACCTGCGTTTATATCCGGATCACACAGAGAGGCAACAAAATGGAGACTCATCCCTTTTGGGAAGTGACTATGTCAGAAAGCTTATGCTTTCTAAGAGAAAGGAATTTAACGGGTTAATTTACTTCTCTTTCAGCTGTTACTTGCAGTTTCATAGTTCTGAAATAGACAATGGCATCACCCATACATCTTCCAGTATTCAGTTATAGTCATCTTTTGCTTTGATGGTTATTGAGAAACATAACGGAATGCTTCCCTGGGGCCGAGTGATGCTTGTGTCATAAGGGCCTTCTTGCCCAGGTCTTGGAGTTGTGCTGAAGAGAGGAGCCAGTCTAAGAAAATATGACTATATCTTGAGTATGGCAGAGAAGAAAATAAAGAAAACTGGGTCTTTGATGATGTCATCAATCTTCTGAAATAAATACCTCTAGAACACACCTATCTTCACAACTCTTATGTGAGAAAGCAAAAGTCCATTTGATTTAGGCCTTTTTAATTGGTGTATCAGTTAGGATTTGATGACAGAAACCACTCTATGTATTTCAGGTGTGAAGCATTTAATATGGGAATTATGAACACACTTCGACATGTGAAAGAATGGAGATCCAGAAAGCCACCACTGAACATCTCAACTTGTAAAGCTGAAGTGGGAGTTTCCTCAGATTCACATGGAAGATGCTACAATTCTCAAAAATCTCTAGAAGTTTCTATCAAGTACTCAAACATCAACAGAAAATCATGATATTCTTAAGAGCTTGCTGGTAAGTTACTGTGAATCTCCTGTCTCATCTGGCTACAACTGCCTCCAGAGGAAAAAAAAGATGTCTTTCTCTTAAGCCTTATAAATCTTGCAAAACACCTCTTATTAGCAGACTCTGACCCCTAACCTATGGGTAACAGGACCTGGGTAACATGAGCAGGATCCTGCTCTTCTGTATCTACAGAAGAGGGAAGATGGGGGCTGTGATGACACCAAGTTACCACAGACAATAACCCAATATCATATTTGGGTTTTCTTTCACTTACAGCTAAAGGTACTCACATCACAGCACTAGATGCATTTATATTAAAAGAAAAAAAAAACAAGGAAATTTATTTTGTAAGAATGTCAATTATAACATAGTTATAAGATAAAAATATTGAAATATTCATGGTGTTTTCTTTAAGATGCTGAAGTTATTAAAATATTTGATAGTCTCTGATGCAAAAGATCCCTTGATATATCATTAATTTTAAAACAGAGGATTTAGAACAGTGAATTCAACAATATCCCTTTGGTTTCATGTATTTACTATATAAGAATCCATTTTTTTGAATTATTTAAAATAAACATATCTATATAATTTAAGAGGTTGATTGGTGAGGGGAATTAAAATTTTCTCCCATTGTATTTGCTATAATGACATGCCACTAAAATATATTTAGATTGACTCATAATTTAAAATTCTTAATAAATTATTAACATTATAAATATTTATAGATTTTTCTTTGGCACTGTTTCATAGAAATATGCAACAAGTGATTTCTGGAGGGATGATTTATAGAGAATTTTAAAACCTAAGCACTTATAGCTTGAATAAACAAGACCATTACACGTATATTTAATAAACTTTAACAAGTAGGAAAACTTATCACCTACTACAAAGAACTATCTTTGAAACTAAAGTCAATAGTTTATTCAAAATTTATCAAATACCTTTACTGCACTGTATCTGTATGCAAGTAAAGTTGTAAATATGTATAATGGTAAATATTTGTCTTTAAGCTAACATGATAAAGATATATTATGTAGATATATAAAATCATGAAACCATGGCAGTCAAATTGCAAACTAAACAAATTCTAAAATATAAGCATTAATAATGTAGAGTGGTAATACAAAAAATAAGATTATCTGTGATTCTAATTTTTTAATTTCTAGGGTAGGAGTATGACCACATAATTAATCATCCATATAGAATGTGAAATTCTGTTTTGAGAGGATAGGGGGTGCTATTAATTATGATGAGTCCCAAGGTTCAAACAAGGGTGTGTGGTCACTGTACAGAAGGAAAAGGCTTCATAGAAGAGGTAGTATTTAAAACGGATCTTGAAGATTGAATCTACACAGAGAAAGGTCCGTATGTGTAAGTAAGCTATTAATCTTTCCTGACAAGAAGAAACTAATCCTTCTCATTATTGCCCTCCAATGATCCAATTAAAACCCAAATATATTACCTTGGAAGAAGAAGATGTTTAACATTTATTAGTACATTAGAAATAATGGTATATTTGTTTGGTTATTGTCATTTAATAAGACGGTGGAAGTGAAGAGAAATTTATATGCTTTTTTCCTTTTTGAATTTACTTTCTTAGTTTGGCACAATAATTGTACAAATTCATGGAATGCAGAGTGATGTTGCAAGATATAGGTTAGTGATAAGATCAGGGTAATAGGCATATCTATCTATTCTTAAACATTTATCATTTATTCACGTTGAGTACATTCAGTATTCTTCTAGTTATTTGAAATGACTCAGAAACTAAAGGGCACTATGAGAACATTGAATATCATAGGACATCAAAATAGGACCCAGAAGTAAACAAAAGAAAAAATTACTATTTAATAACTTTAGGCAGTTCACCATGGCTCATGCCTGTAATCCCATGTAATCCCAGCACTGTGGGAGGTGGAGGGCAGCAGATCACTTAAGGTCAGGAGTTCAAGATCCTCCTGGCCAATATGGCGAAACCTCACCTTTACTAAAAATACAAAAATTAGCCGGGTATGGTAGCAGGCACCTGTATTCCCAGCTTAGTAGGCTGAGGCAGGAGAATCCTTTAAATCCAGGAGGTGGAGGTTGAAGTGAGCTGAGAACGTGCCACTGCAATCCAGTTTGGATGACACAGTGAGATCCTTTCTCAAATAATAAATTAAATAAAATAAAAAACTTTAAGTTGAATCTAAGATCTATTAAATTTAAAAGGAAATAATTGTGTTTAGTACCAAGAACAATATAAGTATGGGAAATAAACCATTTTAAAAATAATTTGTTGAAATGTCAGGATGGCCTAAGAAATAGCTCTAGCACCATGTTATGTTTTTTTAATTTTTTTCCAGTTTCAAGTGCTTACCAATTTTTTCTTCTAATCCTATAACTTTCTTGGACTTCTTCTGTTGGCTCTGTGAGTTTCATTACTAAATCTGTTAGGAAAGTAGGTGTTTTTTTCTCCATTGATTTCAATAGACTCATCTATTTTAAATTACAACATCTTAAATTTGTAGACTCGTACATTGTTGAGTAGTCATACAAATAGTAGGCATTCTTGCCTCTTTCCTAATCTTAATCTTTGTACTGAGGATAGATTAAGTAATAAATCATAAACTAGTTAATTAAATGTACTATGAATAAATTAAGGCATCCCAAAATAAGTGTGCTCCTGGAAAATTATTTTTGTGAATATTGAGGACATGCAGGAAATATGAAGGTTAACATAGTAAGATATATTAGTGAACTTACTTTATGAGAAAATTAGCCTTATAATCTACACATACAAAAAAGTAAAATATGATAGTAAAATTGCCATTATTTTCCCATATATCTGTATTATTTGAAATGAGGAGCAGCATCTCTTACTATTATTTCAGATTGCTGATTTTAGAGATTATTAGACAAAGAAAAAGTACATCTTACAACTTTCTATTCTAACAAGTTAATATAACTAACATAATAAGTTATTATTTGAAAGAATTGAGGTCAATCTATTATACACCTAAAATACTATTCTGTAAAGTTTTGTATTATAATTCACATATTGAAAGTGTAAATGAGTTGGGAGGCATATTTTTATGATTTTGCAACCTTGAGAAATTAAGCCCTTTTAGCTGACCTTCGGTCATTCTATCTATATAGTGAGGATATCTTATGCCGTACCCTACTCTCCTCACTCATTTGCCTAATTTATCATTATGATACAGAGTGACAGACTGACCTAAGATTAATATATTTTCTTTGACTTACTGAAAACTTGATTCCTTGCAAAGGCATAG
This sequence comes from Homo sapiens, assembly GCF_000001405.40. Lineage (NCBI taxonomy): Eukaryota > Metazoa > Chordata > Mammalia > Primates > Hominidae > Homo > Homo sapiens. The sequence goes on from NC_000002.12 coordinate 77,197,868, forward strand.
AGAAGGTTCCATTTTTGTCTCTTTGCATGTATTATATCAACCAGGGGAAAAACTGTTTTGAATTATATTTTCATTTTAGTTTTCTTTTTCCTGCTTAAGAGACAAAGAAATAAACACACACACATGCACGACTTTATGTTGATAAATATGAATATCAGTTAGGCTAGACTAGGTCATGTTGCAGTATAGTAAAATTCTCAAAACCTCAGTAGTTTAAACAACAAACTTCTATTTCGTCTTCATGCAACTTCTGCACTGAGGGCTGCTTTGATCACTGCATGTTCTACAAGACCTTGGGCGACTGAGGTTTCATCTTTATAGCCTCCTATTCACTGCCTCAGTGGGAAGGGGCCTCTGAAGAATCCTGCAAATGATCCAGTGCTCTGACCTGGGCGTGACACATGTCATACCTTCCACCACTTACTGGCCAGAACAGAGCCCCAAATCATCACAGTAGGGCTGGGAGTTCTGTCCTTTCTCATTGTGTCAAAGGAAGAAGATCTAGACATTGGGAAGCATTCTAAGATTTCACATTAGACAATGTTATTGGCTCAGAAATCATAAATATGTTAGCCTCTAATCATTTTAAGTACAATGTAGTCAAGCTGTTTGAATGATTCTAACCCTTCCCTTATCATCAGAAAGACCGTTAAAATTAAGATTAATTGTGATTCCATCAATTGAAGTTGAACATTTTCTATTTGGAGATAAAGGAATGAAAGTTTAGAGAGCATGAAAAACCTAGATATATTTGGTACAGAATTTATAAACCAGACTTGCTTTTAAGAATAATATAGCTATAAAAATCAGTGAACTTAGCTACTTGCTTTCAATCACTGACATTTTCCAAGCTGCTAGCTGGCCTTCACTCTTCACCTCCAGGACAAATTTACCTCCTCTACAGAGCCTTCTGCTAATGTAGTCCTCCTTGCCTACTTAGGCAAACAGAGCCAGAGCAATCTCTCACTAGCTATCCTAACTACTACATTCTTAGTGCTCATCATGTTGCCTGCATATATTATTTTCTTATTACTTGTGACCACTACCTTCCGCAGACTGTAAATGCTGCAGGATCAAGGACTCCAGTGGCCTGTTACCCCTTGTGTCTTTGGATCCTACCACAGAGTGACATCTCCAACTTCTGAATTCCTCTGTGTCCTTGGTATCTGTAGATCTGTTTTAGCACTTTGGAGCCTTGATCACAAACTTTCCTGTGTTTTTCTGATAATACTTATTGAATGCTAATTTATAAAATGCAAGTAATCTCTATAGGGACATTAAATAAATTGTTCTCTGAACACATTTAGCTAAAACACAGACTTCAATCTTAATAACAGTATTTAAAAAAGAAAAAGGAACCAACTCTTACTATGCACCAGGTAATCAAGTTTTAGATAATTTAACTTACTTGGCCCAAACCACCCTAAACTCATTTACACATGAGGGAATTAAAACTATAAAGGGTCAAGAATTGCCCCAAATCAAATGGCTCATAACTAGTAAAATCAGGAATTGATCTTAGATATATTGGCTCCAGAGTCTGTGAGCTTAACCATTTTGCTATAATGCCCTCTTATTGGTAGATTCTATCTTCCCTTAAAGGTTCTAATTTTGGATTTGTCATTTTTCTCTGTTTTGTTTTGTTTTGTTTCCTTTGTATACAAGAGGAAAAAAAATGTATTGAGACCAGATGATCTCTAGATCTCACTTTCCATTCCAGTAGTCTATGAGTCATATTAGGAAAACTGTTTTAAATTGCAAACATTTAGTTACAAGAATCTTCATAGTGTCTGTTCAGATACAGCTAACTGAAGTGACAAAAATTTTATCATGAACATTCTATGCTGTCATGTTAGTACACTTAAAAGACAAGGAACAATTATAGCATGCTGTTTAAAAAGAAGGCTTCTTCATTATAATTAATTACTAGTAAACATAAATCTGTTTCAAGAATGCCATGCCCAAGATAAATGGAAGTGTCACATGCCATAACCAAGAGAAAGTTAGAAATCAAAGGCATTTGAAGCAACCACATATAGATACATAATACATTTCCATAAAAAGCTCAAAACTTTTGCTAACTTTTGTTTCAACAAAAGTTGCTAAGAATTACCTAGACACAGAATCTTCAATTTTATAAATCAAACGTGTGGGGAATACTAGATTAAACAAAGTTAAACATGTGTTTTAGAACATTTACTATAAAAATAGAATCATACATTTCTTTTAGAAGGAATAACAGTGTTTCCCAACATACTTGGCCATGGAACCCCTATTTCTTTTATTAGGCATCTCTTGTGATTAATGGTCCCTGAAATATTCTTTAGCAAATAACAAATGCTGATTTGAGATCTAAGGAAACATGAAATTTAAAAGTAGTGAGTTTAGTGTGAATGTCCCAGAAACTTGAAAGAAACATAATAAAATGTTAGCTCTCTTACTAATGTAACTTTCAAATCAAAAGTTTAATTTTTCTGTAGCCTGATATAGACATCAGTTGACAAAAACATTTAAATACATTTATATATGTGTGCATATATATGGAGATGCATAATTGTTATGCATATATATGCATACATATGTCAAATATAAACTCTTCTTCAATTCAGTTCTGAACAAAGCAATTAACATTCTAAAATGTTTATGAAAAATAAGAATGTCTATATTGGGAAGCTCTTTTTAATGGACAATATGCATGTTCTTAGAGAAATATTTTATAGGGGTGAGTGTTGGTAAGAATCATTTTGGCTAGGGTAAAAATGTTCAGTAAAATATAATCTTCACTCATTATTTTTTTCACAAGCTACAGCTCACTGCTACAAAGGTCAGCAGTTATAGTCCTCAGTGGATTCTTAGTATGTAGAATGAGGGAGTTTGAAATGATTTGTTCTGTCACCTGTTCCCAGAAAAACTGACATAATTTAATATGATGACTGTTCTCCTTTACCTCATTAAACCAGTAAAGGAGAGCTGCATAGAATCCTAAGTAATTTATGACTTACCACTTGCAAAATATGAGTTTGGAATTCTGAACTCCACCTGCCACAACTGCCTACTCATGCCCACCACTAGCCAAAATCATTTGTGTGCCTAGAATAGAAAACCTGCGGCAAAGTCCCTTTTAAATCGGACAAGGCAAGTGTACGTAAGCCAGTTATGGTGTAAATATACAACACCTTTGCCTTTCATCAAAACAATGATTTCAGGAGGGGATTCTCCTTTATACTGTCATGACTTAGAATCAATGAGTTAAAAAATAGGAAATATTCAAAGTATGAACAATAATATAGCAAAGGAAAAGAAAGAAATTAAAAACCTTTAAATAGAAGTCTTATCTGTTGGTTGATAATCTGGATTCTTACAGGTTAGCCACACAGTAAGAGGAGACTGCAAAGTATATTTTATAATTTCAGAAACAAAAATGGGAGTAATGTACTATAGGAGTACCCAAGAAAAGCAAACTGTTATATTTCCTTGCTTTTGCCTAGAGTTAGTTAAATTCCATATGCTAACTTTGGTTATATGATGTTTATCTCTGGAAATTCAGTTCTGTTTCTGTTTCATATAAAATTAATTCATTGAATTTTTGGAAAAGGAAATAATTATTACTTAAAAACAATAGTTTGGTTGACAAAACATTTTCAGAAGCTGTGACAGAGAGATGTCTATATAAGAAAGCATAATCCAACTTCAGAAACAGAATGCAAAGAAAGAAGAGATAGTTTTTCAAGTAGAAAAGACTATACTCAAAAGAAAAGGTTAGTGTTCTTTTAATATACCTAGGGAAATAAATTTTAAAAAGTCATAAGAGCAAAAAATCAATATGTGCCAAGGGGTAACATTCCATAGCATTTCTGATATCTTTATAATATTTAAAAATCACAGCTTGCTGGGATTTTTATTAATGACAAATGAAATAGATTATAAATAGCCATGAACCTAACCTCCTTCAATTTGTAGAGTACTTATCAAATTTCTAAATGTGATTTTTCATAATGCTTCTTTTCACAGACACTACAGGGAAGGATGTCATCGATGCTATTTCAGATCTGTCATATATAATCTTCTAATCTGCCAACTTTTGCAACTAAAAGATGAGCTCATGTACAAGCTGACAAGAGGTGGTAATGAGTCTAGGCTTTCTTGAAGGTTGTTAAAAGTTTAAGTCCCCGGCATTGTGCAGGTGCTCTCTGAATTGGCTTGGCAATTTTTATAATGACAGCTGCTGTCAGGTGAGAGGATACCAGGAATGTTGTCAGTAACAGTGAAAGAGTGTTAGAAATAAAAGTGGCCCCAGATATTGGCAAAAGTGATTTGTGTAAACTTATCAAATTTCTTTGGGAGTCCTGGATGGTTCATTTTTCCCTAGGTATGCTTTAAAATCACCATTTCTGCTGATGATTATATTATCTTTATATGGAAATTAATCAGATTAGCTGAAATAGGAAAAAACCCAGACACATCAATCCGGAGTTTATGGCCCTGACATTTCCAAGTCTGAAAAAACTCCTAATGTATAATATTACTACCAATTATTATTAGAAGTAGCAGCAGCATCAATGCTCCTATAAGTAATACTACACGCTTTAACGTATATGTCTATAAATGTCCACGGCTTTCAGTTACTTCTTTGGAAGTGATCAACCAGACTAGATTGCCATTTTACATTGGAATTTGGATAATTTTTTTTTTTCCAGAAAGTCGAGCCTAAGAAGGCTGAGGCCTAACTTTAGATCCACATACCAGGGTGCTGTAAACACAAGAAGTTATCCAAGCTTTGTAACTCACTGTGCTATACTAGATGAATATTACTGGAGTTATGTCAGCTTTTTGTATAAGCTAAAGGTCTTAGGCCAGTTCCAGGAAGCTGTTACAGTTATCACTTTTATTTGTTTGTTTCATGTTATATTTTGTCTTCTCAGTATTGGTTTTTATTATTTCTGGATTAGTTACCAGTTCTTCAAAATTGGAGACTTTGCCTAAAAAGCAAATTTTCATCTTCTAAGGAAAAGTAGAATGTATGGGAACAGGAGGATCATGTTCAAACACAGCCAGAGTGAAATCTAAAGGAGTAGCTTTGAGTGCTTTGGAAGGCCCTCAGGTGACCGTATTCCCCACCTGGCTGGTTTCGCACATTAAGACTACCTACTGGTCTTGATAATTATGTGAATTTGATAATTTTGCAAAAGATCTTCAAGTAGCAACAGGTTCTTACAGAGGAGTAAATATATATATATACACACACATATATACATATGTGTGTGTATATATATGCAGTCCCTAACTGAGTTCCTTAGCAGTGAGAACTTTGAACATTTACTTTTTTACCCAATTTCCTATGAGGTCCCCAGAGAGAGGCTGACAAGACAAAAACAGGTCTCCATTCTCAGAAAAGGAATAGACGGGTCCCTAAACGGCAAAAACAAGCGTCCAAACAAACCCTAAGTTATACAACCTTGACTCCTGGAGATGGACAGGGGATGGTAATTAATGAAAGAAAAGGATTTCAAGAACTGGGTCACATGGTCACTTTCGGAAGAGCAGCACATACAACTTGACACTGAATCCCAGTAGTCACTGGGCTTGTTTACTACTGACTGCCTTAGGTAAAGATTGGTGTTGGAATTTGGCAGTAGGGCCCATCTTAAAGATAAGGATCCAGGAACCCACTGCTACTGTGAAGGTAAAAACTCAAGACTGAGCCAAGCCAGACAGACAGCCATAAGTGTGTGTTTCTGATCATCAGAATGTGGGTTTAGCAAATACAACTATTAGTTTACCTTAATGATAAAGCCTTTAAGCTCTGGAGAGTGTATAGAAAAGAGTCAAGTGCAGAAGTGTTGTTCAGAGGCAATGGATATTCTTCAGAGCAGATGAATATTTTAGGTACAGCCAGTGCATGGTAACACCTCTGTGTCAAGAAACTTTTTGTTCAAAATGTTCTATTGCAAGGTTAAGTTAAAGAAACATACTGTTCCACGAGATATCTATAAGAGAATTAAAACTCAAGGCAGTGTTGTGGATTTCAGTCTAGAAGTCTGAGGTAAAGTTCATTTTCCTTCTTTTAGGTCACAGAGTAAGTCGCTATAGCAATCCTAGACCTGAAACGATGTTGCATTGTTTAGTGTCTGTTGCCATTATCTGAAATGATCTAGGATCCACAATGTCAGTGTCAGGCCAGGAGACCTGGGCATTAAACTATGCAGCATAGGTCACCCTTTGTCTACATTGACATGTTACCCATGTTATGAACCAAAGATTGCATCTCCCAAGCAAACTGAGTCCAGTGCAAACATCACAGGGAGCAGCAGAGAACAGAAGCACATAGCACTGAGTAGCTGGGTGGGCCAGGGTGAAATACTGTGAGCTTCACTTGCTCATGTATAAAGAAAATATAAGCTTAGTGCTTACTGCTAAGGTTGTTATGAAAATTTCTTGACTAAATCATGTAACGTTTTTAAAGGTAACTCTTCACTGAATAAATACTGATGATGATGACAATGATGATGATGGTGATAATGATGATGATGGCAGCAACTAGATGGACTACATTTGGAAGCAAACCAACTTTTTAACACTGAATCAAATAGAATGAAGCATTTTAAAGGCTGGGTTCCAGAAACTATTCTAGTTGGGGAATTAGGCCAGGTGGATACTTAACTTCTCCTGACTAATGCCTATGTATCTTTCCAGTCTCAGGTTTGATGCTGTTTCTTCAGGAAGTCTTCCCTATCATGCTATCTTGAGTCAAGCATTCCAGCTTTGTATGCCATGATATTCTGCCATTCCCAAATCATAACACTTTCTGTGATTCATTGTTAAAAAGTTTGATTGTGTGGTCTGTATATATTAGTAATCTGCAAACTCCATGAAGGTAGCAGCCTCTTCAACTTATGTCCTACACCAGGCATAGCACTAAGCAGATAGGAAGGGCTCGATAAATACTCGCTGGATAAATTAATCTATCAATTGACTTGGTATACCAACCCACCCACTCTCAACTCAGGTAAGAATGTAGTAATTAAACCCATCAGATATAAAATCAGCATCATCCAGAAAAGGGGTGATAATTTTTCAACTATGATCTAATGTGGAAGTATTACCAAGTGAAAGTATAAGGCTGTTGCTATTATACAGTTACAGAATTAATTTGAAAGATTTATAACTCCCTATTTTTGGAAATCATAAGTGTGATTACTTATCCGTTGGAAGGGTATGAACATTTTCCAGTGCCGGAAGAAGGCAACATACACATGTAGTGCAACACTTAATGATGTATTTATATGAAGATATTTGAGTACCACTTATCTTAGATTTGGGGGATGCCCCAGTGAACATGATAAATACAGCTTTGTTTTTAGTTTTGTTTTGTTTTCATGGAGATTATAGTCAAGGGAGAAAGAAAGAAAACAAATCAGAAACCAAGAAAATAGGACGATATCAGATATTGGAATGTACCGTGGAAGAAAATAATATTGGGTAATGGAATGCAGAGGACTGGGAGGTAATGACTGGGGTTTTCTTCAATTAGATTTCATAGATGGCCTGAGGACATGGCATCTTTCAGATAGGAACAATGAGAAGAGCTGGCACTACTAAGATCTGGGAGGATGTCATTCCAGGAAAAAGTAATGACACACAACACATGAAGACTCTCTGAAGCAGATGTATGTGGCCTGTGCAAGTGTCCAGGAGAGCTACGGAGGCCAGAGCACAAAGAGGAAGAGGGAGAATGGAGTGAAGAGAGGTCAGAGAGGAAGGACAATCCAGGGCCTTTGGACTTAGAGCACATTCACAGTCTGTATATTATTCTGATTCTAATGGAAATCCACGAAGTTTTCGAGCAGGTTTAGGTTATTCGAAAAATCATGACTATCATGAGGAGAATGTACCCATTATATTATGATTGCTGAATGAGCACATTTTATATCAACTTCAGACATCATTAATAATCATTTGCTAAAGATTGTGTCTCTTTTTGTTTTAGAGACAAGGTCTCACTCTGTCACCCAGGCTGGAGTGCAGTGGCAGGAACTCGGCCCACTGCAGCCTCTACCTCCAAAGCTCAAGTGATCCTCCCACCTCAGCCTCCCCAGTACATGAGACTACAGACATGCACCACCACCCCTGGCAAATTTATTTTACCTTACTTTTTGTAGAGGCAGGGTATCACTATGTTGCCCAGGCTGTTCTTGAGTTCCTGGGCTCAAGCGACCCCAACTACCTTGGCCTTCTAAAGTGCTGAGATGACAGGCATGAGCCACCATGCCTAGCTGTCTTCTTTGCCAATACACTGTAATTTCAAAATTCTATTTTTTTTTTTTTTTTTGAAACAGGGTCTCACTCTGTTGCCCAGGCTGGAATGAGGTGGTGCAATCTTTGCTCCCTGTAACCTCTGCGTCCTGGGTTCAAGCGATTTTTGTGCCTCAGCCTCCTGAGTACCTGGGACCACAAGCACATGCCACCAAGTCCAGCTAATTTTTGTATTTTTAGTGGTAACATGGTTTCACCATGTTGGCGAGGCTGAGGCTGGTCTTGAACTCCTGACCTCAAGTGATCCACCCACCTCGGCCTCCTAAAGTGCTGGGATTACAGATGTAAGCCACCATGCTTTGCCTCAAAAAAGATTTTTTTTGAGACAGAGTCTCGCACAGTCACCCAGGCTGGAGTGCAGTGGCCCAATCTCTGCTCACTATAACCTCCGCCTCCCGGGTTCAAGAGATTCTCATGCCTCAGCCTCCCGAGTAGCTGGGACTGCAGAGCACGCGACCATGCCCAGCTAATTTTTGCATTTTTAGTAGAGATGGGGTTTCAACATGTTGGCCAGGCTGGTCTCGAAATTCTGGCCTCAAGTAATCCATCTACTTTGGCCTCCCAAAGTGCTGGGACTACAGGTGTGAGCCACTGTGCCCAGCACAAAACTTATAAATTTTAATTTAATTGTTCTCTATTCTCCAAAATCCTCTAAATGATTTTGTTGACAGAGCAATAAAAACAACCTTAATTAAGGCAGCGTGGGTCACATTTCACATCAAAAACAGCTAATATAAACTAGAACCCAAAATTACCAAACTTCAGAAAAATCTCCTACAATAACTCCATCTTATGTAGCACCAACATTCAAATCATCTCACAAAGGTGGCAAAGTTATTCATGGATAATTTCATACAATGTCTCTTCAGAGCCTGAAACATTCCCTCCAAAATGTGACTTATTCTTCTTTCTTTTGTTTGTAACCAACTGAAATTTAAAGAAACTCACATATATTTTATATTTATATATATATATATATATATAGAAAATTTCAATTGATAACAAACAAAAAACAAAATGAAACCAGGAAAAATATATACACATATGTGTATATATATATACGTATTTATACACATATATGAAGTACACATATATGTATATGTGTGTGTATATATATACGTATATATACACATGTATGTGTTTATGTTTTTCCTAATTTCATATATGTGTATATATATATATATATATATATACACACACACATATTTATATACACATATATATTTCTCCTGATTTCATTTTGTTTTCTTACCAGAAAACTCTGGGACACACTTAGACATTACCTTCTGTTCTCCTTGTAGCATGTCATCAGAGTGAGCTTATAATTGATGCTGACTCTCAACCTGGCTGTGACTTATTGTTCATTGCAGAGTTGAGCTCACAGCATTTGGCCATTTGTTATAAATTCATACAAAGCTTTGCAAGTAGGTCTCCTTGATGTCTCGTTATGCTACCACCTTTAAATGCCTATAACAATCACTGACAATTCTGGATGGTATGTAGATTTTAGCTGGTCTCTAGGTTCTCCTTAATATTTTCAACTCATAAATAAACTATGTATGATATGTTCCATCACTTATTTCAAAATAAATTATATTCTGTTTTTTCCATTGGGATGGAAGAGTTTTTGTATACTCTGTTCCATACCAGATACTGGTAAATGAAAGTTGAATAAGGGAAAGTGGCTTTTTTTTTTTTTTTTTTTTTTTTTTTGTGAGATGTAGTCTTGCTTTTTTCACCCAGGCTGGAGTGCAATGCTGTTATCTTGGCTCCCTGCAACCTCTGCCTCCTGGGTTCAAGAGATTCTCCTGCCTCAGCCTCCCAAGTAGCTGGGATCACAGGCACCTGCCACCATGCTCAGCTAATTTTCGTATTTTTAGTAGAGACAGGGTTTCACCATGTTGGCCAGGCTGCTCTTGAACTCTTGACCTCAGGTGATCCTCCCACCTTGGCCTCCCAAAGTGCTGAGATTACAGGCATGAGCCACCACGCACCCCCCAAGGTGGCTTCTTTTAAGGGGTATAGAATATAGTGGGGAAGACAAACAATTGAATCAACAATCACGTGTTAGACATAGGAACTAGATGCTATAAGGGACTTTAGCCCCCTCTTCCTCCCTTTCTCGCACACAGAAAGAGAAGAATGTAAGTCATAGGAAGCCTCCTTTATAAAATGAAGTTTCAACAAGGCTTTGAAAGGTAAACATAATTATTTGAAGAAGGAATTTCTTCTATATACAAGAAGGCAGACAGGAGTGAAGATCCAGAGCACATGTGAAGATGGTAGGAGGAATGATACTTCCACTCACTGAGTGAGAAAAGGGAAGAAGGGAAGCCTGTGGGTGGAGGCTGGTCAACTGTTGGAGAAGGAGTTGGGGTGTCACACATATATATGTGTAATATGTATGTCACACATATATATGAAGTCACACATATATATGAATGTATGAGGTGAGGTTTTCTGAGGATGGAGAGAGAGTTGAGTCAGGGGACTTGGGGAAAATGACTGCTTGAGATTGCCAGTGTGAGAAGTGTGAGACCAGAGGTTTAGACTAGAAAATCAAGCCATAAGCAAGTTGATAGTTCATTACAAAATGCTGAGCTCAAGGGCCTGGAAGTGTTTATAGGAGCTGGAACGGTACTTATATTTGCATAATATACTAAAATAATTATATCTTGATGTGAATTAACCCAGTTGGCTATTTGTACCACACATGTAAATAAAATAGAATTGTAAAAGATACCAGCAGGTTTTAGACATATAAGTAATTCTGTGATTCAGTACTCACTTACAATTAATTTTACCAGGTGAAATTTCACCCCTTATCTAACCTTCACTCAGCCTTCCCCTCCCTTTCTATTGTCTAAACTACCCAAGCTGTCCTATCACCAGCGCTCTCTCCTCACATGGCTCCCTCCATTCCAATTTCCGAGAGGACTTAAGTAATTAAGACTTTGAATGGTTATCAAGATTATAAACTCAACCTAGGAGAGAAATTATACCTTGCTTTTCATTTTGTTTTGCTCTTTCTACAACAAAAATTCACAAGCAAGCTGTACATGAAAACATACTAATGCTAGGGCTCCATGCCTAAGTACTAAATCATAATTACCAGCAACTGAGGACTGGGCATCAGAATTTGGGGAAAGTTACAAAGGTGATTTTAATGTGAAGACATATGGACCACAGTGTTAGCTCCTAATTGGCATTCAGAGAAAAGTGATGTGTTTGAGTGGCTTTTGTAAGAAAAAAAAAAAAACAAAAAACCAACCAATTTATACCAGTCGCACTGCAAAAGCACAAAAATTGCAATTCTTGGTTGCAGTAGTGGGGTCAATGTCCTTCAAATCACAGATAATGTTTTAGAGGTAGGTATTATCGACAATGTTACAATTCAAATAAAAATTCATTTGTTGGAACACTCACACATGTTGTCAACCTGCCCATATACCTGCATATGATTTATTTAGCCAAAAAATACAATGCAAGGTTTCTAGTGAACTATATAATTTTCTTATGCCATTTTCTAAAAGGCATAAAAGGCAACAAAACAATTGCATTGAAACAATGCTCTGACCTGAATAATCACACATAGAAAATAGTTTTATCTGGCAAAAGCCATTAGGAGAAACTGTGAACAAAGTGAAAACAGCTTTTGTGTATTTTGGATAATAGTAACTCAGCAGGACTAAAAAAGTAAAGCCCTATTAAATCTACTTCACGTTCTACAATTCTTGCTTTTTCAAAGAGTAACTCTTTGACTCCTGGGTTCAAATATTTCTGTTCCCAACACAGAATACAATTATAAAGCTCTCTGCCTAGATTTACTGAGCATTACACTTTTCACTAGGATGTCAGACACTACATCAATGCATTACAATTACAATTATACCAAGACCTATTTTATTTACAGAAATAATTAATAATGTTGCTGCTGCTGATTTCTGACACGCCAAGGAATTGACTAGGCATTTGAAGGAGAAACCAAGAGCAAAATAGCGTTAGCTTGTACCTGATCATGTCTGGGCCTCATGATGTCTCTTTTTCATCCCATTGGAAATAACATTTCTGCTTCTTATCTCACAACACAAAATCCTTCCTGCCTTTTCTAGAAACTTACAGTTCTAGAAGTTATCCTTTTCCATTTCCTCTTCCCCACCCTATAAAGCTTTCCTTTAGCTAGTTAACACCTGAAAAGAATAAAATCCTTTAAAATAAATTAAAATTCCTAAGACAAGTCACATGGCAACATTAAAAATAGTTTAGGAAGTAAAAACAAAAATTTTGTATACATTCATCTTTCCAATAATGCACACATCATTTTGTTTTCCTTTTCTGTCTCTGTGTCATATTCATGAATAATCTTTATATCCATTTTATATCCATTTAATTCCCCACAATCTTTACCTGTCTCTGTTGCCATCACCGTGGGCCAAACAGCTGATTCGTGGTGGAAATAAAGCTCCAATCAAATTCAGTTTGACTCCTAATTTTGTGTGCCATTTTTCCCACTGCGTTTTCAGGGTCTGGTGATGTGTTTGAAGTTACCAAAGAAATTGAGAGCCTGTTTGAAGTTCCACCTGAGGCCATTCAGCTAATAATTTTCCAAAATAATTTTAAAAATCTTCTTCTATCAGGCAAGTTCACCAAATCTGTAGCTGCAAGAGAGACACATATGGAGCATGAACAGAGGCAGAGTGTACTGTCTGTAGTGTCAGGTGAGTACAGGAAGCTCTGCTGAGCAACGGGAGATGGATGTGGTAGCCCGCCCATTACCTGGAATGTGTAATGGATGTGAAAGTGTAGTCACTGTACGCTAATGACTCCAACAGAAAAAAGCTCCCCTGTACCCCTGTGGTGTTCAAGGCCCATCCAGGAAAACAGAACCCAGGTAATTACATAAAATAATTCAATATGGGGAAATAGATAGAGAAGTGTTGAAAAAGCTAAACACTAGGAAAGGGGAGGAGGGCAATGAAATTATAAGCAACTATAGAAATTGTCCTAAACTCTACAGTTGTGAGGACAAAGAGAAACTATTATTACCAGAAACTAGTGCTAAGGCCATCCTGGAGGAGCTGGAAGGACAGATAAGGGGACACTCAGCAAGTGCTGAAATGATGAAAGAGAAGCAGATACTGCTTAAAGCAGAGAGAGAGAATTAGAAATGCTTTGGCTTCTCCTAGCCTCCTAATCACAGCCTCCTGCTGGTGCTTACATTAGAGAAAACTAATAGGAAGCCGCTGGGTGAGAGAACAGAGAAAGGGAAACAAATCTGAGAGCAAATGGGCAAGTGATTGGCCCAACTTCCAATCCACCCATAACTTTATTTTGCAAACAAAGTATTTTAAGGAAAATCAAATACTTAGGATCCTTATCAATAATATATTAAGAGTATATATTTCTTGCTAGTTTCAGTTATTATTATGACAATGGTTGTTGTAAGCCTATCACTACCCTTTTCAGGAAAATATGGATAGGTAAATTCATTCATTTTTACTACCCATGATCAATTTAATGCCAGTGAAGCCATCAGAAAGACTCCCTTCCCATAGCCATGTCTCTTGATACTTTAGAATTTGCTGAAGATTTTAAGCGAAATATCAGATAATTCAAATATTTCACCAATTTTTACCTTATGCTGAATGTAATATAAAATTTAATTATTACATTATTATATATAGCTATATTTCTTAATTTTCCCATGCAATTAAAATTTTACTGTGTACTATATTCTTTATTAATTTTTCATGAATGTTTTTCCCACTTGATAATAAGCTCTTTGTGGATTAAAAACAATGAGTAATATGTGTGTTAGTCCCAATGGCACCTGAGCATGTTATGCATATTGTGATGGATTTCAGGGTTAATATACCTCCTTTTTCCTCATCACAATGTACGTTAAAATGTGCATGGGATGTGGGAGACTACTTAAATGCAAGGAAAAACATACTATTGAGCATTGCTGAAATGACAAAATGACATATCTAGGTTTCGAATATTTAGAAAAAAACATTACTTAAAGTTGATTAGTTAACAAAATACTATGTTATTAATGAAATAACATATTTTGATAGAGTTTCTGAGAAATGTTAAGCACTATAGAATTTTGGAACTATTACTAAATTAATACAAAGTGGTTTATAATTTGTGTAATTCTCAAGATTAACTCATGATATATATATATATATAGTGTCATATATATATATGAATTTTGTTTCAAGGTCACCAATCAATCTTCTATTCAAAGTTAATTGTTCTGAATTAGTGGAATAATTATATATATATATATATAGAGAGAGAGAGAGAGAGAGCGAGAGAGTTAATCTCGTGTATATATATATGTATATATCATGAGTTAATCTTGAGAATATATATATATATATTCTCTCTCTATATATATAGTCTTCATTTAGAGATAAACAAATGGTGGTATAGAAATTTAGATGAACTGTCTTACACCAAATAACCGACAAATTATTGCACTAGTTTGAGAACTTTAATCTATTACTTTATTTGAAATTATTTGCTCCTCACTTTATACCAAGCTGTGTCTGACGCAAAACCTCTGAGGCAGTTAATGTATGCATTACATTAGGCAAATTTACCTCTAATACAATTGTTTATACAATCATTTTCTTAGTTAAATAAAAGATATCGTATTTATTTTGTGCACTTAGTTCTTGAAACTAAGGAGAAATGAAACATTTTAGGAATGAGATGTAATTTCTGCACATAAAGTCTTATTTCTTTGTACCCACTGATCACATAATGAACTTCACTGTACTTCATTAGAAATACAGACTATATACTCTTTGAAGATTTTTATCTGTCAAAATTTTGTTTCAAGGTCACCAATCAATCTTCTATTCAAAGTTAAGTTAATTGTTCTGAATTGGTGGAATAGTAATTTTCCTAGACAGCAGTTAACAACCGTAAATGTTACCAGGAAACAAAAGAGACTGGTAGGTCATTCTGTCAAGAATGATGTTCTTACATATAATTTTCATTTTCTTTTAAATACCATCAGCATGTCAGCTGTAAAGTAGGGAAGTGTGGTCTTGTGAGGCTGCTGGGGAACATTGCCAAGTTGACAGCAAATTTCATGGCAGTGCAGACTCCAGAACCCTGGAGTTAGATAAACTGGATCTTAATCGCAACCAGCTCCTCTACTACTTGTTGTGTCATGTGGTCATGTCACTTAACCCCTATGGGCCTTAGATTCCTCATCTTATAAAATGGGCATGGTAATAATAACCCCTCATAGAAATGTCATTGATTAAGTATACATAAATATGTATATGTATACATACACACATATATTACATAGAGAAGTACCTGGTACACAGTACACTTTCAATAATGTTAGCTACCATCATTATACTGCACAAGGATTTGAAAAACAAGCCCTACATTATTTTCCAACAACAAAAGATAAGAAAGACTTCTCTGCTTCTTCATGAGCTATCTTTGCACAGTGGGTGACTGAGGTCTATAACATCCAACTTTAGGACTGTCAGAAGTCCATGTGGAGCTAATGGGATAGGTTACACTAATCTCTTCTCTAATATGCCAGCTCCCTTCCTTTCAGAGATGCTAGAGAGACTTGGCAGCCTTGGGACGGTGTAATTGATCCTTTGTTTGCTGAGACTCCAGCAGGAAGAAGAGTGCTTCACTTTATCTCAGTAGTAGAGCAGATAAGGAAGAGATATGGAATAAATGTGGAACCAAAATGCCAATTAGGCATTCAGCTCCTGCATTAAAAAAAATCAAAACAAACAAACAAAAGAAAAAAAAAACACTGTATCCTGAGCCCTAGAAGAAACTGAAATATTAGGGACTCACAGTTCTCCTGTGGAATGATCAAGGTCTCCTAATGAGCTTAAACATTGAGTCTAAATGAAAACCTGATTTTGTTCTGGCAATAAAGAATTCATTCCATTTTGCCTTTACTTGAGAGTACATGATCTTATGTGGAAGCAATATCACAATATAATTCTAACATGCAAATGAAGTCATAGAAACAAAGACCAATAAAATGAATGCACGGGACAAAGTTGTCACTTGGGAACAAGAGAGACCTGTGTTCTTATCCTAACTCTGCATATTACTTATTAATTGCTTGGGGTTAAGTCATCTGGATTCTCTACTTTTACAAAAGGGATGATAACATTTCTGTGCAGTATTGCTAGAGTTATTAGATAATATACTGCTGCCCAGCTTCGTGTCAGATGCACAGAAGGTTCACAGTAAATGAGGTTATTGTTACTTTATTAGTTTGTCTTCAGTGCAGTGATAATTATTCTGTACAATGGCAGAACATAACTGAGGCCTCCTTAAATAGGCTCTGATATGCTAACTTATTTTGACATTTTCAATATAAAAAAGAGCTATGAAAAGATTTAATTTATTGAGTTCATAGTTTTTCATGTTACATATAATGCTTGTATTATTAAACCTTTCCTTAAGTACAATAGGAAGAAGAGATAAGTGGCAAAAATACTATTTTTATATAAATCTTTTTTTTTTTACCATTGCTAACTTGTTAATATGGACAATCATCTCCAGCCATCTGTTAACTCGTCTCTGAAAAAAAATATTTATTTATAATTCTAATGGAATATAGTTTTTCCTTGAATTAAACAGATGTTCTGGTGTTTGGTATCCTAAAAAGGCAGTTCTCTCATATTTATTCCAGAGTGATATAGTTTTCTGTGGGGTATCATAATAAACTTTTTCTTAATAATTTAGAGTCCGCCTTCTTTAGCTTAAATAAAATCAAAGTTCCAATGTAAGTTAATTGTCTTATGCTATACCTAGTAACATTCCAAGTGTCTCTTTTCAGTAAGAGGATAAGGACTAGCCATATATTCCCAGATGTGGCTTACTGTAGTCAATTTTTGATGGCTGTTACTTTGATGATCAATTAAGTACAATCTATATTTTAAGAATAATCTTTCTTCATTTAACAATATGAGAACCTTTACATTTTAACTATAATTAATTATGTAATGATCAAAAGACACATTTATGAGAGACAAAAATCCTAGAAAAGAGGAAGGAAAGAAAAAATGATTATGGAAGAAGATTTCGAAGGGAATGAGGTCAGGGTAAAAGCAAGTCACACTTAAAACCTGTGGCCTTTACCTAGTAAAAAGGTGTTTTAGATGCTTCATTAATGAGAAGAGTACATTGTCCCAAAATGCACTTCAAAGTTATGTGGTACAATTGGACACTTGTATGCCTAGATTCATCACTTGCCTTTAAGAAAATGTCATGGGCTAATTAGGAGGTAGTCTAACACTGTATCTTTAACAGGGGAGAATTATGACCTATTTTTTTTTCTTTAACTATTCTTGGTATCTCCTCATTAAATACAAATTGGCTTATTCTATCATACTTAGGGCAAAAATATATTGAAGACTTATTTTTGGGGTGAAACTTTAATGCTTAGCTCTTATCAATTTTATTTGAAGTGACTCTGAGGCACTATTTTATTCATCATAGTAGGGACGTGCTTCAGAACTGGCTAAACACCCAGAGTTTCCTTTCTTTTAAAGTTTAATTGAACTTCGGTCAGTCTGGTTTCTTTGGAATGGCTGATTTTAATTGCCACTGCTGAACAATGTCAATTAGAGTAAAACCTCAGAGATTTTAACGTCTCAGTCTTAATTAGTGAAGTCTGTAATAATGAGTATATGTTTATAAGTATTATTTCTTTTTAGAATCATTATTGCTAATGGCAACATTGAAAAATTCTGGGTCAGTAAGAGCTGCCTCCTCCACATCATTTGATACCTGTTCCTATTCTTTGCTGTGCTACCTGCAGAACGTTAGAGCTGGTCTAAGAAGAAAGAGGGGTGCCTTCTATTTTTTGTAGAAAAGCTGAGGACTATGATACATTAACTGCCCCCCCACCCAGCAATACAACTAATACTTGAATACACTAGAAAATATTTGTAAAGCATCACTAGGATGTCAAAAGGGTAGTAAAAATCTTCTGGACAGTCAGGTGAAATATACTTGACACCATTGCCAGAATACAAAATGGAAAACTAGGGTAAACTTGGTTGCAAAGCCATCCCAAATATCTTAAAATAAATGAGTGTTCATAATTTTTGTGCATATAGTGATTCGAAGGCAAGTCTAATAAAGTATTTTAGAAGGAATAATAATGTGCTTGCTTTAAGAAATACAGTATTTGGGCCGGGCGCGGTAGCTCACGCCTGTAATCCCAGCACTTTGGGAGGCCGAGGTGGGCGGATCACGAGGTCAAGAGATCAAGACCATCCTGGCCAATATGGTGAAACACCAATCTCAGCTCACTGTACTCCAGCCTGCTGACAGAGTGAGAATCCATCTCAAAATAAATAAATAAATAAATAAGAAATACAGTATATATTTATAAGTAGCAATATTTACTTAAAATTTCTCCCCTGAAGATAGCTTGTTCACCTAAGCAGTTAGAACTGAGTCACCTAAATTTGTGTTTTTCAATAGAAAGGGTAACATGTGACATTAACATAGAATAAACCTTGCTAGGAAGAGCATATTTCGGCGGCTTTCAGACTTAGTTGTGCATCTGTATCACTTAGAGAGGTTTTTGAAAAGGCTGGGCGCGGTGGCTCATGCCTGTAATCCCAGCACTTTGGGAGGCCGAGGCAGGCAGATCATGAGGTCAGGAGATCAAGACCATCCTGGCTAACACGGTGAAACCCCATCTCTTACTAAAAATACAAAAAATTAGCCGGGCGTGGTGGAGGGCACCTGTAGTCCCAGCTACTCGGGAGGCTGAGGCAGGAGAATGGCGTGAACCTGGGAGGCAGAGGTTGCGGTGAGCCGAGATTGCGCCACTGCACTGCAGCCTGGGCGACAGAGTGAGACTCTGTCAAAAAAAAAAAAAAAAGGGAGGGCACATCCTAGGCCAGTGATTTAGAATTTCAGAAATCTTTAGAACTGGTACCCAGGCACTTATATCTTTCTCTTCTTAAAAATTCTTCAGGTAACTTTGATGTACAACTATTGTTGACAACCATTTTATCCTTTTGTAGAGAGTTCTGTTTACCTAATCTGTTTACTCTAGGCAGCAGAATTTTGAGGTTAACCTACTAGAGATATTAACATTTAATAATACCTACTTGGCTTGTGTCTGGTTATTAATTTAATTATATTAATTAATTATATTAATTTATTAATTTAATTATATTAATTAATTATATTAATTAATTAATTAATGATTTGGGCTATATCTCCAAATGAAATATATATATATATATATATATATATATACTAAGCCTTTAATTTAAAAAGATAATATACCAATAATATAAATTGTGTTTGTAGAACTGGGTTCAGATTACTCCTCACTTAAGCTATAGCTAGAAGTGTCAATGCAAACATGGCTGTTTGTTTGGGGGTCATGTTGGTTCTGCTCCATTTGCTGTGTTGCTGAAATGTTCCATGTCCCATCACTTCTGTTTTGAGATGGTTTCTTTATTTTCTAAGTTCTTGCATACCAATTACAGATAAGTCATAAGTCTTTCTATCTGCAGTACCTAAAAATTAATTCTTTTAGCATAGTTTTTGCCAATCTCATTTTGATGTAGCAATCTGCTTTACTCTTGATTGTACTGAGAGCATGGAACATTCATATCTTATATACCTTGATTCCAAAATAAACACAATGTGTATGTTATTATATTAAAAGACTATGTCTTCTTTGTTGGCTACTACACTCATTGTGCAGTACCTAGCACAGAAAAAGTTTCAATAAATATTCATTAAACAAAACTGAGCTTTATTTTTTTTTATTTTATTTTTTTTGAGACAGAGTTTCACTCTTATTGCCCTATTGCCCAGGCTGGAGTGCAGTGGCATGGTCTCAGCTCACTACAACCTCCCCGTCTCAGGTTCAAACAATTCTTCTGCCTCAGCCTCCCCAGTAGCTGGGATTACAGGCATGTGCCGCCATGCCTGACTAATTTTGTATTTTTAGTAGAGATGGGGTTTCTTCATGTTGGTCAGGCTGGTCTCGAACTCCCCACCTCAGGCGATCTGCCCACCTCTGCCTCCCAACATGCTGGGACTGTAGGTGTGAGCCACTGCACCCAGCTGAGGTCTCTTTTTTTCTACAAAAAAACCTAATTGTTCAAAGTTGAGTTATTTTGGTTATGTTATGATAGCTTATTTCAGACTTTTTTTATCTTTGATGCAAGTTTTCTGCAAGGAAGAAACAACAAGAGTAGAGAAGAAAAAGTTGGCTATTTCTTACCCCATAAATCCCATCTCTCTTAATGCCATATACTTCCACTCCATGTTCTGCTTTATTTATTTATTTATTTATTTATTTATTTATTTATTTATTGTTCCTGGGATATTGGAAATGGTTTTAATGTCTCACCAATATTTAATGAAAGCCAAATAGTTTCAAAGTTGAGAAAGAGTTGGAGAATTTCTCTCAAATATTTGAAAACACAAGACTATGATCCTTCCTTGGTGGCATTATTGAAGATTTCTCCTAACATAGTCTTGAGGTATCTAATGCTGCATATCCAGCTTCACCTGAGCAACAATATAGTAAGCTTTAATAAGGTGAATTTTGCAGCTCCATTTGTGCAAACTTTGTGATGCCTTCATTGAATAAATAAGTGCCAGACCCAGACTGAGCATTGTTGATGCTGAGGTTACAAAAAAAATTAAAACAAAAAAGATTGGGTCTCAGCCCTCAAGGGGCTCAAAGTAAAATGAGGTAGATGAAAACGTAAATAAATGAAACAAAATATGTCATGATACGTGCTAGGCGCTGCCAGAGTACACTGGAATGACAGAGTATTGAAATCCCTGTGAGAAATATTAAAATCAGACTTTTGCTACAAAATTCTTTCTTGATAAATAAATAGGCAGGGTTAAAATTGATTTTTCCCTACTGAAATGTCATAAAAGAGGCAAGAACAATCCTGCAATGTTTAGCCTGACATCTACTTGAAATATTTGAGTAGGGGGAGAGCTTCAACTATAAATTCTTCCATGAATATGGATTTCGGAGACCTAATCCTGTGAGAAAAGCAATTGAAGAAACATAGAGAAACAACTTTTGCACCATCTGGTTATGTTTGCATCTACTTTGCCTATATAAGGGGTTTGTACTGATCATCATCTGAATTATTGACCAAAGAGTACAGCCTGTTGAGTCACTGAAACAAAAAACACCAGAAGGCCTCAAATCCCTTCCCCCAGAAGTCTGAATTTCTAGAGCACTCCTTCATATCAGGAAACATACAGGAAAAAAAACAGAAACACGATTTAACAGGTGGGGCATATGGTAAACAAATATCGGTACCCTTGTTTACAGTACGGATAACTTCTAAGAGGAGGCTGATATTTCTCATCTCTACAATCAGACTAATAAAAGTTTTGGGAAGACCTTTACCACAGTGTAAAGACTTCCCTGACATTTTTGCATCTTGGAATCAGGGCATGATGGAAAGAGATGTTTGGCAGAAAAGAACCTGAGGATTCCCGCCATTCTTTTACGCAGCAGCTGTGCAACTTCAGGGAGGTCACTTTGGTGGCAATAACAGCTAATGTTGACCTCTGGGGGCAGGGCATAGACAATCAAAACACAGCAATAACCTCTGCAGACTTAAATGTCCCTGTCTGACAGCTTTGAAGAGAGTAATGGTTCTCCCAGCACACAGCTTGAGATCTGAGAACAGGCAGACTGCCTCCTCAAGTGGGTCCCTGACCCCCGAGTAGCCTAACTGGGAGGCACCCCCCAGTAGGGGTGGACTGACATTTCACACGGCCGGATACTCCTCTGAGACAAAACTTCCAGAGGAATGATCAGGCAGCAGCATTTGTGGTTCACCAATATCTGCTGTTCTGCAACCACCGCTGCTGATACCCAGGCAAACAGGGTCTGGAGTGGACCTCCAGCAAACTCCAACAGACGTGCAGCTGAGGGTCCTGACTGTTAGAAGGAAAACTAACAAACAGAAAGGACATCCACACCAAAAACCCATCTGTACGTCACTGTCAT
This sequence comes from Homo sapiens, assembly GCF_000001405.40. Classification (NCBI taxonomy): domain Eukaryota; kingdom Metazoa; phylum Chordata; class Mammalia; order Primates; family Hominidae; genus Homo; species Homo sapiens. The sequence goes on from NC_000002.12 coordinate 77,220,219, forward strand.
CAAAGACCAAAGGTAGACAAAACCACAAAGATGGGGAAAAAACAGAGCAGAAAAACCGGAAACTCTAAAAATCAGAGCACCTCTCCTCCTCCAAAGGAATGCAGCTCCTCACCAGCAACGGAACAAAGCTGGACGCAGAATGACTTCTACGAGTTGAGAGAAGAAGGCTTCCGAAGATCAAACTACTCCGAGCTAAAGGAGGAAGTTCGAACCAATGGCAAAGAAGTTAAAAACGTTGAAAAAAATTAGACGAATGGATAACTAGAATAACCAATGCAGAGAAGTCCTTAAAGGACCTGTTGGAGCTGAAAACCACAGCACCAGAACTACATGATGAATGCACAAGCCTCAGTAACCGATGTGATCAACTGGAAGAAAGGGTATCAGTGATGGAAGATGAAATGAATGAAATGAAGTGAGAAGTGAAGTTTAGAGAAAAAAGAATAAAAAGAAATCAACAAAGCCTCCAAGAAATATGGGACTATGTGAAAAGACCAAAACTACATCTGATTGCTGTACCTGAAAGTGATGGGGAGAATGGAACCAAGTTGGAAAACACTCTGCAGGATATTATCCAAGAGAACTTCCCCAATCTAGCAAGGCAGGCCAACATTCAAATTCAGGAAATACAGAGAACGCCACAAAGATACTCCTTGAGAAGACCAACTCCAAAACACCTAATTGTCAGATTCACCAAAGTTGAAATGAAGGAAAAAATGTTAAGGGCAGCCAGAGAGAAAAGTCAGCTTACCCACAAAGGGAAGCCCATCAGACTAACAGCTGATCTCTTGGCAGAAATTCTACAAGCCAGAAGAGAGTGGGGGCCAATATTCAACATTCTTAAAGAAAAGAATTTTCAACCCAGAATTTCATATCCAGCCAAACTAAGCTTCATAAGTGAAGGAGAAATAAAATACTTTACAGACAAGCAAATGCTGAGATATTTTGTCACCACCAGGCCTGCCCTAAAAGAGCTCCTGAAGGAAGCACTAAACATGGAAAGGAACAACTGGTACCAGCCACTGCAAAAACATGCCAAATTGCAAAGACCATCAAGGCTAGGAAGAAACTGCATCAACTAACGAGCAAAATAACCAGCTAACATCATCATGACAGGATCAAATTCACACATAACAATACTAACCTTAAATGTAAATGGGCTAAGTGCTCCAAATAAAAGACACAGACTGGCAAATTGGATAAAGAGTCAAGACCCATCAGTGTGCTGTATTCAGGAAACCCATCTCACATGCAGAGACACACATAGGCTCAAAATAAAGGGGTGGAGGAAGATCTACCAAGCAAATGGAAAACAAAAAAAGGCAGGGGTTGCAATCCTACTCTCTGATAAAACAGACTTTAAACCAACAAAGATCAAAAGAGACAAAGAAGGCCATTACATAATGGTAAAGGGATCAATTCAACAAGAAGAGCTAACTATCCTAAATATATATGCACCCAATACAGGAGCACCCAGATTCATAAAGCAAGTCCTGAGTGACCTACAAAGAGACTTAGACTCCCACACAATAATAATGGGAGACTTTAACACCCCACTGTCAACATTAGACAGATCAATGAGACAGAAAGTTAACAGGGCTATCCAGGAATTGAACTCAGCTCTGCACCAAGCAGACCTAATAGACATCTACAGAACTCTCCACCCCAAATCAACAGAATATACATTCTTTTCAGCACCACACCACACTTATTCCAAAATTGACCATATAGTTGGAAGTAAGGCACTCCTCAGCAAATGTGAAAGAACAGAAATTATAACAAACTGTCTCTCAGACCACAGTGCAATCAAACTAGAACTCAGGATTAAGAAACTCACTCAAAACCGCTCAACTACATGGAAACAGAACAACCTGCTCCTGAATGACTACTGGGTACATAAGGAAATGAAGGCAGAAACAAAGATGTTCTTTGAAACCAATGAGAACAAAGACATAACATACCAGAATCTCTGGGACACATTCAAAGCAGTATGTAGAGGGAAATTTATAGCACCGAATGCCCACAAGAGAAAGCAGGAAAGATCTAAAATTGACACCCTAACATCACAATTAAAATAACTAGAGAAGCAAGAGCAAACACATTCAAAAGCTAGCAGAAGGCAAGAAATAACTAAGGTCAGAGCAGAACTGAAGGAAATAGAGACACAAAAAACCCTTCAAAAAATCAATGAATCCAGGAGCTGGTTTTTTGAAAAGATCAACAAAATTGATAGACTGCTAGCAAGGTTAATAAAGAAGAAAAGAGAGAAGAATCAATTAGATGCAATAAAATATGACAAAGAGGATATCACCGCCAATCCCACAGAACTACAAACTATCATCAGAGAATACTCTAAACACCTCTACAGGAATAAAGTAGAAAATCTAGAAGAAATGGATAAATTCCTCAACACATACACTCTTCCAAGACTAAACCAGGAAGAAGTTGAATCTTTGAATAGACCAATAACAGGCTCCGAAATTGAGGCAATAATTAATAGCTTACCAACCAAAAAAATTCCAGGACCAGATGGATTCACAGCCGAATTCTACCAGAGGTAGAAGGAGGAGCTGGTACTATTCCTTCTGAAACTATTCCAATCAATAGAAAAAGAGGGAATCCTCCCTAACTCATTTTATGAGGTCAGCATCATCCTGATACCAAAGCCTGGCAGAGACACAATAAAAAACGAGAATTTTAGACCAATATCCCTGATGAACATTGATGCAAAAATCCTCAATAAAATACTGGCAAACTGAATCCAGCAACATATCAAAAAGCTTATCCACCATGATCAAGTGGGCTTCATCTCTGGGATGCAAGGCTGGTTCAACATACGAAAATCAATAAACATAATCCAGCATATCAACAGAACCAAAGAAAAAAAACCACACAATTATACCAATAGATGCAGAAAAGGCCTTTGAAAAAATTCAACAACGCTTCATGCTAAAAACTCTCAATAAATTAGGTATTGATGGGGTGTATCTCAAAAATATAAGAGTTATCTATGACAAACCCACAGCCAGTATCATACTGAATGCACAAAAACTGGAAGCATTCCCTTTGAAAACTGGCACAAGACAGGGATGGCCTCTCTCACCACTCCTATTCAACATAGTGTTGGACATTCTGGCCAGGGCAATCAGGCAGTAGAAGGAAATAAAAGGCATTCAATTAGGAAAAGAGGAAGTCAAATTGTCCCTGTTTGCAGATGACATGATTGTATATCTAGAAAACCCCATTGTCTCAGCCCAAAATCTCCTTAAGCTGATAAGCAACTTCGGCAAAGTCTCAGGATACAAAATCAATGTGCAAAAATCACAAGCATTCTTATACAACAATAACAGACAAACAGAGAGCCAAATCATGAGTGAACTCCCATTCACAATTGCTTCAAAGAGAATAAAATACCTAGGAATCCAACTTACAAGGGATGTGAAGAACCTCTTCACGGAGAACTACAAACCACTACTCAATGAAATAAAAGAGGATACAAACAAATGGAAGAACATTCCATGCTCATGGGTAGGAAGAATCAATATCGTGAAAATGGCCATACTGCCCAAGGTAATTGATAGATTCAATGCCATCCCTATCAAGCTACCAATGACTTTCTTTACAGAATTGGAAAAAACTACTTCAAAGTTCATATGGAACCAAAAAAGAGCACGCATTGCCAAGACAATCCTAAGCCAAAAGAACAAAGCTGGAGGCATCACGCTACCTGACTTCAAACTATGCTACAAGGCTACAGTAACCAAAACAGCATGGTACTGGTACCAAAACAGAGATATAGACCAATGGAACAGAACAGAGCCCTCAGAAATGATGCCGCATATCTACAACTATCTGATCTTTGACAAACCTGAGAAAAACAAGCAATGGGGAAAGGATTCCCTATTTAATAAATGGTGCTGGGAAAACTGGCTAGCCATATGTAGAAAGCTGAAACTGGATCCCTTCCTTACACCTTATACAAAAATTAATTCAAGATGGATTAAAGACTTACATGTTAGACCTAAAACCATAAAAACCCTAGAAGAAAACCTAGGCAATACCATTCAGGACATAGGCATGGGCAAGGACTTCATGTCTAAAACACCAGAAGCAATGGCAACAAAAGCCAAAAATGACAAATGGGATGTAATTAAACTAAAGAGCTTCTGCACAGCAAAAGAAACTACCATCAGAGCGAACAGGCAACCTACAGAACGGGAGAAAATTTTTGCAACCTACTCATCTGACAAAGGGCTAATATCCAGAATCTACAATGAACTCAAACAAATTTGCAAGAAGAAAAACAAACAACCCCATCAAAAAGTGGGCAAAGGATAAGAACAGACATTTCTCAAAAGAAGACATTTATGCAGCCAAAAAACACATAAAAAAATGCTCATCATCACTGGCGGTCAGAGAAATGCAAATCAAAACCACAATGAGATACCATCTCACACCAGTTAGAATGGCAATCATTAAAAAGTCAGGAAACAACAGGTGCTGGAGAGGATGTGGAGAAATAGGAACACTTTTACACTGTTGGTGGGACTGTAAACTAGTTCAACCATTGTGGAAGTCAGTGTGGTGATTCCTCTCAGGGATCTAGAACTAGAAATACCATTTGACCCAGCCATCCCATTACTGGGTATATACCCAAAAGATTGTAAATCATGCTGCTATAAAGACACATGCACACGTATGTTTGTTGTGGCACTATTCACAATAGCAAAGACTTAGAACCAAGCCAAATGTCCAACAATGATAGACTGGATTAAGAAAATGTGGCACATCTACACCATGGAATACTATGCAGCCATACAAAATGATGAGTTCATGCCCTTTGTAGGGACATGGATGAAGCTGGAAACCATCATTCTCAGCAAACTATCACAAGGACAAAAAGCAAACACCGCATGTTCTCACTCATAGGTGGGAATTGAACAATAAGAACACATGGACACAGGAAGGGGAACATCACACACCGGGGACTGTTGTGGGGTGGGGGGAGGGGGGAGGGATAGCATTAGGAGATATACCTAATGCTAAATGATGAGTTAATGGGTGCAGCACACCAACATGGCACATGTATACATATGTAACAAACCTGCACGTTGTGCACATGTACCCTAAAACTTAAAGTATAATAATAATAAAATAAAAAAAAAGACCCATAACTAGTGTATGCGGATGAACACAAAATTGTGAGAAAAAAAAAAAACAGCTGATGTTGGTAAAGTGCTTGCGGTGTGCCCAGCACTCAAAATGTGTACATATATTAACTCATTTTCCATTTTTCTGTGCCTCCATAAATATTAAATTGAGTACTTGTTAGGTAAATAGTGGGAACTGTACATGGAATAGTGTTACTCTCACAATTCTCGACTAATGTTAATTGAGTTAATTAGTAATACATATACACAGTTTAGTTTTACACTGTATGTAAATGAGTAATTATTATTTGCCTACACCTATATATTCTGTGGTGAATGTTGATGAAATACACAATATAGCCAGGCACTTAAATAGCTTAAATTTACCTAGAGAAGAAAACTAAAATACACATGAAAATTGATTTGAGTGGCCTTGCCATTTTGTCTTTACTTTTACATAAAGTAGCACATTCAAATATAATATTTTAAAGAGAAAACAATTATATATATTGTTATTTTTCTACAAAGATGACATCAACTGTTGTTTGAAAATAAATAGTTAAGTAGCTATTATATTTGATAAGTAATTTATTCTTACTGCGTGGTAGTAAAAATAAAGAACGTAAAAAATGTGTACATGTTTTATTTAATATTAAAAATATTGTCTAAAATGTATAAAGTTATATATTTTATAATTATTATTGTTTTAAAGTATTTTGTTTATTTTCTAATGGATAATATGTTTATGTGTTATGTATAATTTAGAAAACCCTAAAAATCATAAAAAACAAAATTGGAAAAACAATTACAATTCCTCTATCCAATATTTCACTTAAAATGTTTCAAACAAAGCAGCCTATTACCTATATCTGCCAGAGAATTATTTCCTTCTACTCCTCTCCTGCTCTGGGTAAGATGAGCACAGGTACGGTCAGAGAATCACAAAGCAAAAGTAAAAATTAGGAGTGGTCAGAAACAGCTTCTATTCTTTTTTACATATAAGAATAGGTCTATGTTTTTGTCATGAGAGCATAGAAATATATAAAGGTCCTTTTATGTTCCATATCCCCATTTAAAAAGCATAAACATGTAATCCTGCCATTGTTGGTGTTTGTTTTCTGTCTCTCATTATTTTCTACTGATGTGCTTATTACAGAGCAAATTATATACATATATATATATATATATATATATATATACTAGTGTCTAAAACAATTATTGCACTTAATCATTTTTAAAGAAAAGTTCACTAAATTATATAATGTTGTCTCAAAAATTAAATAAGTAAAATGTATTTGTTGAGCTTAATAAGTGAAACGTTTGTTTTCAGGTGTAGATTTTTGTTCTCAAGTCCAACAGACATCCTATAAACCTCTTTTTGACATACATTGAATCCTTAAATAGGAATGTAGTGGGGTAGCCTATTCTGAAAATAGATGTTTTGCAGAGGCATAGGGGAAAATGTACTGATAGTTGAGTGACTTTAGGAAGAGGATGGGTTTTAGACAGAGTGCATACAGTGTACCTCTAAGATCTGAACTGAGTCGCCCAATTCAACATCCAATACCTCTCTCTCTGTGCTCCAGGTTATATTTTCAATATGTTGCCTTATACTCTACTAGATGGAAAGTTAATTAAGTATGTTCTCCACTGACTGTTATTCCCAGCCATATCTAGGGACAAGCTAAGATTGGGTTAATAGCACTGCCACCTGGTTTTCTAGTTTGCAATGGTAGTTGTTGCTCCATGACTATGGAGCAATATCTCCATTACTTTTGCAGCTCCAACCTCAGTTTTATAAGTGTTAGCAGCAATCTCCCTTAAGAATTTAACACACAGCCTCTGAGAAACAAAAGGAAAGAAAATAACACTTTTATGAATTTCCAAATTGCCATAGCTCACACTCAATGTTTATTTTATTTTAATATTACTGCCAATGGGTTTTGCTGAGTGAAATAAATTTAGCACTAATGAGCATATTTTGAAAGTTTAAAAACACAATTTAATAAATGATTCAATGTAATCTCTACAAAAATGACTCTAAGAGGCTGAAGAGTCTTAGAGCAGGAGAGAAACCATGAGGAAACAAAAGAGCAAGAAAACAGATAGGTGAAGCAATTATGATTTTTAAATTGGCAATTAATCAAGGAGTTTGGTTGTATTTTTTTTCAAAATCACAAAGACAAAGATGCCCAATGACAAAAGTAGGTCAATTTAATTATAGCTGTATCCCAGACTTGTGACTTGATTAAATTAATCTACTAGGGCCTGGCACATAGTAGGGGTTACACCTGTTAGTTTCTTTCCAGTATCTGCTTCCTTCTTGTTTCACAACATTTTAAATACAGATTATATAGTGTGGTCTGGCTAATTTTCAGTTAGATTTATCAATTATGTTGTGCAATAACTGTTATCTTTTTAAAATAGTTATTCTACAACCAGGATTGTTTTAATAAATATAGTTTCTAGTCATTAAAATATGGTTATACTTTCCAGCCTTTTTCTTATGCATATGTCTACATTATTATTTTTTCTTACAAAATGAGATATCATAAGACTAGTTTGTTCCTTCTTACTGTTATTATTTAAAAAGTTATTGATTTGTAACAAATATATCATCTACGAGTTATCAGGAAAAATAAAATACAAAGGGAATGAGATATTATTAAAGCTAATGTTAAAGCTAATATTAACTTGGTTTTGAAACAGGACACAATTATAAATTCTTATAGCACAATGCAAACCTGGGCAGGGAAAATCTGAGAAAAATGGATTCAAATGTATTAAATGTTTTCTCATGTTCTAGAACAGAATTAAGATATTATTATTTGGGTGCTGTCCAAATCCATGATATTTCTAACAAACTTAATTTTTTCCACATAATAAATTTATATTTACATTGGTAAGTGTGATCTATTCTCCTTAATTCTATGCCCAGCTCATCCCTTCTCTCTTGAATCCAATCTAATCTGGTTTTGTCCCACCTTGAGTTAACCTGACCCTGACTGATCTCCTGTAGACTGGTCACTCAGCAAAGGAATGGGTTTGGCGAAGTCCCATGAAAATTACATAAGCTCCAGTGAATGAGGCATTTAATCTTAAGCCTCTCCAAAGCTGAGATTCAGCCTTCTTGATCATGCCAGTGGAGAGTCTGAAGCTTTTCCAACCATGTCTCCTCATGTTTGTGGGAAATCTTGCTGCCAGTTTTCTACATTACACAGTTATAAGCCCAAGGCTTGGATTCCAGCCCACAGATCACTCCAGGGAAAAAGCTGGTGCTACTTCCAACCATTAAAGCTGAGTTAGCAAGATTGGCTTTCAGCCAAAGTTCTGTCAAAACATATTCTTATTGTGTCCTGTCCTTGTTCATATCAGGAGAAGAGCTAGTGCTTTCTTAAAGCAACATAAAATTTCAAAGCCAAGAATCAGACCGCTTCACATGGTATATAATATTCACCCCTACTAGACATCTGGGAATTACCTTAGAATAAGTGTGCATGAGGGATCCACACATCTGTTACCTCTCCTGTCTCCCAGTAAACCAGGAGAATTAGTAGATGTGCTCTTTGACCATATGACCCCTTCTCTTTTTTAATGAAAATCACAAACTATCCAGAAAAAGTGCTGGACCACCTCCAAGTTTACAAATCATGCGATTGCTCCTCTCTCTTTATATCACTCATCCTAGCAGCAGCATTTGGCAGCATTCATCATGCCCCCTCCCTCCTTTAAAGCCCCTTCTTAATTAATTTCCAAAATATCACATTCTTGTTTATTTTCCTACCTACTTATTCTTTTTTGCTTAATGATACTTGCATTCATAAATTGTAAAATTAGAATGTCCTAGTTTTTGGTCCTTCTTTATACTTTTCTATATTCATTCCCCAGGTCCCTGTTTTATGACTTCAGGTATCACCTGTAATCACTGAGTAACAACTTAGTATTTCCAGCCCCAAACTCTTCTCTAAATCATATATTCCTTTATCCAAACAATTTCTTAACTTTCTACGAGAGTCTTAAGCAAATGATTTCTAACCTTCTTTGATATATGAGAAAATCAGATCACTAAATTACTAGTTCAACTTTAATAAATCCAAATTTGACTACCTGTAACGTTGCGTCTCAAGTCTTTCCAATATCATTAAATGGCAACCACATTTTCCTGCATAATCAGAATTACCCGGCATCCTTATTGACCTCTTTCTTTCTCTAACACCCCACATTTAAGCCATGAGAAAAGTATGTTGACAACTCTTCTGAAATAGATTCAGAATCCCACCGCTGCTCTCCAGCTCCACCGCTACCTCTGCAGTCTATGGCATCATCATCTCCTGCCAGACTTAGCAATAGTAATGTCTCTTCCTGGAATATCTCAAGTATACATGCGGCTCAGGTTTTGTACTAGAAGTTTCTTCTGCCTGAAATATTTTTTAAATACCTGAATATCTTGCTTTCTTATTTTCTTCATATATCTGTTCACATATCACTTTATTAGAATTGTCATTAAATTTTTTCTATATAAAATATATCCCCCACTTGAACTTTTCACCCACTATCTTGCTTTAAATTTCTTCATCGCATTTACCACCACTGGAAATGTTATACTATGGTGTGTGTCATCTGTCTTTCTCTGAAAAACAAATAATACAGGAGAGCAAGTCTGTGTTATTCTTGTAATTCCTCTAATTTTTCAGTGCCTAGCCACCTGTTTATTGACACATAAAAGGTACTCCCTTTGGAGTTTTCGGTATCTTGCTGTTAATTTTAGTTTCAAAATAGAAGATTTTAATATAAACAAGTCATATCCTTTGCATTCTTTCAACACCTATACTAAACAACCACATCATTAATTATTAACCTACCATTATTAATTATTCAATGCTAGTAAATTGTTCACCAAATATACTTTTAATCCATATAGGTATGAGACTGAGCTAAATACTGTTGGGCATACACCATACACATAGTAAGACACAACTGTTCTCCTTAAAAATACTATGTAAACTAGTAACATCATCAGAGAGAAAAAGATATAGAGATAATGATCTAGTAATGTTCCAAAGGCATAAATAATTTCTAGAAGGACAATGTGTAGTGATATAAAACTCTGTTGCATAACCAATTAGATGGGTTCCTGATATAATTTGAATATAAAATAAGATTGTGAAGAAATAGCAATCCCATCACTTGCTAATTATAATCTTTTTGACATTCTTTCCTAAAACTTTTGTTGATGTTTTATTTTTAACTCTTTGATTCTTAGTTTCTTCATCTATGTAATCGGGGGTTTTATGCATAATAAATGAGGAAAAATTGAATAAAGCACATAACTCACTGCCTAGAACAGAGTAAGTCCTCAGTTATTGTTGTAATAATAATGTCAACATAGATTAAATGAACAGCATGACTGACGTAGCCAAAGAGACAGAACTTATCTTTAATATACATTTTTAAAAGAAATAGTTATCACTTTAACAATAAGAAAAAAATAACACAAACTATCATTAAAAATAGACAAATTAATTTCTATTTTGAAATGGAAATTTTGTCATTGTTCTTCAAAAGATTTCTAAATAAATACAAGTAGATTTGCCAGATTTAGAAAATGCTCGGTGAAGCTTCAATTTCAGATAAAAAATAATTTGCAGATAAGTATTTTCCAAATATTGAATGGGACATGCTTATAATTTTAAAATATTTGTTTATTTTTACCTAAACTTCGAATTTAACGTGGATGTCTAAATTTTATCTGGCAAGTTTAAATATAGTCTCTGTTTTATTTTTTTAACTGAAGCCAAACCCATGGCGTGAGGATAAACAGGCCCATGAAGTACACATGCACACACACACACATGCACACACACACAGATGCACACACACACAGATGCACACACCACAAAGACCAGATAGGCAATGTTTGGCAATATGATCCACTGAGCTCATAAGAGTCAGCTATAATGTATCACTGAAAAGGAACTTAGAAAATTATAACGGAATCTTATAAATCACATTAAGATCTGTTTAATATATACAGCAGAGATTAGCAAACTATATCTGGCTAAATCTAGTCCATGGCCTGTTTTTACAGATCTTGGGCTAAAAATAGTTTTTACATTTTATATATTTTATACTTTAGCTTAATTTATATTTTATATTTTAATTTATAAATGGACATATATAGAGATCTTATTTAGCCCATAAAGCTTAACAGTTATTATCTGGTAATTTATAGAGAAAAATATGTTAACCTATATAGAGGAGAAATTCATTCTTTTATTCATTTAGTGAATAATTATTGAGAACCCACTGTGTTGCAGGAATCCTCTCAGGTGCTGATATGGAGCTCACAGTGTAGTGTATAAACAGAGACAACATTAAATAGCAACAAAAGAAACCGAGGAACACTCAAATAAGTCATATATGAAAGTATTCAGTATTATGTAAACACATGACTCTAACGTTAGGTATTCTGACTTATTTATACTGCAAGCTACTAATTTAGATCCACCCAGGATGAAAAACTGTTTTCTGATTTATTCTTTTATATTTTCTAAGTGGTCATTTTAAATACTTAATTCAAATTTACTTTTTATTTACCTTTTGCTTTTCTTCAAATTATTCCTTTGTTCAGATACATTTTCAAATAAATTCTAGCAAAGCAAAGTTGTTACATGTGTACTAACCATAGCATTGTTCTCTTTGTTTTCCACATCAACTTCTTGTATCAAAAAAGTAGGTTCCAGGAGGGCACACATTGGGTGGTAAGACATAAATGGGAAAAAATACTGAAACCCAGACCTGTCAAATCTACTCTGCCTGTGAGTGTGTTGGTAAATATCATTGTCTGAAAGATTTCTGATCGGACCTTCCTCTTCACATATTTTCCCAAGTCATCAACATCTTTATTCCTTTATTATTTAATTTTAAAGAACAGAGATTCATTATTTATACAACATTAGTATTTCTTCCTAGGAACAGAGTTTGAGTCCTTAAATTCTACTTAACATGTATCTTTCCATGTTATTCTTGAAAAGTGTGACGTCCACAGGGCAACTCCAGGCAAGCGCTACAGAGCATGATACAAAATATTGCCCTGTTTTGCTAGACTGGGCTTCTTATGAGCCTCACAATTTTCTCTTGTGCCTTCAGAATGAAGTCCAGGTCCTTCTTCCACAGGCACCTAAGTCTGAATGTTTAGACACAAAGGTTTACTTTAATCCGAACTTCTTTGCTCTGGTTATGAAACAAAGATAGGAGAGGATATCTCTGAAATTTCCCTATTATTTTGCCAATAGTATAAATGTGACATAATCTTAAAGTTTTATAAAGAGCACTATGAACGTATTGTTGCAAACAGTCAATACTTATGGGTAAGAGTATTTTTCTATTACTAAATTAGAACTTTAGGAGAAAAAAATTAAAATGTCCTTGATATAAATGGTTCTACATGGAAGTAACTTGCATCTTAAGATCATATCATTTTTCATTAATATGTTTGCAGTTTGAATCAAAACATATCTTTTAGTTCTGAGAGGAATTATCAGATGAATTTGTTAAATATAATTACTTGACTTTAGAAAATGTGGCAAAACTATAACAAAAAAATCTTTAAAAGAAAATTACATTTGTGCAATATAAATTAGTGGATGAAAAGTTGTTAGATAAAGAAATTGCATTGCTTGACATTTTTGAGTTCCATGAAGTCAGAGTTTTCTAGGGTGATTCACACATAAGAAATCTACTTTTTAAGGTCACAAATCATATGACAAATTAGTATTTCCAATTAAATCCTTTTGTAGGAAAACCCAGAGTTTATGAAATATTTGGAGGATTGGGCCTTGCTAAAAGTGTTTTAGAAAGTTAAAATCTACCACATTTCTATCCTTTTTGCTCATTCTTTAATCCTCTTTGGCATAGTCCCAGCTGGGAGACTGGTTTTACAGCTGCTTCTTGAAACTGTGAAGAACTGGGCCTCAGGAGCCTCTGTACTCCCAACTGGGTTATAACAGAAAAGTTGAAATATTAAAGTTACCTCCATAATATTGAGATATAACATTTCTCAGTTAATTTTTTAATAGTGTAAATTCTGGGGTATCTTGGAATTACACTTTTATGTATGTATATTTATTATTTTGATGTTTTTATTTCTAAATATTACTATATTTTGTTTATTTAATTTTCTACATATGAAGGTTTATATTTCAAGTTTTCTATATCTCAATTTATTTACAGTTTGACTACAACATTTCAGTGTTTTTCTCACTAATAACTTGCTATATAGTTCAATTGCTTAACAATGGAAAACATTCTATTTAAAGTGTATTTTTGTAAATCAGAACCTCAGAGGATAGTTCCTATTCATGAAACATTGCTGGAAACTATTTGACTTATTTCTGTTTGTTGCTGTTGTTGTTGTTGTTGTTTGTTTGTTTGTTTTTGAGACGGAGTCTCGCTGTCACCCAGGCTGGAGTGCAACAGCGCGATCTTGGCTCACTGCAACCTCCGCGTCCACCCCTGCCTCCATGTTCAAGCGAGTCTCCCACCTCAGCCTCCCGAGTAGCTGGGATTACAGGCACCCACCATCATGTCCCGCAAATTTTTGCATTTTTGTAGAGACGGGATATCACCGTGTTGGCCAGGCTGATCTCAGGTGATCCACCCGCCTCGGCCTCCCAAAATACTGGGATTACAGGTGTGAGCCACCACTCTCACACTGACTTATTTCTTAAAGACCACTTTTAGAGTAGCACGTATGTGCCAGATATACAGTACTAGATGTATCTGACAATGTGTTGGTAACATCTATTGAATTGGGTTATGAAAACCCAAATCATATAAACGAGATATATGTCCTTAATATTTTAACCACCCTCATTATTTTTAATATTTTGTGCAGACCATTCAAATGAATCTCAGTTGATAGCCTACCCAACCATAAAAATAGAAGAGACTAAAGGGGTTGATTTAACTCCTTGGAAAAGAGATTTCTCTCCTTAGCTCACAAAATGGAATCACTATAATGATTTCGAATAATCTGTGACTACAGTTTGGATGTGGCCTATGGTAGAATATATGTCTACAAGTGTAAAAAATGTAGCTTTGCTTAGTTTCACTGTAAAAGGTAGGATTAACAAGTATATTAAAAATTGATTATAATATATTTACAAATATTGTAATTATATGCTAAAATTTGTTATTTTATATAATTGCTCAGATTTATAGGATCATTTGGAATTATTAGAGCAATGACTGATTTAATCTTGTCTGCACATTGAAACCACCTGGGCAGATTTTTTAAAATTGCCCATAACTGGGGCTCTGCTCAGATCAATTAATTAAGAATCTCTGGTGGATGGGACTTGGACATCAATATTTTATTAGTTTTCTAACTTCTAAAAAATTTAGATTCGGGGGTATAAGTGCAGGTTTGTTATCTAGGTATATTGTGTGATTCTGAGGTTTGGGTTATGAATTTTCTCATCACTCAGATAATGAACCTGGTTTATCAACACTTACCTCTTACCCTCCCTCCCCATCCAGTGTCTATTGTTGCCATCTTTACATCTGCTTGTATCCAATGTTTTGCTCCTGCTTATAAGTGATAACAGGCAGTATTTAGCTTTCCATTATTGCAGTAATTTGCTTAAAATAATGGCCTTCAGCTGCATCCATATTGCTGCAAAGGATATTATTTTGTTCTTTTACATGGCTGCATAGCATTCTATGGTGGATATGTACCACATTTTCTGTATCCAATCCAACATTGATGGGCACATAGGTTGAATCCATGTCTTTGCTATTGTGAATAGTGCCACAATGAGCATGTGAGGCCAGCATCTGTTGGTTTTTTACTATAATAATACCCATTCTGACTGGTTTGGGATTGTAGTTTTAATTTACATTTCTCTGATGATTAGTTACACTGAGCATTTTTTCATGTTTGTTGGCTGCTCATATATCTTCTTCTGAGAAGTATCTGTTCATTTCTCATGCCCATTTTTAATGGGGTTATTTGGTTTTTGCTTGTTAATTTGTTTCAGTGCCTTGCAGATTCTGAATCAAGATTCTTTTTTGATGCATAGTTGTGAATCTGTTCTGGTGGGGGTACTCTGTTGATAGTTTCTTTTGCTGTACAAAACCTCTTTAGTTTAATTAGATCCCACTGTCAATTTTTGTTTTGTTGCAATTACGTTTGAGGACATAGTCATAACTGATTTTCCAAGGCTGGTGTCCAGAATAATGTTTCTTGGGTTTTGTTCTGGGATTCTCATAGATGGAGTTCTCACATTTAGATTTTTAATCCATCTTGAGTTAATTACTGTATATGGTGAAAAGTAAGGGTCCAGTTTCATTCTTCTGCATATGGCTAGCCAGCTATCCCAGCATTATTTATTGACTAGGGAGTCCTTTCCTCATTGGTTATTTTTGACTGCTTTTTTGAAGATCAGATGGCTGTAGGCGTGCAGCTTTATTTCTGGGTTCTTCATTCTTTTTGATTGGTCTATGTGTCTGCTTTTAGTATCAGTTCTACATTGTTTTTGCTACTGTATCCCTGCCCTATAGTACAGTTTGAAGTCAGGTAATGTGATGCCTCTACTTTTGTTTTTAAGTAGGATTGCTTTGGCTATTTGAATTCCTTTTTCGTTCCATATAAATTTTAGAATCTTTTTTTTCTAATTTTGTGAAAAATGATGTTGGTAATTTGATAAGAATAGTGTTGAATCTGTAGATTGCTTTGGGCAGTATGGTCATTGTAATGACATTGATTCTTCTAATCCATGAACATGGAATGCTTTTCCATTTGTTTGTGTCATCTACAATACTTTTTAACAGTGTTTTGTTTTTCCCCTTATAGAGATCTTTAATCTCCTTAATTAGATGTCTTCCTATTTTACTTTTGTGTGGCTATTGTAAATGTAATTGCATTCTTGATTTGGCTCTCAGCTTGAATGTTATTAGTGTATGGGAATGCCACTGATTTTTGTACATTGATTGTGTATTCTGATACATCAGTGAAGTTGTTACATTAGTTCTAAGAGCATTTTGGTGGAATCTTTAGGGTTTTCTAGGTACAGAATCATATTTTTTTTTTGCCAAGAGAGATAGCCTCACTTCATTTTTTTTTTCCATTTGGATGCCTTTTATTTCTTTCTCTTGGCTGACTGATCTGACTACCACTTCCAGTACGATGTTGAATGGGAATGATGAGAATGAGCATCCTTTTCTCATATAAGTTCTCAAGGGGAATGCTTCCATGTTTTGATCATTCAGTGTGATATTAGCTGTGGGTTTGTCATAGATGGCTCTTATTATTTTGAGGTATGTTCCTTCAATGTCTAGTTGTTGAGTGTTTTTATCATGAAGTGATACTGGATTTTATTGAAAGCTTTTTCTGCATCTGTTGACATGATCAAATGGTTTTTGTTTTTAATTCTGTTTATATGGTGAATCACATTTACTGACTTGCATGTCAAAGAAACCTTGCATCACATGTACTAAGTCTACTAGATCATGGTGAATTAGCTTTTTGATATGCTGCTGAATTTGGATTGCCATCCATATTTTGTTGAGGATTTTTGTGTTTTTGTTTATCAGGGGTATTGGCCTGTGGTTTTCTTTGTTTGTTGTATCTTTGACAACTTTTGGTAGCAAGATGATGCTGGCTTCATGGAATAAGTTAGGGAGGATTCCCTCCTCCTCCTTGATTTTTTTTTCTTTTGAATAGTTACAGTAGAATTGGTACCAGTTCTTCTTTGCATAACTGGTAGAATTTGGCTGTGAATTCATCTTGTTGGGGGATTTTTTTTTTTTTTGGTTGCTAGGTTTTTTCATTACTGCTTCAATTTTATAACTTGATATTAGTCTGTTCAGGGTTTTGATTTCTTCCAGATTCACGCTTGGGAGATTGTGTCTTTGTGTCTTTCCAGGATTTTACTCATTTCCTTTAGATTTTCTAGTTTGTATACAAAGAAGTATTGATAATAGTTTCTGTGGATCTTTTGTATTTTTGTGGGATTGGTTTTAATGTCACATTGGTCATTTCTGATTGTGCTTATTTTGATATTCTCTCTTTTTTGCTTTTGAAGTATATCTAACAGTCTATCAATCTTATTTACAGAACCATGCACAGAACCAACTTTCAGCTTTGTTGATTCTTTGTATGGAAGTTTGGGTCTCAATTTCATTGAGTTCTGATTTGATTTTAGTTATTTGATTTAGTTATTTATTTCCTTCTGCTAGCTTTGGGGGTGTTTACACCCACATATAGGTTCATCTCCGTGATCCTCCACCAAGTTTATTAATAAGATTCAGAATCACATAGGGCCTGGAGAAAGCCTCGTTTGGTGGAATAAATCTGGAGAAAGGACTGCCATTATGGCAGGAAATACACAGAGCTCTAACTAGATCATTCCTTACTATACAAAAGATGCAGGCTGCCTAGGAAAAGATAGCAAACCCTGTTGCCTCAGGGCACAAGTAAAGACCCCCTGTGACTGAAGGAAGAGCAAAATAAAATAACAACCCTACCACTGGCCATGGGGCTGGTTCTGGATCCAGGTTCTTTATATATATACTCAAACATACACACAGGTTGATAATAAACTGGTTGCTATGGGTATGGGGTGGGGAGGAAATGAAGACAGGTAGGTCAAAAGACACAAAATAGCAGGTATGTAGAATGAACAAGTCTGAACATCTAATAAACATGATAACCATAGTTAATTAAATGGCATTATATGAGGTTTTTTAAAATAAAAAATAAGTTGGTTTTAGCTGTTCTTGTCACAAGTAAAGCTATTATATCAGATGCTAGATATGTTAATCTGCTTCACTGTAACAATTATTTTACGATCTATATGTATCCTATAATATCATGTTGTAAGCCTCTAATATACAAATAAAATGTATTAAAAAATAAGTACAAAATTTTTAAAAGGGACTATATCAATATCATTGGCAGTGTCTTAACTTTGGAGGAGAACAGGACACTTTCCCTTAAAAGAACACCAAAAAATCAAAACAGAGTTTGTCTGCCACAGAGAGGGGACACCTCAAAGAAACATACCACCTCAAAGACACAGGCATACCGTGCCTTCCTAATACACAAATGAGGATTAGAAAAACAGAGAACTACCCATGTTGCCTTGCCCTCTTTCCTCAAACCACACTAGCAGGCACAAAGTAAACAAGCAAGAAGAGTCTGCCACTGGGAGTGGGTAAACAGCACGCCGAGAGATACATGTAGAATAAATATAAAAATTAAAACAATACTGGACACATTGTATTCAAACTCCTTAAAACCAAAGCTAAAGAGTCAAAGTTACAGATAGCCATCCAGAAAAACACATATACAGACAGAAGAGCAAATGTAAGAATTAGAGGAAACTTCTCATAAAAGAACTATGCAAACCAGAAAACAAAAAAATGGCATTATTAAAGTATTGAAAGAAACCAAAATGTCAAACCAGGGTACTATATTCAGAAAAAAAATCTTTAAATGAAAATAAATATTTTGGGGACAAACTAATGCTAAGAATAATTCATTATCAGCACTTATATCTGCACTGTAAGAAATGCTAAAGGACATTCTTAATGTACCTCATAAGTATATAAACCTACAAGGTACCCACAATTTTTTTAAATAAAAAAATTTAAAAAATACTATAATATCAAAGAGAAATCTGAACTAAAGAAAGAGATTTAGAAATGGTCAAAATAGAAATAATTGAGCAAATATTTTCATTCTTACTTGTAATCACTCTAAATGTAATTGAATTTCCAAATAAAAATATTAGCAAGATATGGTAGGTTTATTGTGTATATGACAACAATAGTGCAAAAGAAGAGAAAAAAGTAAATATACTAGTGTGCATACTACATGGAGCTTAATATTATTTGCAATATAAACTGTGATAATGAGGTATAAATAAGGAGCAAATATTGTAGTCAAAATGAAATAATAGAAATATACTTCATCATTCTAAATGCATGTAGTTAAAAAGAAAAATTATATTAACAGTTTGAACAAATAGAAAGCTACTAGCAAGCTCTAGATTTTAAACCCATCATATACATAGTACTAAATGTAAATGTTCTAAACACTACAATTAAGAAAGAGATTGTCAGATGATTGGATATAAAAGTAAGCCCCAACTGTATGCTGTCCACAGAAAGTTGTTTTAAATATGAAGTTATAGATAGGTTCAAAGCAAAAAATAAGAAAAGTATACCTCACAAGTATTCTTCTAAAAGAAAACTTGAGTAGCTATACTAATACTATAGGAATATCATTAGGGATAACAAAGTTAATTGCAGAATGACGAAGAGTTCAATCCATCAAGGAGATATAATAACCCTATTGTTGCACCTAATAGTAGTGCTTTGAATTTATAGAGGAAAATTGATAGAATTGAAAGCAGAAAAAATAATCCACAAATTTGGTTGAGGTCTTCAGTACTTCTATCTAGTAATTGATAGAATAAGAAAATAGAAAATCAGTATAATCATGGAAGCCCTTAGGAACATTATTTGTTATTCACCTTATTAAATCATTACATTAATTATTCTAATTGATGTTTACAGAACAATCTACTGAATATCAGAATACACAGTTTTTTCAAGTGCATGCACATGTAACATCTATCAAGATAGACCATATTCTGGGTCATAAAATAAACTTTAAAATATTTACAATAATTGTAATAACAAAAAGTGTGTCTCTGACCAAAATGAAATTAAATTACTAGTCAATAACAGAAAACTATCTATAAAATTTCCATATATTTAGAAATGAAAAAATACTCCTAAATAACTAGCACACCATACAAAATGACACAAGGGAAATTAGAAAATATTTGTAATTGAATAAATAGGTAAACATAATATATCAAAATTAGTGGATGCAATCAATGTGATAGAGTAAAGAAGAAAAACCATATGACCATCTCAACGAATGCAGAATATGCATATGCCAAGTTAAACATCAATTCATTACAGAATAAATGGATTTTAAGTATTTGCTGAAGAACTCTTTAATTCCTCAGCAAGCTAGAAATGAAAGAAAAGGTTTTTATCTTCAAAAATTGTTTCTTGCCATAGAGCTATACTAACATACCTAAGAGTGAAAGGCCTCTTTTCTAAGATAAAAATGTCAACTCTATGTTGTTTTCTCAGTCTTATTTGATACCATACTTGAAGTTCTTTCCAGCATAATAAGACAAGAAAAAGAAATACATAAAGAAGAAATACAGTGGTATTTATTTGAAGACAACATAATTGTCTATGTTAAAAATCCCTAAGAATCTAAAAAATGCTACCGCCACTATTATGTGAGTTTAGCAATGTTGCCAGTTAAAAGGTCAATGTATCAAATTGTATTGCATTTTTACATACTAGCAACGAAAAATTTGAAATTTATAATAAAATGGTACCATTTAACATAGCAATAAAACTGAAATGCCATTAATTATTAAGGTAACAAAATGTGTACAAAATCTGTATGCTGAATAATAAAAAACAATAATGAAAAGTTTATAGAATACCTACTTTAATTAAGATATGGATCACGCTTATAGACAGAAAGACTAAGTATTGTTAAAATGCTGATTTTCCCCAAATTGACCTACAGAATACATACATTTTTAACCAAATCATATTAGAATTTTTAAAAATAAAATTGAGAAGATGATTCTAAATTTGTATAAAAAAGAAGGAACTAGAAAAGACAACACAATTTTGAAAAATCAAAGAACAAAGTTGGAGGACTCAGATGACCTGATTTTCTGATTTCAAGACTTTCAATAAAGCTAGAGTAAACAAAAACATGGAATTGGAAATACACACACACACACACACACACACACACACACACACACACATGGGTCTAGAAACAAACCTAAATATAAATGGTTGATTGGTTTGACGATCGCACAAAGGTATTTGAATGGAAAGAGAACAGACTTTTTGAGAAAAGGCGCTGGAAATTTAGATATCCGTGTGCAAAATATCTCAATGCATACCTTGCACTCTATGTAAACATTTAGTTTAAAATGAGTCAGTAATAAGCATAACTGACTATCATAACAAGGGGGTAAAAATGCAATATGATTTCTACTGATGGAAGCTTCATAAAGATAAACAAATTGAAAGGATTCACAGCAAAACAGTTCATATTTAGTAAAATGCAATAAACACATAACCAGCAAAAGAAAATAACCTATTGAATAGAGATTAGGTATGGAATGTATGGAATAAGCTCTGGAAAAAAACCTTTTATCTTTGAATATACATAATTACAAGACACAGATAAGGGGATTAGCAAATATATAAATATTCGCTAATATATTCACTTTATTGAGATACATACATCTCCAATCCAATGTCATAAATCTTTTCTCCTATATTTTCTTCTAAGACTTGTATAGTTTTAGCACTTATGTTTAGATCTTTGGTCCATTTTTAGTTTGATTTTGTATATTGTCTTAGGTCCAATATAGTTTCCCCAACACAACTGGTTGAAAAGACCATTCTTTCCCCATTGAATGATCTTGATCCCCTTGTTGAAAATCAATTGACCCTATGTGAAAGGGCTTATTTCTGGGTTTTCTATTCTCTTCTGTCAGTCCATACATCTGTCTTTATGCCATTATCACACTGTTTTGATTGCTATAATAGCTTTATAACAAGTTTGAAAATCTGGAAATATGAAACCTCAGCATTGTTCTTCCTTTTAAAGATTATTTGGTTATTTGGGGTTGCTTCAGATTCCATATAAATTTTATGATGAATCTTTCTATTTCTGTAAAACAAAATCATTGGAATTTGGATAAGAATTGCATTGCATATGTAGATTTCTTTGGTTAATGTTGACATCTTAACAATATTAAGTAGGAATAAATTTCTGTCTGTGACACCAAAAGCACAGGTAATAAAAGCAAAAATAAGTAAATTGAATTACATAAAAATTAAAAACTCCTGTGCATCAAGGGACACAATCAACAGAGTGAAAATGCAACCATCCAAATGGGAGGACATGTTCACAAATCATATATCCGATAAGACATTCATATCTAAAATATATTTTAAAAACTCCTACAACTCAACCACAAAAAATCTTATTTTCAAAATGGACAAATAACTTGAACAGACATTTCTCTAAAATACATACAAATGACCAATAAGTACATGAAAAGATGCTCAACATCACTAATCTTTAGGGAAATATAAATCAAAACCACAATGAGACACTATCTCAGCCCATTATGATGGATACTATCAAAAAAACAAACCAAAACAAAATAAAACCAAAGAAAAGAAAAGCAAAAAACTAAAACCAAACAAAAAATATAAAATAACTAATTTTAATGAGGATGTGTGGAGAAATTAGAACCCCTTTGCTCTATTGGTGGACCCAAATAATGAAACTGCTATGAAAACAAAATGGCAATTCCTCAAAAATTTGAAAGTAGAATTACCCTATAATCCAAGAATTCCACTTCTAGGTATATACCTACAAGTAACTGTTAGAGTGGTCTTGAAAAAGTATCTATACACCCGTGTTCATAGCAGCATTATTCAGAATAGCCAAAAGGTGGAAACAACCCAAGCGTCTATTGATAGATGAATGGATAAACAAAATGCAGTGTATGCAGGTAGTGAAATAACATTCAATATTAAAAAAATTCTAACACATGCTACAACATGGATTAACCTTGAGGAAATTATGGTAAGTGAAATAAGCCAGTCATAAAAAAGATAAATACGGCCAGGCACGGTGGCTCACGCCTGTAATCCCAGCACTTTGGGAGGCCGAGGCGGGTGGATCACCTGAGGTCAGGAGTTCGAGAACAGCCTCAACATGGAGAAACCCCCATCTCTACTAAAAATACAAAATTAGCCGGGTGTGGTGGTGCATGCCTGTAATCCCAGCTACTCAGGAGGCTGAGGCAGGAGAATTGCTTGAACCTGGGAGGCGGAGGTTGCGGTGAGCCGAGATCGTGCCATTGCACTCCAGCCTGGGCAACGAGAGCGAAACTCCGTCTCAAAATAAAAAAAAATAAAAAAAATAAAAAAAAAAGATAAATACTATCTGATTCTACTTATATAAAGTAATTAGAGTAGTTAAATTTATAGAGATAGAAAGTAGAATGGTGGTTTCCGGCATCTGGGGGAAAGGGAGAATGAGGGTTGATTAATGGGTATAGAGTTTTAGTTTTGCAAGTTGAAGAGAGTTCTAGAGATAGTTGGTAGAGATGGTTGCACAACAATGTGAATGTACTTAACACTAGTGAACTGTACACCTAGACATGGTTAAACTGTCAATTTTCTTATGCGTATTTTTCCAAATTAGAATTTTATTTTTAAAAAGGGATAATTGATACCATATCCCTTTTTTTTTCTTTTTCCTTTTTTTTTATTATACTTTAAGTTTTAGGGTACATGTGCACATTGTGCAGGTTAGTTACATATGTATACATGTGCCATGCTGCTGCGCTGCACCCACTAACTCGTCATCTAGCCTTAGGTATATCTCCCAATGCTATCCCTCCCCGCTCCCCCCACCCCACCACAGTCCCCAGAGTGTGATATTCCCCTTCATGTGTCCATGTGATCTCATTGTTCAATTCCCACCTATGAGTGAGAATATGCGGTGTTTGGTTTTTTGTTCTTGCGATAGTTTACTGAGAATGATGATTTCCAATTTCATCCATGTCCCTACAAAGGACATGAACTCATCATTTTTTATGGCTGCATAGTATTCCATGGTGTAGATGTGCCACATTTTCTTAATCCAGTCTATCATTGTTGGACATTTGGGTTGGTTCCAAGTCTTTGCTATTGTGAATAATGCCGCAATAAACATACGTGTGCATGTGTCTTTATAGCAGCATGATTTATAGTCCTTTGGGTATATACCCAGTAATGGGATGGCTGGGTTAAATGGTATTTCTAGTTCTAGATCCCTGAGGAATCGCCACACTGACTTCCACAATGGTTGAACTAGTTTACAGTCCCACCAACAGTGTAAAGCATTCATATTAATTTTCAGTTTTATTTAATGTTATTCTAATGTTATTATCATTAACAGGCATTTATACCTAGATTAAAAAATAATTTTGCACCAGAAGAATGGGAAAAAAATGTTTAAGGAGATTGGTAGATATCTGAAAATAGAGATTATGGAAGGCAGCTTCAGAAATAGCCCCCAAGTATGCCCTCCACCCCCTCCTGATACTTATGTCCTTATGTCATCACCTCCCCCATGAGTGTAGGCTAGACTTAGAAGTTCATAAGAAATAAAATGTGGCAAAAGTTATGGAAAATCATTTTTAAGATTAGGCTAAAAAACTGTGAATTTCCTCTTGTTCTCATTCTATTTTGCTCCTCCCTTTCTCAGTCTGATGAAACAACCTGCAATGTTTTTAATTACCCTTTGAAGAAGCCCACAGGCAGAGAACTAAGGGAAGCCAAGAATAAAGGGTCTCAGCCCAAAGTTCATGAGAAAACAAATCCTGGCAACATCCGTGTAAGTAACTTTGAAAGCAGATACTTTCCTGGTAGAGCCTTGATACGATGCCCTAGTCAACACCTTGATTAAAGTCTTATGAGAGATTTTGAGACCCAGAGGACCCAGTCAAGCCAAGCCCACATTCCTGACCCACCTAAAGTATAGGATTATGGTTTTATAAACCACTAATTTCTGGATTGTTTTGTTGTACCAACATAGAAAACTAATACATGACAAATGCTACTGAGAGAGACAAAAATAGAAGTGCTTACAGATTATGAGAAAGTTCTAAGAAGGCAATAATCTACAAGGGCAAGGAAACAGATAGAAATAATACTTTAAATGTACAACTCAGTGTGTTCTTGAAGTTAGAAGTTACTGATGTTCATGGCCAGGCCGGGTGCCTCATGCCTGTAATCCTAGCACTTTGGGAAGCTGAGGTGGGAGGATTGCTTGAGTACAGGAGTTTGAGACTATCCTGGGCAAAATAGTGAAACCTCATCTCTACAAAAAATAAAAAACAAAACAAAACAAAACAAAAATGAGACAGGAGGGTCACTAGAGCCCAGGAGTTCAAGGCTGCAGTAAGCAGTGATAACATCATGGCACTCCCACTTGGGATACAGAGCAAGACACTGCCTCAAAAAAAAAAAAAAAAAAAAAGAAGAAGAAGAGAAGAAGAGAAAGTTTATTGATGTTCAGAATTTTCTGAAGAAACCAAAAAACAGCTAGGATTCACTTTAAACACTTTTTTTTTGTGATACCTTCTAGTGTCAACATGAAGCAACTTGCATTTTTTCTTTCTCAGAGCAAACTAGCTCTCAATCTAGCTTATGAAAATAGAGGTTATTTTTAACATCTACATGTAGCATGTGTGTTTAGGTTTTTGAAGCTGTGGAATAGGAAAGAATGAAAAGGACTGAAACAGCTTTCTCAGTCATTTGTAGAGATGCAATTTTAGATGGTTATTCTCACTCCAGTTTCAGAGTGAACACTGGGGCTATGAAGCAACATTTGTACTGCATGAATCTTGCAGGAGAAAATAGAGATTTTGCCAATTGCCAAGAATCTACATTAGTCAATCACATAACATGATTAGCCAATTCCATTAATCTCAAATGCCACTAAATACACTGTAAATCCTTAGCTGAGTTACTTATCTTCTCTGGGTTTTTCTGATCCCAGTTTGACTAGCCATCTTTACTGATGAGTAAGCAAAGCTTCCTTTACTTTGAAATGTGTGTGATTCTAGATATAAACATTTGCAAGTGACAAAACAATTTATTTCTCTAGGTTCAGTGGCTGATCAACAGTTTGTTTTCTACAATTTAATTGCTTAGCATTTAGGAGATAGCTCCATCTGAATGTGCTTTCTAATCTCTGCTTCCCCATAAATTGGGAATTAGACAAAGTACTTCACTAGCTTCACAGTGTGATCAGCATGATGAAATTACTCAGAAGGCATGGGTCCAATTCTGGTGACATTTCGCCAATATATACACACTACAAAGGTAAATAATTGAATCAGTGTATAAATGAACAGTATTGTGCATCTGTGCTGTTCAAAATTGGCACATGTGAATATTAACATTTAAATTAAAATCAAATTAAATTAAATATTTAATTTCTCAGTCACATGAAACATAATTTAAATGCTCAATAGCCACATGGGTTTAGAGGCTACCAAATTGGACTGCACAGATACAGAACATTTGCATCATCACAGGCAATTCTATTCTAGAAAACTTCTTTAGACATTATCCTCTGATTTTCCCACCTTGAAAATCCAGCTGAAATTCCCTGCCTACTTCACAATGTAGGTGTAATGATCAAATGTCATAATCAATGTATATATGGATATATATATGGATGTGTGTACATATGTATAGTTATGATAATAATATGCCTATATATGCATATATGCCTATATACATATACATATGACACGCCTATATACATGTATACATATATGCATATATAGACATATTATTATCATTATTTTTCCATTGTTTTATCTTTTTTATCAAGCAAAATATAAAACTTCTGGATGAATATATAGTACTATTCCCAGAGGCAAATATGCCAGCATATATAAATGTGTTTGCAAAAATGTTTTATATTTACACCCATAAATTACTATTTTTAATACTTTCAAAATCACATTTTCACCTCTGTGATCTATGCAATTTTTACTTCATTTTCTAAATAAGGATGAGGTCTGTTTGTTATTAATTATATTGAATGAGGTCACATAACATTTTGTTTAACAGAAGTGCAGAAGTGTGTTATAGGTTGTTTTAGTACTATAGTAAACACTTGACAATACACCAGTCATCTTAATAAGATATGAATGATTTAATAAGATATGAATAACTATACAAGGAAAGCAAAATATAACTTCACAAGGAGTGAGGAATATGTAATGTATAGAGTTGAGTACCTGCAGTTTTTATTCAGTTAAAACTTGGTGTAGGTGAATTGAAGGATCACAAAACCACACTACCATATGACTTACTGAAACATTTTCTCTTTTTTTGTTACATACGTGAAAAAACCGTCTGTCTATTTTCTAGTTTCTAGTAATGTTGTCTCCTAGACAGGTGCTTTAGAAATAATAGGCCTATTTGTTCTTTATACCTTGCACTCAGAACAGAACTACTTTGCTGAATTCATTGCCATTTTGAAGATACTGTACCTGAAAGTTACAAACTACCTAATAACTCTAAATTGACTCTTATTTTTCATAACTTAGTTGCTCACCACAGCTCCCTGTGCTCATTACTCTGCCAACATCTGTGATTGCTAAGAGGTTGGAGAGAAAATTTTGAGCAACAGAAAAATGTCATATTGTTCTTCCAATAATACGTGCCTAGGAAACACTAAAGAAAAACTATTAGGCCTATGTCTATAATAAAAGAAGTTTCACATAAAAATAGAGGTGAATTAGTATTTTGCAATTGCACTTTTATATTTAGTTCTTCATGTAAATGCAATTGATGATTTTAAAATTATGACATTGTTTATATTAATGATGTTTAATAATATGGTATATGATATTAATAATATTAATATATTATTAGTATATCATTTTAAGACTTTATATTACTTAGAGAATGTTTTCCTTTGTAAGCTGGTTATACTAGTACACCAGAATAATGATTATTAGACATTCAGATATAACCTGTAAAAATTACTGCAAAATTTTCATGTATTATGTTACATAAATATGTATATATTAATTTATATACACATAAACTGATTTCAGCTGTTCTTATGAATATATAAATGTATATATATGCATTCATGTTTATAATAATATATGAATACAAAATAATTGTGTGTTTTATGTGAGTATATGTGTGTTTGTATATGTTTTTAATATGTGTGTATGTATATTCAGTTGCAAATTAAAATATGAACACAAAATCAGTATATTTTGAAACAATAAAATAGATATAAATCTAACAAAGCATGTACAAGATGTGAAGAAAACTGCAAATTCTGATTAATAAAATCAAACAAGAACTAAATAAATGCAGAGATATTCCATGTTTATGGACAGAAA
The DNA here is from genome assembly GCF_000001405.40 of Homo sapiens. Lineage (NCBI taxonomy): Eukaryota > Metazoa > Chordata > Mammalia > Primates > Hominidae > Homo > Homo sapiens. The sequence goes on from NC_000002.12 coordinate 77,248,441, forward strand.
GACTTGATATTGTCAAGATGTCAGTTCTTCCCAAATGATATATAAATTCAATGTAATGCCAATCAAAATCCCAGAAGCTTATCTTGTAGATATAAACAAACTAACTCTAAAGTTTATACAGACAGATAAAAGACACTGAATAGCCAACACAATATTGAAGGAGAAGAACAAATTTGGAGTTCTGACACTATCTCATTTCAAAACTTACCATAGAGTTATAGCAATCGTGACAGTATGGTACTGGCAAAATAATCGATAAATAGACCAATGAAACAGAACAGAAAACCCTGAAATAGACGCACATAATTATAGTCAACTGATCTTTGACAAAGGAACAAAGACAATATAATGGAGAAGAACAATCTTTCCAACAAATGATGTCAGAACAACAGGACACCCACATACAAGATAATGAATCTAAACAGAGACTTTATACTCTTTACAAAAATTTACTCAAAATGGATCACAAACCCAAATATAAAAGAAAAAATATAAAACTCTTAGAAAAATAACATAGAAGAAAATTTAGATGAACTAGGGTTGGTGATAACTTTTTAGGTACAACACCACAAGCATGATCCATGATAGAATTGATAAACTGAAATTCATTAAAATTAAAAATTTGGGGGCCTGGCGCGGTGGCTCATGACTTTAATCCTAGCACTTTGGGAGGCTGAGGCATGTGGATCACCTGAGGTTGGTAGTTTGAGACCAGCCTGGCCAACATGGTGAAACCCCGTCTCTACTAAAAATACAAAAATTAGCTGGGCTTGGTGGTGAGTGCCTGTAATCCCAGCTACTCAGGAAGCTAAGGCAGGAGAATTGCTTGAACCTGGGAGGCAGAGGTTGCAGTGAGCCGATATTACGCCATTACACTCCAGCCTGGGTGACAATAGCAAAACTCCATCTCAAAAAAATAAAATAAATAAAATGAAATAAATTTTTTGGTCCACCAAGGACACTGCCAAGAGTATGAAATGAGAAGCCACAAACCGTAGGAAAATATTTGCAAAAGACATATCTGACAATGCATTGTTATTGAAAATATTAAAAAAAAAACTCTTAGATATCAACAATAAAAAACAGAACATAGAGATGGCAAAAAAGCATATAAACAGATATTCCATATTCCATATTATATGTCATAAGAAAATGGAAATTAAAACAACAAGAAGATACCACCACCTATCTATTACAATGGCCAAAATCCAGAGCGCTGATAATACCAAATGCTGGCAGGAATGTGGTGGAACAGTAACTCTCAATTATTGCTGGTGGGAATGAAAAATGGTACAGCTACTTTGGAGGACAGTTTAACTGTTTCTTACAAAGCTAACATACTTTTACCATATGACCTAGCTAGCAGTCATGCTCTTTTGTATTCATCCAAGGGTGTAAAACTTACATCCACAGAAAAATTTGCACAAAAATGTTTCTAGAAGGTTTATTCATAATTGCCAAAACTTGAAAGCAACTAAGATACCCATCAGTAGTTGAATGGATAAATAAACTATGGTCCATCTATATAATGGTATATAATTCAGTGCTGAAAAGAAGTGAGCTATCAAATCATCAAAAGACATGAAGGAAACTTAAATGTAAATTATTACATGAAAGAAACCATTCTGAAAGGCTACATACTGTATGATTCTAACTACAAGATGTTTTGGAAAAAGCAAGATTATGGAGATAGTGAAAAAAAATCATAATTGCCAGAAGTTAGAAGGGAGGGAGGTATACCATGGCAGTGCACAGAAGATGTGTAGGGCAGTGAAACTATCACGTCATAATAAATTTGCTAAAATTCATAGAATGGCACCAAGAGTGGACCCTAATGTAAATTATGAACTTTGCGTGATAATGATTTTCTTTGTGTGATAATGAATTTCAATATACATTTGTCCGTTGTAACAAATATACTACTTAGGTGGAGGATGTTGAAAAAAGGGGAACATATGCATAGATGGAGTAGAGGGATATATGGGAAATCTCTGTAACTTCTGTCCAATTTTATAGTGAATCTAAAACTTCTCTAAAGATAAAGTTATTAAAATAAAACACTACTGAAACGTTACATATACACTATGTAAATATAATCATATACTAATTTATATGTACATAAACAGGTCTTCTTAAGTGGTTTCATAAATATTTAAATGTACATATATGCATTAATTGGTAAAGTAAAATATGAACACAAATTGTACAGAAAAATATAAAAGCTTTTCAGAAAGGCAAAGGCTTAAGCACATGGGTTTGATTTCTCTTTCTCTCCAATATTCCCACTGAAATGATCAAAGGCATACATTGTGTGCAGCAGGAAAATGTTCACAGATTGTCCTTGTATACTTAACCTCTTCTTCTTATTTTCAAAAAGTAGCAGCCGGGCGTGATGGCTCACGCCTGTAATCCCACCACTTTGGGAGGCTGAGGAGGGCAGATCACCTGAGGTGGGGAGTTCGAGACCAGTCTGACCAACATGGAGAAACCCCATCTCTACTAAAAATGCAAAATCAGCTGGGCATGGTGGTGCATGCCTGTAATCCCAGTTATTTGGAAGGCTGAGGCAGGAGAATCCCTTGAACCTGGGAGGTGGAGGTTGCAGTGAGCCGAGATAGTGCCATTGCACTCCAGCCTGGGCAACAAGAGCAAAACTCTGTCTTCAAGAAAAAAAATATATATACACACATATATATGTATATATATGTGTGTATATATACATATATATGTGTGTGTGTGTATATATATACACACACACACATATATATGTATATATGTGTATATATACATATAGGTGTGTGTGTGTGTGTATATATATATACACACACACATATATATATGGGCTTTGGGGTTTTTAGCCACAAATTTTGAATTATCATAAAAAAGCTAAATGCACTTGTCTATTGTAGATTTTTAAGCTCAGCAGAGAGGATTGCTAGGAGTTCCAGGGAAATGGAGGAAGAAAGAGAACAAGAAGTCACTACATGGGAATGGAATTGAGATGAAAAGGAAGCTAAGTAATATGTGTACTTGAATTCACCCCAGGGAGAATATAGGACCTCAGAAGTTATAATAAACAACGTGAGTCTAAAGCTAGCTATGTATCATATCCCTGCTCTGTGAACTTCACCTGTGTTTATTCATCTAATCTCCACAAAAATCTTTTGATATCAAGTATTATAATTTAAATTTTACAAATGAAGAAATCTGAGATGAAGAGAGGTTATATAATAGCCAAGGCCATGGAACTAACAGTAGAGACTATATTTGAGCCAGAACTACTTAGCACCACTGCCCTTGCACTCACCCACTATACTCTGTGACTGCTAATGGCTGCATGGGGTTCTAGTCTTCACATACATGGTATTTTGTTGGCAAATTCTTCACTGTCATGTCACTAAATAAAACCCCAGGAATTTGTCTTCCTGAGATTGATGATATTTGGGTGGGTGGTGGTGATCACAGGTTGAGAATTCCCAGGATTGGATTTTCCATAAGCCTACTAAATGGGAGCTCAGAAGCATGAATATGTTAATTTAAAAATATTGAAAATAAAATATTCCCTACGACTTGCAGACAGATAACAGTATGCAAGAAACTTTGAGGACTTTAGATAAAGATATCATTGGTTCTGATGAAAAGTCAACAAATCCGTCATTCACCAAACTCAAGACAATAGTTGGCACCAGAAATGTGTGAAGCAGATTGCAATGGGTCTTGCTTTAGAATATCTAAGACCTGAGATAGGGAAGTTGCTGGAGCATGTAAGGGGTGTAAATCTTGATCCAACTATAGCCTTGGGGAAGGTCATCAGATACCTTAGATGACACAGTATAGGGATCCTGCATTGGCATATATGGTACCCTACATACACTTGGGGCAGCCAGATTTGCTAGGCAAAGAGGTTTGGTTTTTAGTTTGTCTTTTTTCTAACAAACAAGGTCAACTTAACCTCTGCGGGAACAGGAGCCATGCCCTAACCAACTTAGTGACACAACCAAAATGGAGACAGAAGACCCATGCTATACTTGCTGCTATGACTCTATGTAACCACCCTCCTAAGTCTTTTTAGATTTTAGGGCCTCTGAATCAGAAAAGAAAATTAAAGTGAATTTAAACTTTTTTGTTTCCTACCTCATTTCATTTTAACAAATTCAAACCAAAACGAACCCAATCTTCAAGGTGATCCTTCCAAAATTTCAACAAAGTGCAAGCACACTGGAAGGGCAAGGAGAAAAGCATCACTGTCTCTAAAAGAAGACGGACAACTATGGGGAGGGAAAAGAGTGGTGACTAAGAAAAACGTTGCGTGCCTCTGAGATGGGGACATTCCTGGATTTGGGGGAGGAAATGACATGGAGTTTAAACAAGAGAAATTTATTCTCTTAAAGTTCTGGATGTTAGAAGTCTAAGTTCAAGGTCTTGGAAAGATTGCTTCTTCTCATGCCTCTCACCTAGACATGTAGATGGCTGCCTTCTTCCTATGCCTTCATATGGTCGTTGTGTTGTTCCATCCCTGGCTTTTAAATCTATGTAAAATTGCCTTAAATTTCTCCTGTGCCCAATAATTCTCTCCCTGCCTCCCAAATCTCATAGTTTCTGGAAGACCAATGTTTTCCCAAGTGTCCACGCTAATACCAGGGAGGTTACACTCTCCTCACCTTCTCTGTCTCTTGCATTATTTACTTGTCCTAATACATTGGCCTTAATATAAAACATGGCTATTAGTCCTACCATTTTCAAACATAAAAAATATAAATAAATAAAATGATTAATCAAACAGCCATACACTGAAAATGGGAGGATCCCATACTTTTATTCATACTTTAGGGTTATAAGATACTCTTCCCTACTTTTACCTGGGTTGGACCTAGTAGAGAGTCAGGAATTTACCACCACTCAGTAGTAAAGAGGGTTCTCTCTTCTACTCTAGCTGTCAATAGAGGCCAACTAGGGAATCTGGGCTTCAACCTAGCACGAATGAGAAGAACTCTCCTAACCTCTGTTGAAGCTGTTTCAGAGAGGCCACCCTGAACTATATTTAAATGATATCTAGAGTCTCCTACCCAGTCCTGCAGTTATTCATAATTTAATTTTTAAAAAATACCTTGACATATTGAGAACCAGAAAAATCTCAACTTGAAAAGGAAATGACAACTAACAGATGCCAACAATGAGAAGATGTCAACGTGAGAAGTATCTGAGAAGCATTTTAAATTGTCCAACATAAATTTTCCTCTATGAGCAATTATGATGTGATATAATTATAAAATAGAAGGATTTGTGAAGAAATAGAATATATAAAAAAGAATATGAAGAGAGTATAATCAAAAGTATGTAATCTTCATTTTTTAAAAAAATTTTATGCAATCTGAACAACAGAAAAAAATACCCTGGAGGGAGAAAGCAAAGCCTCAGGAATCTGTGGGACGATTACAAAAGATCTAACATTCATGTTCATACTCCTGGGAGGAGAAAATAGAGAAGAGTTGAAAAGATAGTTAAAGAAACAGTCTGAAAACTTTCCAAAATTGACAAGATATAAACTTACAAATTCAAGAAGAGCAAATCTCAATCAGGACAATATATGTATGTTTATATATACACACACATACATCATACATACATATACACACAACTATATAGGTGTACACACATATGTATACCTATAGATAAAGTAAGCATCTGAAAACTAAGGAAAGAAAAAAGTATTGAAAGCAGAGAGAAATGGTACCTTACCTTTAGAGGATAAACATTCAAATGGCAGTAAATTTGTCATCAGAAATCATAAAGGCAAAAAGAAAGTGGTATCACATTTTTTAAATGCCTGAAAAGAACTATCATCCTAGATTCTATATCAAGCAAAACTATCCTTCATAAATGAGAGGAATATCAGCAATTCTTGATGGAGGAAAATAAAACAAACAAAAAAGTAAAACAAAACAAAACAAAAGTGAACTGTTGCCAAACTTACCCTAAAAGAACAGATTTAGGGCATTCTCTAAACAGAATGGAATTAATAAAGGAACAAACCTTGGAATATTAAGAAGGAAGGATGAAAAATAGGAATAAAAAATATGGGTAGATAAAATGGATCTTTCACTTTTCTATTGAGTTTTCTATATTATTTTTGATGGTAGAAGTAAAAATTTTAACTGCCAAATGCGGTTCTCAATAAATGTAAAGAGAATAAATTTAAGATAATTAGCTTATAATCAAGGGGGAGTAAAATAAAATAAAGGGATAAATGTTTTCTCTACTTCAGTTGAGCTATTAAAATGTTGATAGCAGTAGACCTTAGTAAGTCATGCATAGAGAAAATACTTAAAAATTCTATACAAGGAGATATACTTAAAAACACTATTGATAAATAAAAACAGAATTTTAAACAATGGTCAAGTAACCTGCAGGAATAGAAGTAAAAGCGAACAGAGAAATAGGAAAGAGAGAGGGCAAACAGAAAAAAAAAAAAAGGACAGTCATAAGCGATGACATATCAATAATTACATTCATTAAACGTAAATAATCTAAATAAAACAAAACACAGAGATGAAAGAAGTGAATTTAAAAATGTGATGCTACTACATGTTGTCTATGAGAAACTCACTTAAAATATGATGATATATGTGGTTTAAAAGTAAAAGTATATATAAAGAATATGTGCATAATCAAAGAAAACAGTCATAGCTGTATTAATATAAAGTACACTTCATGGAAAACAAAACTACTAGTAACAGACAAAGTCATTACATAGCGATAAAAGGGCAAATCCAGCAGAAAGATATTAAGCCTAAATATGCATTCACCAAAGAGAGATACAAAATATGTGAAGCAAAAACTGATAGATTGAAAGGAGAAATAGGCTAATGCACAATTACAGTCAATTCTTCCACTCCCATCTCTCAAGCAGTGATAAACAACTAGACAGAAGTTCAGCAAGTATATATAAGAACCAGTATCACTATCATTAAACTACAGGATCTACTTGATATTTATTGGTCACTCTACCCATCAACAGGAGATTACATATTATTTTCATATGTTGACAGAACATGTATCAAATAGATTGTATCCTAGACCATGAAACACACTTCAAAATATTGAAACACATTGAAATTTTACAGAGCATACACTCTGACTGCAATGGCATCAGAGTAGCTATCAATAATAGCACAATAACAGGAAAATCCACAAATATTTGGAAATTAAATCACACTTCTAAATAATCCATGTGTCGAATAGAATATCCCAAGGGAAATAGAAAAAATAATACATTTAACTGAATAAAAATGAAATTACATGTCAATATATGTGGTTTGTACCTCAAGCAATGACGAAAGATAAATTTATAGCATTAAACAATTTATAGCATTAACCAAAAAGTCTAAAGTCAGCAATCTAAATTCCCACATTAAGGAACTAGAAAAAGAAAAGCAAAATAAACCCAAAGTATTAAGAAGGAAGAAAATAATGAGACAACAGAAGCCAAAACCAATGAAATAAAAACAATAAACAACAGAGAAATTCAATGTAACAAAATTTGGTTCTTTGAGAAAACTGATAAAATTGATAAACCTCTAGTTTAACAGCCGAGAGAGACAGAGAGAGAACAAAGGAGGAAAAACACCAATGTCATGAATAATATTGGGGTTATCTTTATAGTCTCTGTAAATATCAGAAGGTTAATAACAGAATGATGCAAACAATTCCACAAAAATTAATTTGACAACACAGGTAAAATGGACCAATTATTGAAAGCACAAATTATCACTACTCGGCCAATTTGAAATAGAGAGTGTAACTTGCCCAATATCAATTAAGAAATTTGTTTATTTTAAAATACTAAAAAATAAATCTCCAGTCTAGAATGGTGTCGTTGGTAAACTATACCAAACATTTGAAGAAGAATTAATGATTTTAAACAAGCTCATCTAAAAAAACAGAAGAAAAGAGAAGACTTCTCATATTGTTTTGCTATGCCCCCACCCAAATCTCATCTTGAGTTGTAGCTCCCACAATTCCCACATGTTGTGGGAGGGACCCAGTGGGAGGTAATTGAATCATGGGGGTGCATCTTTCCAGAGCTGTTCCATGATAGTGAGTAAGTTTCATGAGATCTTATTGTTTTATAAAGGAGAGTTGCCCTACACAAGCTCTCAACTGCCAACATATATTTAAGACATGACTTTGTTTCTCCTTGCCTTCCGCCATGATTGTGAGGCCTCCCGGCCATGTGAAACTGTGAGTCAATAAAACCTCTTTCTTTTATAAATTACTCAGTCAAAGGTATGTCTTTATCAGCAGAATGAAAACAGACTAATGCAATTTGAGAACATTTTATGTAGCTGATATTATTCTGTTACTAAAACCAGTTGATAAAGTCCATAGGGAAGGAAGGAAGAAAGAGAGGAAGGGAGGGAGGGAGGGAACCAAACAGTGTTCCTCAGGAAAAACAGACACAAAAACCCTTAACAAGTAATATATAAAAAGATGTATAGAACATGACAAACTTGGGTTTATTCCAGCAATGCAATGCTGGATCAATATTTTAAAATCAAGAAATGTAACCCACCATATTAATAGGCTAAAGAAGAAAAATTGCGTGGTAACATCACTTGATACAGAAAACAGCTTTGTCAAATTTCAGCCCTCATTCATGACAAAAACTCAGAAAACTAGTACCAGATGGGAACTTCTTCAACTTGATAATACTTTTTCTAAAGGCTACAAAAATCCTACCGCTAACGTCATAGTTAATGGTGAAAGGCTGAATGCTTTTTCCTAAGTCTGGGAATAAGGCAAGGCTATCCACTCTGACCACTGCTATTCTAAAGAGAATTGGAAGTATTAACCAAATAAAATCATCTACAAAAAAAAAACCCTCTAGAATAAATACATGATTTCAAAAAGTTCACAGAGTGCAAAATAAACTTTATAAAAATTGCATTTTAATATGCTATCAATAAATATGTGAAAACCAAAATTAAAAGTACACTGCCAGTTAAAACCACTCATAAAAGGGGAAATACATAGTTGTACATTTAATAAAGCAGGCAGAGCACTTTTTTGCTGGAAAGTCCAACTGCTGATGAAATAAAATATCTTTATAAATGGAAAGTCATGATATTCACAGATTAGAAAACTTTTTATATACTTTTCCTTTGCTTTAGGAAAGCCTTGACAAGAGCAGGAAAAGATAAGTTATAGACCGAGAGAAAATATTTGCAAAGCTGAGAAATAACTTAGATCAAAAATTTATAACAAACTTAAAAATACAACACACACACACACACACACACACACACACAAATCCAATTAGAAAATGGAGAAAAACATTAAGTGACATTTTACTGAAGAGAACACATTAATGGCAAACGACCATGTGGGAAGATATTCAATAGCAATACCCATAAGGGAAATATAAATTAAGACAATGAAGCAGTCGGGAGTTCGAGACCAGCCTGACCAACATGGAGAAACCCCGTCTCTACTAAAAATACAAAAAATTAGCTGGGCGTGGTGGTGCATGCCTGTAATCTTAGCTACTGGGGAGGCTGAGGCAGAAAAATTGCTTGAACCTTGGAGGCAGAAGTTGTGGTGAGCCGAGTTAGTGCCATTGCACTCTAGCCTGAGCAACAAGACCAAAACTCTGTCTCAAAAATAAAAAGAAAAGAAAAAAAGAAAAAAAAAAAGACTACGAAGAAACACCACCACACATCTAGTAAAATAACTAAAGGTAAAAATAGCGACACCACCAAATGCTGGTGAGGATGTGAAGAAAATGTCCCTTTTACTGCCAATGAATATGTAATATGGCAAAGTCACTGTAGAAAATAGCTTGACAGTTTTCCAAAAAGTTAAGTACACGTTACCATACCACAGATCATTGCACAATGGAGATATTTATGGGATGCAATAGCTCTATATCTTGATTGTGTTTTGTATTGGTGGTTTCATGAATGTACTCATGCAATAAAATGACATAGAACTATAATCACATTTTATAATACCATCATATTACTGGATTTGCTGTTGCATTTACAGTTACATAATGTATAATCCATGAGGAACCCTGAATATATAATACCTGAGAACTCCCTGTACTATCTTTACAACTTCCTGTGAATCTGTAATTATTTCAAAATTAAAAATTAGGAAAAAAAAACAAAATAATTCAATAAAACAAACATGGCACTGAGATAGTAAACTCGTAAACCCTTTTTGTTATGGTTAAATTATTGGTTATATTCAGGAAAATTGTTAAAAACTTGGAAATAGGGCAAATGAATAGCTGCATATTCTCACCATTCTTATTTTTAAAAAAAAAATACAAGTTCCGCAACTCAAATAGAAATCTCAGTGAGACTTTTGCTGAAACAAGTAAATTCTGATAAAGTTCACCTATTAATTAGAATAATATAAGAGTGATATTTTTAAAAACATACCAGGCAAAAATTAAAACAAAACAAAAACAAAAATAAGATAATTGCAAAGATGTATAATATCTTAATATTTAAAGAAGGAGGCCTGAAGGAGCAGGGAATATGGATTTTTACTAGGAAACATCAAAACACATTTAAAAATTACTGTAATTAAGTGTGTACATTATTGACCAGAAATCAGTGTGGAGATATTTGACACTAATCAGAATGCTCAAACATAAATATAAAAAACTTAAAAAAAAATTTGTGTTTTTTAAAGTACTAATATTAGTAACAGAATATACTGAGTCAATAATATGGGCTTAAGAATTCAGTAAACTTAGATGTGAATTCTGACTCTTCCAGTAACTGGCTGTATGACATTGAGCAAATTTTTTAATCTCTCAAAAACATCTTTTAAACACTCATAAAGTGGAAACAATAATACTGTCCTTAAAAAGTGTTATGAGTGTCAATTGAGACAATGCACACAATATGCTGAGTGCTTGACAGATAGCAATTTCTCAATATATATTAGCTGTCATAAATCATCATTATTTATAATTTTAATTCATTCAACAGCATTTTTGAGGGCTATCTATGTTTCAAGGACTATGTATCACTACACTGGTGAGGCATTAATAATCAAGACATACTCACTTTCGTGGGAAATCTAAAAAGGATACAGATGAATAGACATAAATAGTTATGGTAAAATAAAAGAAGTTTGGGAAGTGTGGTGTTCAATAGGTAGGAAACCAGACCCAGGGTTAAAATGTAGGCACACCCTTTCCAAAGTGACTGTTCCCTAAGGTTATATATGAAGGATGAGTGAGTGGTCTAGGTGAATATCCAGGAATGGAGAAAAATGAGCTAAGATAGTGAGCATGATTCAATACAGAGGATATATCATATGCAAGGCCAAGAGAAAATAATTTTTACAGTGTTGATATAACCAGCTTAGTTTTCATTCCTTCCATATATAACACCTACTCGTTTGATGAACAAAGAGGTTCAATAAATCAGCCCATGTCAAGAGCCTTGTAGGTCAAAATAAAGTCATGTCTCTTCAACTGATTGTTGTGAATGGTAAGAGAAACACAGAAAGGAAAGGAGAGTGCATTCTATGTGGAGAGTTGCGAAGTGAAAAGAAAATTAGTGTCAGGAGGTTTTAGATGTAAATTAAAATAACCAGTCTAATAGATGATAGGGTTTCTTCTGCAACTAGCAAGATACAATTCTGTGTTAGATGATTATAGAAGGTCTTTACTAGATTTTTAAGAGAGGTTATATTTCTCAAATGTACAGAATACTCAGGTTTACAAATATGTGGGCAAGGCACAGCTTATGTAGGTAAAGAATAAACCCATCCAAAATTTCTTAGAAGAGGTTGAAGATACAGAAAATATGAACGAGTAAAAGTGCATAGGGCAGTCTCCAGGAGCTTCCTGCATTAGATTTTCTCTAATACTTCACCTATCATTGAAGAAATTGGAAGTACTACCAAAAAATCGTGTGTGTGTGTGTGTGTGTGTGTGTGTGTGTGTGTGTGTAGATAGTTGATTGGCTGCTATCAACGAACAGTTGTGATTTATAATACAGTACTATACAAGTGGATAACAATATTTAGATACCAAACCACTCCTTACCACAAGTTAACAATATGTTTTCCTAATAGCTATTAACTACCACAACATTATGAAAGAGATTCTAATTTGCCATCATTTAGTTCTTGATGCAATTAAGAAAAGTAAATGTAGACTGAGTTTGCACCAGCATGCAACAGCTAATTCAACTAAATTCAAAGGCACACATGCAATAAATGCTGTCAAAACATAGCATTTTTCATAGGTGATTGGGCATTTACATTTGGAGTGGGTTGTTAAAATTGTAATTATCCAATTTAGAAGGCAAGAGAACAATCTCCTTATGAAAACAAAGTCACGCCGAGCCTGATCAAAATGCAGTTGGGAACCTTATGTGAATGTATGACGCTAGAATTGGCGACAATTTTAGAGTAATGATTCCAGGAGATGAACCATAGGATAACTTGTGCTAAGGCAATAACTTCAAAATAATAGTCTCCTATATTCACATATATTATACTTCTTCCATATTTCCTATTTTTTTCATTGATAAGTCTTAGGCAGACACAAATTGGAGGAAGCATGAGTATTGTGTGTAGCCTATAGGTGAAAAATTGAGATCTGCAGTGGTGTTCATAGTTCCTCTAGAGAAAGGATTGAGCATATTGTCAGCACAGAATATTAAGCAGAGTTCAGAAAAACAGAGTTCTCAAATAGCTTGGGAGTAGTAATAAAAAAAAAAGAAATTGGATGAAAGTAAGCCAAAGCGTAGTGCAGAAAGAGAAAATATGAATGTGTGGTAAATTTACACTCACCAAATATTCTATTATTTTCCCTACATTTCCCAGTCCTCTCACAGCTAGACACGGTCATATATGCTCTAGTCAATGGGCTGTGAAGAAAAGTGGCATTAGACATTTCTGGACAAGGGCAGTGAAAAGCCGTTTTGTAACCATCCATGATATCTTTTCTCATCCTGGTGAAACTACAACATTGTTCGAGATGGTGGTGTCATGTGAAGTTTTGTCAGTCTTGGTCCCTGAATAAGAAGATTCCCCTAGTGTCTCAAACTGGAAATGAAACATGAGAAATAAATAAAGCTGGATTGCATGAAGTCTTTATTATTTTTTTTAATTGCTAAACCTAGCCTTTCCTGACTAATACACCTGGGGTCCCGGAAAAGGGTCCCAGGATCTAACAGGATGCCTAACAGCATTAAGATAACTGATCATGGTGGAGAGAGAGGGTTCTCCATCCTGGTCTATGGCTCCTATTGATATTTGTGTAAAAATCAAATAAACAACAACAATAAAATACAGTTCCCTGTATACACATTTTTAACTTAAAATTTTTTAGTACTTTCTGATTTACTTAACATCTCATTACAGTAGAGGTCCTATACAACATGGGTTCCCAACCCAGCCTGGATTACGGACTGGTACATGGCCTGTAAGAAACCAGGCCTCACAGCAGGAGGTGAGCAACAGGTGATTGAGCAAAGCTTCCTCTGTATTTACAGCCATTCCCCAGCATTGCCACCTGAGCTCCACCTCCTGTCAAATCAGCGGTGGCATTAGATTCTCATAGGAGCATGAACCCTATTGTGAACTGAGCATGCAAAGGATCTAGGTTGCACACTCCTTATGAAGACCTAATGCCTCATAATCTGTCAGTGTCTCCCATCACCTACAGATGGGACCGTCTAGTTGCAGAAAGACAAGTTCAGGGCTCCTACTCATTCTACATTATGGGGAGTTGTATAATTATTTCATTACATCTTACAATGTAATAATAATAGAAATAAACTGTACCATAAATGTAATGCACTTGAAGCATCCCAAAACCATTCCCCCACCCCAGTCCATAGAAAAATTGTCTTCCACAAAACCAGTCCTTGCTGCCAGAAAGGTTGGGGATCACTGCTAGACACCCCTTCCTATTTCCCCTATTATTAACATCTCACATTAGTATGGTACATTTGTTATAACTAGTGATCACGGATACATTATGTTTAATTAAAGTCTGTACTTTATTTACATTTGTTTAGTTTTTACCTAATTTTTTTTTTCTGTTCTAGGATCCCATCTAGAATAACATTTTTTTTTCATGTTTTCTTAGACTTTGATAGACTGTGAGTCTCTCAGACTTTACTTGCCTTTGATGACCTTTACAATTTTGAGGGGTACTGATTGGGCATTTTGTAAAATGTCTTTCAATTTTGGTTTTTCTAATATTTGTCTCATGGTTAACTCATGGTTAATATTTGTCTCATGGTAAAACCCATGATTATGGGTTTTGGGCAGGGATATCACATCGTACCAAGAGTACTGCAATATTGCGACTTATATAATAATGTATTTGTTCCTAATCCTGGCACAGATCTCCTAGAGCTCTGAAAATTTCCTAAATGATGAGAGTGATAAAGGTAAAGGGAAGGTCTTTTGTTATTCAGAATAAACACCTTTCAACCATACTAGAGTTTATATCAATGAAGTAGCTTTTGAAAAACCCTCGTGATGGGAGGTTGGTTGCCAAGGGAACGAATCTTAGGATTACAAGTGATTAGAAGGTTACAATTTTCAGCTCCATCCTCAGACCTCCAGGGAGGAGACAGGGGCTGAAGGTTGAGTTAATCACTTAAGGCCAATGATTTAATCAATCATACCTAAGTAATAAAGCCTCCATAAAAACCCTAAAAGGATGGGGTTTGGAGAGCTTCTGGGTTGCTGAACACATAGAGGTTCCTTGAGAGTGATGCACCTGGAGAGGGCAGGGAATTCCACTCCCTTTTCTTCACACCTTGTCCCCTGCATCTCTCCCATCTGGCTGTTCCCTATTTACGTCCTTTGCAATAAACCAGCAATCTAATAGGTGAATTGTGGTTTTGAGTTCTGCAAGCCACTCTAGCAAGTGATTGAACCTGAGAAGCAGGGAATAGGGACCTCTGATTGGTAACCAAGTTGGACAGATGTTGTGGGGAATCTGGAGACCTACTGCTTTGATTCATATCTGCAGTGGGGGTATCTTGTGAATCTGAGTCTTTAAACTGTGGGATCTGACACTATCTCCAGATGGATAGTTTCAAAATTGAATTGAATGGTAGGACACCCAGCCGGTGTCAGAAAATTGGTTGAAGTGGGGAAAACACTCATACATTTGGTATCAGAAGTAAAGTGTTAAGTGAGTGTTAAGAGTATTGTGGAAGAAAACAGTTTTTGTTTTTCCTGCTATACAGATACATACCATTAAAATAATGTCACTGATGATGTTCTTCTTAATCCCCTGGCTAATGTAGTGTAAATTAAGCTTCTTTTACTGTAAAGTTATGCTTTTTCTCTCTTCCCCTACTATATCCTATAGAAGAAAGTTACTTGCTTGTATGTTTTTATACCTAGATTTCACATGGTCCAACAATTCAAACTGAAGTCTCATTTTCCTCTTGAGGAGTGTTCTAATGTTTAATGATACCTTTTCCTGATGGTGTCTATACAAAGGAAGACCTTCAGGTATTAAAGGATCTAACGTGTTAGAGAAAGATATGTTAAACCGAAACTTCTTTAAGTTTTTTTTTTTAATAGAATTTTATCCAATACTTGTGTACCTCTCACAGCAACTCAGAATATTGCTATTTCAGAATTGCATATGGGAAAGTGTATTACTGAGTTCACGCATCCATAAAAAATACCAGAGAATGGGTGGCTTCAACAACAGAAAGGTAATTTCTCTCAGTTCTGGAGGCTGGAAATCTAAGGACAGAGTCAGTTTCTGGTGAGAGCTCTCCTCCTGGCTTGTAGGTGGTCATTTTTACCCTTTGTTCTCATGTGGCCTTTCCTCAGTGCTTATGCACTAAGAAAGCGAGAGAGAGGGAGAGAGAGAGACAGAGAGAGAGAGAGAAAGTACAACCATGCATGCAAGTGAGCGCTCTGGTTTCTTTTTGTATAAAGATAATTACCCTATCAGATCCATACCCCATCCTTATAAACTCATTTAACCTCAGTGACTTCTTTAGAGATCCTATGTCTAACTACAGCCATACTGGGGGTTAGGGCTTCAACTTACACATTTTGGAGTACACAAACTTCAGTCTATAATAGAAAGTAAAGAAATCCAAGACAACTTAAAGAATTCAGGCAATATGTTAAATACCTCATTCAGTAGAAATAAAAGAACAGCAAATCACTGGGAAAAGCATTTTATTTTATTGAGATTATTTGTCTTTGGAAAAGCAATAATATTTACCTTTCAAATGTATTAGATGTCATGACATAATTAGATATAAATCTATTCAAACCAACCCTAAAATGAGGCCCCTTATATAAACACACAACACAATTAGAATGAAATGGTCATCTTGATACTGCTGTACTAATAAGAATTGCCTCTATGAAATGACTATATTCATTGAATTAAAAAGCCCATTATGGATCTCATTCAAAATGCTGTTCACTGAACTCTTCAGAATAAATCTAGTTTGTTTTAGTGGAGTGTTTAGCAGTGTCATTTTTATTTGTTTTCAAAGATGGTAAAACAACAGGATCTTGGAAATTATAATGAGCCATTCACCAAGCAAAGTCACAGTGAATGGCTTTTGTAAGTTGAGAAAGCCTTAAACCAAAAGGGCGATCATGTCACTATAATATGCTAAGAAACAGACAAAAAAGAGGCTTCACATACAATAGAGGAAAAATGCATCAAGGCTATAAAAGGTGATTTTATCTATTTCCTACTTGTTCACCATATTTTCAGTTGTATTTTAACTACTTTATTTATCATATTTGAGAAGGAATCAGTACACTAATATGTTAGCTATGGTTTGAATGTGTCCCCAAAGTTCGTATGTTGTAAGCTATCCCCAATACAACAGTGTTGATAGGTGGAAACTTGAAGAGATAATTCAGTCATGAGGTCTCTGCCCTCATAAACAAATTAATGCTAGTATTCTGGGTGTTAGAGTCTTACAAAAGAATGAGCGTGGCATTTTCTCTCACTCTCTTTCTCTCTACCTTCCCGCTGCCCCTGTGCTGCCATCTTCCAAGTTATGATACAGCAAAAAGGCCTTCACTGGATGTCATGGATCTTGAACTTCCCAGCCTCCAGAACCATGAGCCAAATAAATTTCTGTTTATTATAAATTATCCATCTGTGGCATTGTGTTATAACAGCACAAAACAGACTAAGACAGGACTAATATAGACACTGTTGCATTAGTAATATGTACAAAGAAGTGTACTATGAGATTTTACATGTAATTTCAACAGATTTAATCAATATAAAATCTTGAGAAAATGCTTTTCAAATTGGAGGAAGTATATAAAAGTTTTACTATATTAAAAAGTTAGAATTACACATTTGTAAAACATAATGAATAATAAACTATGTTATATTAGAATAGTTGATTATTTTAGAAAAAAATGCAGTCAGATTCTGACCTAATTTTACCTTACAAAATAAATTTCAGATGACATAAGATTTAGATGTAAAAAGGTAAGCATAACATTACTTGTTGAAAACATAAGTTAGCATTACTGTACTCTAGAGCAGAGGTTGGTAAATTGTGGCCCACAGGCCAAATTTGGTCTGCCACCTGATTTTGTAAATGAAGATTTATTGGAACACAGTCATGCCTACTCATTTACACATTGTTGATGGCTACTTTTGTACTGTAATAGCAGAGTTGAGTAGTTACCGCAGAGATCATATGGCTCACAAAGCCTTAAAGAATTACTATATTGGTCTGAATGGAAAAAGATTGCTTATCTCTGATCTAGATGTAAAGGAAGACTCTTTAAAACATGACAGTAGAGAGACACAATAAAGGAGTATTATTCAGATGTCTTGGCTGATGAAGTAGGTAAAATTTCTGCATGTAAAACTCAACCGTTTATGCAAATTCAAAAGGCAAAGATAAAATGAGATAATAACTTGGTGGAAAAAATGCATGAGATCATATCCTTTCATTTCCCAAATACCAAAAGTGAAAGTAAGAGAATAAAAAATATTGTCACAATGATTAGAAAATAAAGAAGAAGAACAAAGAGCAGATATCAGAAGCAAAATATTTTAACTGATGTTTTGGGGAAAAAAGAAGATAAAAAAGTGTTAAATGATTTAGTAGAGTGGAGGAAATTGCATTCCAAAGGTCTACAGAGGGGATTCTGATGAGAAAAGGGCCTATTAGTCCCACCAATCACCTGAGACAGTGCAGCAGAAGTAATAGTGAATAGTGGGTGCTAAAAATATGTCTGAAAGGCCCAGTGTTTCTGACTGCAGGAAGCAGGAGGACAGTTCTGCAAATCAACAGAACTGTTGGGGCTTCAGACTGCAGGACTTCAGGCACAAGAGAGTGCAGGATGAAGCTTAAGACTGGAACAGGGAGTAAATGTAAGTCAACATGCTCAACACAGAGACCTTTCCCTCTTCTCACAACCTGCTCCTGAAAGCGAGTTGGAGAATAAAAGGTTGTTAAATAATTGTACAAGTTCTGAGGAAACAAAGAAATAAGCAAAAATATGGACACACTGACATTTGATCAAAGGGGTCCTTCCCCACCAAACAAACAGAAACAAAAAAACAAAAATACCCTGCTTTCCTCCTGCTCTCTGTACAGTTGAAGCCACAAGGAAAAAACAATGTCCCCATACAAATTTTCCAATAAGCTTTTTAGTGCCTCATTTATTATCTGCAGAAATCCCCCAGAAAGCAGAAAATGAAGCAATTGAAATCAAGAGAATAGAATCGAATATTTAAAGGATTAATCCAGAAGGTCCAACATATTACTAATCTAGAAAGGCCACTTGCCTTAGTCCAATTTTATACTGCTATAGAGGACTACAGACTGGGTAATTTATAACAATAGAGCTTTCTTTCTCATGGTTCCGGAGGCCCTCTAGTATAAGATCAAGGCACCTGCAGGTTTGCTGTCTGGTTAGGTCTTGGTCTTTGCTTCTAAGATGCCACCTTGAATACTGCATCCTCTGGAGGAGGGAAACACTATTCCCCACATGGCAGAAGAACAGAAGAGAGTGTGAACTCACTCCTGAAAGTTCTTTTTATAGCAGCATTAATACATTTATGAGGGCACAGCCCTCATGACTTGAATACCTCCCATTAGGCCTCACTCTCTCAAAACTACTGTATTCGGGATTAAGTTTTAACATGAGTTTTGGAGAGGAAGAAAACACTCACTTCATAACACCATTAGAGCCCACTTTACCTCCCTGGTTAGTCCTATTTCAAACTGTTCTTCCAGAATATTTTTTTTTGATAATGCTCCTTTCAAGTTCAAAAATATCCTAGTTTGGACTATACATTTTATGATTACACTGTCACACAATTAGAATTTCAAAGAAAAGAGAATAGAAAAATTTTAAATGAGAAAAGGTCTTAGTATGTGCTGGTGAAATGTCAGAGCACTGAGGCTAAATTGAAGTCCTAAACATGTTCAGAAGGGAAAAACAACACTAAAAATGTCCTTATGAAAATGATTAGGCATTATAACATTTTTTTCCTTTATACATCTCTGGCTATTGACTGTCAGCTTCCTTTAACAGCTCATTTTCTTCACTGTCTCGTTTTTCTTTCATAAATTTATACTTATGCTCTTTCAGCTTCCCAATCTATACTTTACCCTTAGATAATCTGATCTATAACCATGACTTCAAATTCCATCAATAAGTCAGTGACTTTCTAATTTCTGTGTTTGGCATATATTTTCCAATTGAGCTCCAGGTCCAAATATATCCAAATGCCCACTAGACATGTGCAGTAAAAAAATAACAAAATATCTTCAATACCCATCGTATTCCCCTCCTTCTTTCATTCCCTTCAACTCCAGCTTGGCCCTTTTCCAGGAATCTTCTTCACTGAATAGCAACACTAAGTTGCAGAAGACAGTATTCTTAGTCATTTTTTGGCCCTTCCCTCTTCATTTCCTTTATACTTAATTCACCACCAAGCCATATTGATTTATTCCTTCTGAATATCCCCTGTGTCTCTCTAAGTCTTTGTATCATCACTCTTACCATCCTGCCTTGGTCTCAGCTGAACTCCTGGAAGTCTTCTAACTGCTTTTCCACCATGCATTCTTGCCTTACCTCCAATCCATTCTGCACGCTGTATATCAAGTGATCTTTTTAAATTACAGATGTGATCACATCAATTCCTCACTTAAAGTCCACTAGGTTATCCCAGTTGCTCTTTTTAAAAAGCTGATATACAATAGTTGTACTCAATTTATTTTAACTCTATGAAAACAAAAAAAAATCTTATAAGGGCTTAAGTAATCTGTCTTCTCCCTACCTTTCTGTATTCTGAATCACTCGTATCCATAGTTACACTAAACTAGCCATAATGACTTTTCTTCAATTTCTGTCATCTAGTGGTTTTCAAAGTGTGGTTTCTGGACCAGAAACAACAGCATACTTCTGGCATTTGTTTGAAATGCCTCTCCGGGAATACTTGTACCCTGCCCCAGTCTGCTAAATCATAAGCTCCACGGCAGGGCCCAGAAATACCTTTTTTGCACAGGCCTTCCAGGTGATTCTGATGCACACTATAGCTTGAGAACCACTGAACCTTTGCACACACTAATTTATTCCCTTATAATTGTCTTCTTTCTCCCTCTTTCTTACTTTCTAAAAATTTTCTAGATCTCAGCTGAAATTTTATTTTTTCTGTGACATTTTCTTTGACCTTCCATCTTTTCTATGTTTAGTTTAGAATTTCTTTTAATAAACTGGTATTTATTTGTGCATTTTCTTTCAAAACAGCTATTACAATATATGATTATATATTTATATGTTTATGTGATTATTTGATTAAATATCTATTTCCCTACGTAGATATTACACAATAGGAGGGCCTGGAGCTGGTTAGATTGACTCATAAATGTTCAAGAATGGTGGCACATAAAAAATGTTGAATAAATATCATTAAATTACTGTGAATAAGTTAAACATAGAAATAAGATAATTACAAAAGTACATGATAAAAAGAAGACAATTAACACATTGCATTGTTAATGACAAATATTCACTGATTTAACACAATAGATTATATGTCATTATATAAAACTTACTGAATTAAACTGTCTGCTAAACACTCTAAGCAAGTGCCATTTAACAAATACAAATTAAATTTAAATACACCAATTGCTGATAATCACTAATAATTTAATGAAAGAAAAAAAGGTTTTAGTTATACAGAGCATGATTATACAGGGATCATTTATAAACAAGGATCTTTGTTAAATTATTTTTCTTAAGTTCTTTTTCTTTCAGTGCACAAGGGCCTTTGTTCAACTATGCTTGTTTTGCATATGTTTTATATAAGAATATTATAATGTTCAACAAAAAGCAAATAATAAAAGAGACTAAATAATCCAATGTTTTATCCTTGGTAACAGTGATTTATTGGAAAGAGCTTGAACTAAACTCCAGGATCCCTGGTTCCTCACATTCTGAATTATGTTGCCTGGTAACTAAGTAACATAGGCACTTTCATGGAGGACCATGCTTCCAACATTGATTTAGCTGTGTGTTTTTTGATTGCTGAAAGACACAGAAGCTGAGGTCCTCTAGCCATAGGCATGCACTAAAGTAGAAAGATGATGATTTAAGATCTGAGCTGTAGCAAGATGTCTGGATTTATTGATAAGGCAGCACTTATACATCTACATCCCTCTACGGAGGCTTGGGCCAAAGTAAAAACCTCTACCTTAATAAGTTATGTATTTGGGTCACTGGTTTTAAGAAAGGAAGAGACAGCTTAGAAAAGTGACCTAGAAAATTGAAAAGTTAGGACTTAATTGGAAGAAAAAAATGAAAAGGTAATAGGTCTTGCTCTCGGTTTGCCAAAGAAGGTTGTGAAATTGTATCCTCTTGCCCTTTCTTTACACTCACTAAAAGGAGATTATTTATATTGGGATCTCTCTATGATGACTCGTGTGAAAATAAGGTTACCCTTGCTTGGTTCTCCTCCAAATGCTCTTTTCTGTGAAAAATATAATTCTAATTTGGTATCACAATAAATGTGTAGTAAAAGGCGCTATGGAATTAACACCTACTAGGGTATTTTCTAGGAGAAAATGTCTGCTCCTTTTTATAAGCCTGAAACTCAAAGGTCTTCTTTCGTAATCTCTGTTACTATTCTACTTCCTCATTCTTATTTGACCATTAACATTTCTGATACTATCCTCACCCTCTCTTATGATAGTGACGAGGCAGCCAAATGACTAGGCAGATAGGGGCATGTCTCTGGTAAATTCCCATCTCCAAGCCAAAGACAGTTTAAAGCCTGAAAGCCAAGCTACAAGTCAAATCCTTGGACCAGATTGAGAATGTGTCTTCCTGTTTGGTGCACTTTCCTCTGGTGGGTCACCACCCTTCACCTATTTCATGTGTAACTACCTTTTTCTAATTGGTTTTCTACACTGCCGTGCCCACTTTAGAGTTGTGTCTTTGCTTTAAGCTTTTTTGCATATTCAAAAACCAATCAGCATGCAATCCCCATTCTGAGTCCTATGAAGACCCCAGGCTCAGTCGGTAGAGGGAGAGACAGCCTGATTTCAGGGAAGAGAAAGCCTGACTTCGGTGAAGAGACAACCTGACTTCAGAGAAGACAATCTGCCCTTGTCATACCCTCTGCAGGTCCCCTCTCCGCTGACAGCCATTTTCATCAGTCAATAAAATTCTTCGCCTTCACAACCCTTCAACTGTCCATGTGACCTCATTCTTCTTGGACGCCAGACAAGAGCTCAGGACCCACTGAATATGGGTACCCAGAAAAGGCTGTCATATAGGCCCTTGTCCTCACTGGCAGAGGGCAGCCAACCCATGAGATGAGGCTAGGGGCCAACTAAGCTGCTAATACACCACCATCTATCGGACTGCAGAAGGTGGAACTAAAGGAGCACTGTAACACCCCATCTGGGGCTTCCAGGTCTCTCACTTGCTTGCTTGCGCCTGGTCTGGCTGTGGGTCCTGCATGGAGCTTGTTCCTGTGCCAGCACCTGGAGCAGCCAGCCAGATCCTGCACTCGCTCACTCACGTGCTCCCTCCCAAAAGAGGTTGAGTGCGGGGGGCCAAGTAGAGGGGGCACCCCTGCTGTGAGTCTAGCAGAGGGGCCAAGAAAAGTGCTGCATCATTAGTTCATACCTCTTTAGCCACCTAGAGTCTACACCATATCATAGCTTCCTAAAGGGTCTTTCTGACTTCTGCTGTTCCCCCTCTAATTAACTTTCCAGGCTGCTACTCAGATTAAAGTTTCTATATTGCTCTGATTATGTCCATCCTTCCTGTTTTAGTTACCACTTACTTTCAGCTAATGGCCAAATTCCTTATCAGAAGATTAAATTTTTTCTCTGATCCAATAGCAGATTTCTTGTTCATTCTTATTTCCTACGAAAATATGCCTCCACCCACCATGTGTCATGCGTACTCACTCCACAGGCACAGGTAGTTCAAACATAAGACTTTACTTAAGTGTCTTTGACTATGTCGTGTTGTTTAACACTTTCAAGCCATTATACTTGCTGTGTTCATTTGCCCAAAATGTCCTATCCCTTTCCTATGGTTTTTTGCTTGGTTAATTCTTAGTCCTCCTTCAACATGTCTCATATTCCAACTTCTTTTTGAAACCTTACCCATCCATCTCTCCTTTCTTCTCAGTGAGCATTATAATCATTCCCTCTGTAACACTCTTATTTTCTCCATGCGTCTATCAACATATATTACACAGATTTTGGTAATAATTTTGGGGTTTTATTGATAAACCTTGCCATTTGTGACTTTTATTGAGCCATTTTTTAGTGGATGGCTCAGGCAAATTGGCACTTTAATAAGGATGTCATGAACAATAGAAAGATGTTATGGTTCAAAGAATGAATCACTAAAAATTAATTTCAAGCAATATAATGAACATAGTAATAGCCATTTTTGAAGGTGTGGGATGTTGGGAAAGGAAGAAGGGAGAAGGGAAAGCAGCATCAATTCATCATGCCTGAGAAGACATGGAGATCTCACATAAAATGAGGTCATTAAACAAGTGTATTGATCATCATTTCTAATTTCTTGACCATTAAAACAAAGTGAGCCTTTTAAATATTAAGTTTTATTTTCAAGATAGAGATTGCTATAGTTTGGATGTTTGTCCCCTCTAAAGCTCATGAAGAAATTTAATCCTTGAGCTTGGAGATGGGGTCCAGTGGGATTTGTTTGTGTCATTGGGGCAGGTCCTTCATGAATAATTTTTACACTTGGTCACAGAGTGAGTGAATTCTCACTCTATTTGATCCCATGAGAGCTGGTTATTAAAAAGATCCTGGCACCACCCTCCTTTTTTTCTTCCTCTCTTGCCATGTGATCTCTTGCACATACTGGAGCATATGAGCCAGTTTAACCTCTTTTCTTGTAAAGTGCTCAGCCTCACATATTCCTTTATAGCAATACAATGGACCAAGACAGATTTATTCAGAATTGTGGAGAGCCATATTTTTACATATGTTCTATAATTTGATAGTTTTAAAGTCATGTATTTTAGAGTACAAAGAAATTTTGATGGCAGTACTTTTTTAGTGAATTCCATCTTAATATTTTCATTCTGTGTGGCATAACAAATTATAATGGGACCACTTTAATCAACTTGTTTTTTCATCCTGTTAATTTCCAAGTCTATTTGGGACATCCATTAAAGTCAATATCCTTAATTTAATGGAAGATTTCCTTCTGAAGTTGCTACATTTTTTTCTGTCTAAATTAACACTGAAGATATGTAATGGATGTGTTAAATAGATAATGCTATTAATGGGAAAAAATGCATAAATTACATAGAAGACCAATAATTTTCAGAGCACCTGTTTTACTTTCAACAGTTTAGATTCTTTTATTGAGTGAATAAGCACTCTGAAGAAAACAAACCTTTACCCTGTATTCTCTATTACCTTAATTTTTAATCACTATGGCAAAATTTTTAATTAATGTAATTCTGTTTTTATTTTAGTATGAATTTAGCACAAGGAAGAGTATAAGCTAATAGTCAAACCCATTTAAACCACACTTTCAAAAAATAACCCAAGGATTTGGGTAGAATATAAGTGGGGGTTATTATTTAGGAAACCTATAATAAGACAAACAGGAATTTCAGAAGTTTCTGGGAATCAGATGTCAGGTTTTTCAAATGTTTAAAGGGGTTGAATGTACAAGACTGTCTTCAAATTTGATGCTTCCCCTTTGCAAACAAAATTACATGACTAATGTATAAAATCAGCAGTACAAATTTTAAATGTGTTGTAGCTTTCTGTTTTGTATTTGATTTTTGACGCCATTTAGAAACAGACACAACTAGTAAGATTCATAAACTGTTAATCATATATTTATCATGTATTGATTGACTTTACAAAACATGTGGATGTTTACATATTACCATATTCCTTAACCAGCATTTTCTTCTTACTAGTAAATGCACCACACATATTTCTTACTTATTTCAGTAGTTAGAAAATTCTTAGGAAATGACCTTCATGAAATCCTTTTTTTTAAGTGTCTCCTAAAAATAGAGAGTAACAATGCTTGAGATTCATTAGTTTGATTACCCTGGAATCCTTTATGTTCACTCTGTGGAAATAATGCCACATTTTATATTTCCAAAGCCCTCACACTCTGTTATGTATTGCTTTCTCTGTCTCTCATATATGATCACATTTACACACACACACATACACACACAATTAAGACATTTGGCAACCAGGCAAGATATTTGTTTCATTTACCATTCTATATATTAAGATACCCAATAATTTATCACGAAAAGGTTAATGAGCATCCAGATGAGATAAAACCCAAGGGTTTTAAATGTTCTTTCAGTGATTTTAAATGTAGCCTTGGCTTCCTGCTATATCTATATCTCAAATTGCAGAGAAACGTGGTGAAACCACAGATACAATAAAGGTCATGGTGTTTGGATGATAAATTTGCTCACCTAACTATCCATATCTCTTATGGGAAGAATTTTTTTATTTAAAGAACTAACAGATATGCTTCCAATGTCATATCAGAAAATAATAATCCTGTGGCTTTTTTCTAGTGTATTTAAAGACTACAATTTAGGTACTCGATCAGTAATTTCAAAGTGACATTAATAAAACCAAATGAGAATGTGTCAAAAGGTTTTGACTAAAAAATCCCAACAACTATTATCACAATTGTATTAAAAGTATTGGTCTCAGAGATTTTTTGGCTCTACAGTACAATAGCTTTTGTGTTTTTAATAGCATAGCTCATTCCAACATCGACTAAAACCTTCATATGGGATTATTAAGACAGAGATAAAAGGAACCACAGAAGAGTTAACAAATAATAACTTTCATTAGGGTCTCCCTCCTTCCAAAAATTTCAAAAACCAGATATTTTGACAGAATGTGTAGCTTGAAGAAGAAACAGAACAAGGATTTGGTAGCCCTCATTGTGAATGGGTTCCATCACATAAACCATGGGCATCACTGCATGTGTCAGCTCTATGTGGGCCACTAAGGACACACAGTCATTAGTGTGCAAAACACTAGAATCCTGATGGCAATAGAAACTACACGCTGTCCAAATGTAAAGTTTAACTCTTAAAAAAAAGAGGGAAGAGACATAAGAGAAAAAATGGTAAGTGGTTTCCATGGGCCATTTAAACTCATCCTGACATATGTAAAGTACTACTGACTATAAATAATCTCTTTTCTTAAAACTTCCATAGCATTTCTCTGTCCCACACTTTTAGTACCCACCTACACTGATTTGCATTGTTATTTATTCCTGCAAAGATTACTTTGTAAGTTTTTAAGCTAGAGTATAAAATCCTATAAGACAAGGTTGGTGGTTTATAAGGTATTGATTTCTCCCTACCTCCAACGTATTTATTAACGTCTTGCATAATTAGTGCTACATAAATACTTACTGAATTATTTTTATAGAACCAAATATAGCCTTATGCAATCAATAGAAGCTCAGTAAATGTTCTTGAATATAAGTTTAAAACATAATTGATAATCAGGCAAAATTATTCTGTAGGCAATGTTATTGTAAAAAGGTCCCCAAAATAAAATTACGAGCATACAAATCAATTCAAGAAACATAATTATATAAATAGACCTAAGGCTTTTTAAAACTACTGTGTATCTTGCTTGGCTACCCTCCGGTCTATGCAAGGATTTAGGCTTCTAGGGACCTGCGATGTGTTCCTCTTCTGCTGGACCTCACCTGGACTGGCCTTTACTCAATCTATGTAGCAGTACTAGCCAAGCTTGAACATTGCTTTTAAAGGCAGGTATTAGAAAGCTCCTGGACCCTCAAGAGTAATGTGATACCAAATCAAAGAGATAAATAATATAGATAAGGAAATAGAGATGAATAAGATAATAAGAGCTTTTCTCAGTGGTTTTCTCTGGGGAAAAATGTTAAAGTATTCAATTTTTATGATGAGCTTGTATCTGAGTCCTCACAATTAAGATGACAATCCCTTTCCTGTTTAGGCTTCAGGAAATAACTAATTTTCAAAAAATGGGAGTTTTGGAACTATGGGAAACACATAATCATTGAGTAGGAAAAGTGTGACTGAAATGTAAGCGGTAGAATCCCAAAACTAACAAACAAAGAAAAAATGATATTCAATCTATCTTCAACTTTTGCTCACAGGGTTAAGTTTATTAAGTTAAAGAGCTCCATATTCTGCTATACTTTTATCAATAAATTATAATTCTAACCATTAAAAATAAGTCACTGATTTTGGATTGGCCCAAAAGCCCCAAAATTGCCTATTTCAGAGCCTCAAGGAAACACTGCAATGTAAAAACATACGCTATTTTTAAAGCAAGTGAGAATGAAAGGAAGAGAAGAAGGAAGGAAGGAAGGAAGGAAGGAAAAAAGGAAGGAAGGAGAGAAGGAAGGAAGGAAGGGAGGGAAGGAGGGAGGGAGGGGAAAAGAAGGAAGGAGAAAAAGAGAGAAAGGAAGAAAAAAGAAAGGAAAGAATCTTGTCATAGGAAATATATATAGGCATACAACTATAGTGTGATATATATAATATATATATGTGTGTATATAGATATAGGCTTTGATTTCCTCCAACTCCAATGCATTTATTATCGTCTTGCATAATTAGTGCTAAATAAATATTTGTTGGATTATTTTTATAGAACCAAATATAGCCTGATGCAATCAATAGAAGATCAGTAAATGTTCTTGTATATAAATTTGTGTACGCATATATATATATATATATATATATATATATATATATATATATATATGTTTTCTTTTTATGGAGACATGTTTATTTCTAACCCTAGCTGCTGAAGTGATTTCTAAAGGGAAAAAGCTTAGAAGGAAGAACAGAGAAACTGAAACTTTTGTCTTCTAGCGTTCAGAAGACAGGAGAGCTTCATCTGATAAATGTTAAGTGGGGAAATAATCAGGAAAAGAGGGCAAATTTCGAGGCCAGGAAAAGAGGGCAAGGTGTGGGTAAGTGTATTAGCTGCCTTATTTCACATTGTCCTTGAGATAATGGCTGTATATTCTCTATCAGTATTCTGTGCTCGCCTATGTTCAGTCTTTAAAAAACACTAGGTAAGGTCAGTGACTTACAACTACACAGTATATGTCAGGGCAGAGGGAACAACTCAATGTGTGCATTTTGAAATGATTTTCTGTAATGTGCCACATACCTCGTTGTTCTCTACTTTTCACTCTTTGGAAACAGTTACATGCAAAACCAATTACAGATAGTTATCAACAATCCCACAGAGGACATAATTTCTGAGAAAATAAATTTTACTATTTTTAGTGTAGCTTTGTATAGCAATGAAAAATACTTTGTTTTAGTTCAGTATAAGTTTTAACTATTCTCTTATATCAAATAGAAAATAATCATTTGCTAATTGCATATCATTTCACAGAAAATTTGAACTTGTGTATTATAAAAATTTATACTATAGAGTTATAAAAAATAGAGATTAAACAGCAAAGATATCCATCTTTTATTAAAAAATATTTTCAAATACTCAAGATATTAAGGTGATATATGTATTCTTCAGATTTTCCATTTCTTTTCTCTACCAGCTTTCATCAAGAGAAAGTGAAGGGGGATATCCTCACAGTTTGATTATTTGAACCTAAGCCACTGGAGAATGGTAATTTGGATAATTTCTGGCTTTGATAGAGCTTAGTGCACTCTTAAATTTCTCCGTTCATATGTAAAAGCAGATGATCTCGTTTTCTTAAATGACAAATGAATTCTGTGAATATAGCTCATTCGTAGTGAACTTTACAAATGACTCACACCATACATGACTTGTGTAATTACATTTACATTTGCTTGTCATATTTACTCTAAAATGTCACTGAGTACTTTTTAAAGTAGCTCTGTATGGCACACAAAAGATTAGAAAACTGCAGCTATTCATTTCATATTAATTCTTGCCCTTATTAGGTCCATAAGAAAAATGAATTAAATTCATTTGCTAGGGTTGACTAGAGTATTTCACTTGAGTTTCTCTCTGTCTCTTTCTCTCTCTTTCTTTCCCCCAGAAGAACTGCTGCTGCAAAGTCACACTGAAGGCTAATTACCATGTTGGAGAGATGTGGCATTTTACTTGGAAAGGTCACATGGCATAGTGAAAAGAGCACTAAACTTATAATTAGAAGTCCAAGGTTCAAAGCTGGGTTCTCCTCCTGTCTAGCACGTCTTCAGTCCTGCTCACCTTTAATCAACAATGTCACCATGGGCAAAGCCAGTGTGTTTTCATTTCCTCAGGAGCCCTTTCTATTTTTAACAGTTCTTATAATCACCAGAAAAATTTTCTAAATGTGAAACATTTCAAAAATATTAACTTTATCCATAAATGAGATTAAAAACCAATTGTTAAGTTAAAAACATTTTCTTTGCATGTAACATTGTCCTATAACAGCTAGAAGGAGCTTAAAAATTCACCATACTTATGTCCGTGAATGTTGATCAGTACTTTTAAATATGTATGCTTTTCATTCTTCAAGCATTTTATAGCAATGAATAAGAGATTAAGTTTGCCTGGAAATAATGGTGGTCTTCACATCAATTGAAAAAAAAAATTCCCAAAACTGATGTTCCCCAAAAGGTATATAGGAAGAATTGGCAAGAAAAATTAAAAGTAAAAATGTGACTTTCAAGGCATGGTTAAGTTAGAGCAAAGGGGCCATTTATCCCCATATAGCTGAAGAGGAAGGACTCAGATATGTGTGAGAGATAAAGCTACCTCACTCACAACATCTTACTTTACCAATTTGTACATTTCATGTTAGAAAGTGTGTATACCATGTGGACTCTACCACTTTCTGACTTGTTATCCTTTGGCAAGTATTAGATTGTCCTCCCATGACCACCGTCATGGCCTTCACCATTCATTACCTACGACTGTCCTTGTTCCACTAGCCTGCATAGTGTGCCCTTTGTACTTTGGCTCAAAACCATGAGACTTTACACATCTAAAAATTAAGTGTGATTATAATAGGCAATGATGACTCTGTAAACTGGGAAAGAAAGTGGAGCATGATGCATGCCTTTGGAGATTGTTGCTAGCTACAAGGGCCAAAGTTTCATCCATTACCAAATTCTAAGATGCCCTGGTGAGAAGAAACTATAAACATTGGAGGTCCAACAAACAAACTTGCTTTCATCTTACTCATGGGATCAACTGACTCACTGCATTTCAAGACAGTTCCTTTTATCATTGGACAACTTCAATTATTATAGACTCCAAAATCTCTTTCCGTGGACCTACTAAATACATATTAAGTCTTATCAGGGGACAGAAAAAATAAATCTACTTCTTTTTTATCATGATGATTCTTTAAATATTTGGTAATATTATCCTAGCTTTCGCTGTTTTTTGTTTTGTTTTGTTTTTGGTCAAGCTAAACATTATTTCTTCAACCAAATTTATGTATATTCATATTCATACATCATTTTAGCTGCTCTCCTATGCATATGTTCCAGTTGTCTACATTTCTTTCCATTGTGGTATTCAAAAGAGCATATCATAATTCATTTGTTGTTTAGCCATTATAAAACTATGGGATAACATGCTTTCTTATTCTAGGTATTATAATTCTATTAATTTAGTACATATTGCATTAGCTTTTATTATTCTAATAATATAGCTAGCTATTACAGGGTCTAATGAAACCCTTCAGTCTATTTTTAAATTGCTATTATGAAAAATTTTAAATGTATAAAAATTAGACTAATATAATAAAACCCCCATATGTCTGTCACTCAACTTCAACAATTTCGACTTACAGAGTATTATAATAAGACATGAAGTTGGTTGAATATTATCTATAAGGAAATGAAGAGAGAGGCAGGACATATTTAACTAGGATTTGAACTACTGAGCTTGTGCAAGTGGTTATGAGAGGAAAAAAACAATACTTGTCTTAGAATTTCACTCTTGCCATAACATAGAAAATGAGTTATAAGGAATGTGGTAGATAGAATAATATAATACTCCCCACTCGAAGATGTCCATACCTAATCTCCAGAACCTATGACCATGCTAGTCTGCATGGCAAAGGATAATTAAGTTTGCAGATGAAAATAATCAGCTGCCATTAAGTAGCGAGATTATCCTGAATCACTTGGGTGAGCCCAATATAATAATCACATATGGGAACAGAAGTCAGGGGAAAATGTAAATATGGAAGAAAAGCAGAGAGAAATACACCATGGCTGGCTTTGGAGGTAAAATGGGGCCATGACCCAAGGAATGTGGGCAGCCTCTAGAAGCCGGAAAAGGAAATAAATCAGATTGTCCCCTAGAGCCTCCCGAAGAAATGTGGACTTACTCACAACTTGATTTTAGCCTAGTGGGATCTGAGTTTGACTTCAAAACTACAGAAATGTAAGAGAATAAATTTGTGTTGTTTTAAGCCATTGAGTTTGTGAGACTTTGTTATAATAGTTATAGAAAACAAATGCAAAGGAGCTAACTTTAATGTTAATTGCATTGCTCAGAATATCTTCTATTACTTCAGATACAGCTTATGGCACAATTTTCATTGCTATAATTAATTAAAATGCCTAAAGGTGCAGAACAAGGGAAGTGATATATCACATAGCGGTTAAGGGTGTAATTTTGAAATTAAACTTACTGGGTTTGCAGTGTGACTTTGCCCGTTACTATTCACAAGACCTTGTATAAAGTATTTAACCTCATTTTGCCTCAGTTTTCTAATATAAAGGATGTGTATAAGATTTCATAGACTATGAGAATTAAGAATGTTGGAGCATACATGTAAAGCATATGGCAGTGGCTTGCATATGAATAATTCTAAATAAATACTTATCATTATTTTGATTTTTCAAATTATTTACACATTATCATCAACTTTTCCTCAAGCAGAAATTGCTTGAAATCTAGCTTATGTTAATTGTCTTGTCAACAAGAAAAATATCAGAAGACTTGTCAAATGCCTGGCTTAAATCCATCCCCTGTCTGTAGTGTCTCTAATACCCCCTGATCTATTAAGCTACTAACCCTATTAAAGAATAATTTAAATTAGTCTAACATGACTCAGTCTTTGTGAACCCATATTGAAGCAGAGTTGTATCTGTTTTTTATTTCAGGTACTGACTAATAAGTTCATTCATAATTGGTTCAAGAGTTTCATCTGAAATCAATGTCAATCTTATTTGGCTAAGATTTCCGAGTGCCCCTCTATCCTCTATGCTGCTTAATTCCAGAAACCATGTTTAGTGTTTCTTGTGATAATAGGTCTTGCAAATGCCTACAAGAAGCTCATGGTCTATCAAAGGTCATTCTTAGGATTGAAGAATCTCAAATTATTCATGATTTCTGTAGATGGTTATGATCTACAGTGCCTAGAATATAACAGTGTTTCCAGACTTTATAATTTCAGGATTTGTTTCTTAATTTGAGCTTCTATCTATTAATATCAACAACATTGTCCTCTTTTGCTTGCTATCTCCAAACTTCTGAAGAACAATGAGCTACTGTGTCTTAAATAGTAATTTATTTTTTAGACAAATGATAAAGCTAAATTTAAAAATTAGTAGGGGTGAAGTAGAAAATTTCCTACATGACTTCACTATTACGGTAAAAGAAAGAACCAATCACATTTGTGCTTTGGTAATAAGGCAATTTGCAGCTGTTCTCAACTGCTAAATTCTCAGTATTAAAAAAAATGGGCATGGCAGAATGATAAGTGTTATATCCAAATACCTTTAGCCTTTCAAGAATGGGGAGGTACATGAAAATGCATGAGACAGAAGCCCAGATGTAGGTAAATATATTAAGGAAAACATGCAAATAAAGTCACAAAAATAGTCAAGAAGAGAAAGTACACAAAAATAAAAGTTTGACCATGTAGACTATGTTAGTTTTCTGGCTTTTGGCATGCTACATAAAAAAATTAAAATAAGACGCAGGTGACAAATGTAAAAAAAATCATTCACATTGTAGATTTTTAAATAGAACATCTTGCTAGTTCTGTGAACAAATTATGTTGGTAGTTTGATAGGAACAGCATTGAAACTGTAGATTGCTTTGAATAGTATGGCCACTTTAACAATACTGATTCTTCCAATCCATGAGCATGTAATGCTTTTCAAATTGTTTATGTGTCATATGTTATTTCTTTTAAGAGTGTCTTATAGTTGTCCTTGTAAAGATCTTTCACCTCCTTGGTTAGATTTATTCCTGGATACTTCATTTTTTGGTGGCTATTGTAAATGGAATTGCATACTTGATTTAGCTCTCAGCTTCAATTTTATTGGTGTATAAAAATGCCACTTATTTGTGTATACGCATTTTGTATCCTGAAACTTTACTGAAGTTGTTTATCATTTATAGGAACCTTTTGGCAGAGTCTTTAGGGTTTTCTGGGCATAGAATCATATTATCTACAAAGAGAGATAGTTTGACTTATTCTTTTCCCATTTGGACGCCTTTTATTTATTTATTTTTTTCTTTTCCCTGATTGCTCTGGCTAGGACTTCCAGGATTATGTTAAATAGAAATGGTAAAAGTGGGCATTCATATGAAACAGAAAAAGAGCCAAATCAATCCTAAGCAAAAAGAACAAAGCCAGAGGCATTATATAAACTAATTTCAAGCTATACTATAAGGCTACAGTAAACACAACAGCATGATACTGGTACATAAACAGACACATAGACCAATGGAACAGAATAGAAAACCCGGAAAATAAGTTGAACACCTACAACCATCTAATTTTTTACAAAGTCAACAAAAATAAGCAATGGGGAAAGGACTCCCTAGTCAATAAATGGTGTTGAGATAGCTGGCTATCCATATATAGAAGAATGAAACTGGACTTCTATCTTTCATCATATGCAAACATTAACTCAAGATGGATTAAAGATTTAAATGTAAGACCTCGAAATATAAGAATCCTAGAAGTAAACTTAAGTAACACCATTTGGGGCATCAGCTTTGAGAAAGGATTTATGACTAGGTCCTCAACAGCAATTGCAACAAAAACAAAAATTGACAAAAAGGGAGCTTCTACACAGCCAAAGAAACTCTCAACAGAGTAAACAGACAACCTACAGAATGGTAGAAAATATTCACAAACTATCCATCCAACAAAAGACTAATACCCAGATTCTATAAGGAACTTACACAAATTAACAAGCAAAACTCAAATAACCCCATTAAAAATGGACAAAATACATGAACAGACACTTCTCAAAAGAAGACATCCAAGTCTCCAACAAACAAGAAAAAATGCTCATCATCACTAATCATCAGAGAAATGCAAACCAAAACCACAATGACATACCGTCTCATACCAGTCAGAATGGCTATTATAAAAAGTCAAAAAACAAGAGATTCTGGTGGGGCTGCAGAGAAAAGAAAACACTTATATACTGTTGGTTGGAATGTTAACTAGTTCAGTCACTGTGGAAAGAAGACTGAAGATTTCTCAAAGAACTTAAGACTACCATTCGATTTAGCAATCCCATTACTGTGTATGTATCCAAAAGAAAACAAATGTTCCTACCAAAAAAATACCTGCATTCAGATGTTCATTGCAGCAGTATTCACAATAGCAAAGTCATGGAATCAACCTAGGTGACACGCAATGGTGGACTGGATTAAGAAAATATGGTTCATATACACCATGGAATACCATGCAACCATAAAAAGTAATGAAATCGTATCTTTTGCAACAACATGGATGCAGCTGGAGGCCATTATCCTAAGCAAATTAATGCAGGAGCAAAAAATCAAAATACCGCATGTTCTCAATTATAAATGGGAACCTAAACATTAGATACTCATGGACTTAACTTGGCAACAATAAAAACTGGGGATTACTAGAAGGGGAGGGAAGGTAAGTGGCAAGGGTTGAAAAACTACCTATTGATCATTATGCTTAGTACCTGAGTGATGGGGTCATTTGTGCCCCAAACCTCAGCATTACTCAATATGTCCATTCAACAAAACTGCACATGAAGCCCCTGAATATAAAATAAAAGTTGAAAAAAGTTTGAAGGCACAAATAAGTAAATAAATAGGAAACAAATAGAGCATCTCATTCCTGTGTTGTCTCCTGTATATCTAAAAATAACACTTTTAGATCCCTTAGACGTATTTTGAAATTGTGTTGTGTTCCTTTCTTTGTCTAACAAGTGAAGCTCACTCTGATTTGAGAGTTAATAGATAATAGTTACATATATCCCAAATATTTCCTTGGGATGTGTTTCTCATGGGAAGGATGTACACCTATGGTCATGGGTAAACACAATGGTCTGTTAGCGATAATTATCATAGTATACTTACATATTGTCCTATAAAATAATGTTCTGTTAATATAGATTTACTGTTAGATAATAACACATTCTATTAATAGAAGCCCAAATTTAAACTGGCTGGTAATTACATTTTATTTCACAAGTAAAATGTTTTGCTTTTTGATATTTTGTCTTTTCATTAAATATAGAAAGTAGTAAAAAATTACAACTAGATTTAAAATTCCATTGGACAGGTGACACATATACACTTATTTAATATCTGTGAATCACTAAAATGATGATTAAATATATAGTCAGCATTAAATACATTCTTGACAATTTCTAGTATTTCCCAGTCAGATGGTATCTGATGCTGTTTCTCTATTCTGCAGGTAATTAAGTAATTTTTCTTAAGATCAACTAGAAGTTAGTGATGGAGTTAAAAACGTAATTTATTTCTTCAAAGTCCTTCTGTGCTCCTTTCACCTCAATATGGTGCTTGCTTGCAAGATTTTACTGTAGTGAGGAAGAGGCAAATTATAAGGAAATTAGAAAATGAAGAAATCAAAGGAAAGTGTATGTTGATAATCTCAACAACAGTCCTTGAAGTCTGCTTATCTACTGCTAAACAAGCAATTCACTCAGAAGCTGAAAAAAACTTAATATACTCATCAAAGCCCTCTTTACAATTATACAGGTATTAAAGAAAGTGTCCAACAGTGAGAGGTGAACCTTAAGTAGTTTAAGGATTGCATTTAGAAGATGAAGATTAGAGCAATAATACTTAATGCTACTATAGAGCCTTTATTCCTGGCGGTTCAGGATATTTAACTAAAGGCCAAATGATATAAACCTCTGATATCTGTAAAACTTAGCTGGAAAACTTTATTCTAATAACATTTTTGTGGGTTGTTTTCCTGCTCTTTCATTTTCTTGCAATAGAAAGCAACCCTATACCTATTTGAGAGCATTTCGGCACAAATTCTCTTTAAAAAGCAATGGGGATATTTTCAACTCACAGTAAAAGGAAATGTCTTAGTACTAAGTTTAAATAATTGTTGAGTATAATTAAATCTATGTAAATTAATTCTACTCAGCATTAAATTTATATATATATATATATATATATGGCCAATAGAAATGCTAAAAATTATAGTCACATGAGGTATTGCAAGCAAATATTAGAGAAATCCCATAACAAAGAGAAATACTAAAAATAGATCCTGGCCAGGTGCAGTGGCTCATGCCTGTAATCCCAGCACTTTGGGAGACTGAGGCGGGCAGATCGCCTGAGGTCAGGAGTTCAAGACTAGTTTGGCCAACGTGGTGAAACCCCGTCTCTACCCAAAATACAAAAATTAGCCGGGCCTGCTGGCACATATCTGTAATCACAGTTACTTGGGAGGCTGAGGCAGGAGAATTGCTTGAACTCCAGAGGCAGAGGCTGCAGTGAGCTGAGATCGTACCATTGCACTCCAGCCTGGGTGACAAAGGAAGACTCCATCTCAAAAAAACAACAAAAAAAATCCTGATAGTCTAAAATAAAAGAAAATAAGCAACATATATTTTTAGGTATTCTATACCTTCCAAATTTTACCATTATGATATATCTCTATCTTCACAATGTTGGAT
Organism: Homo sapiens; assembly: GCF_000001405.40. Taxonomy (NCBI): domain Eukaryota; kingdom Metazoa; phylum Chordata; class Mammalia; order Primates; family Hominidae; genus Homo; species Homo sapiens. The sequence continues at coordinate 77,285,867 of NC_000002.12, forward strand.
AGGACAAGTCATATTGGTTAGTAACACTAATAAAATGCTATATATCTAACCTTAAGGAAGTAATTATAAAAAGTCTATGCTACCAAAGTAATAAAACATTTTCCTTAAACCCAATAACTTTATCTTATACATAATTATAGACATCAACCATATATTTTAAGGTGTGCTAAACTGCACTGAATATGGCCACTGAAATTATTAGAATCTGAAAAACTTTGGATAGATTCATCTTCTATATGGCAAAATTGGATGTTTCCTGTTATTTTCAGAGTTGAAAAAATTATGGGGACCAGTCAAGTTGCCTCAATCTTGCTTCCATCATGAGAATTCTGCTGGAGTATATAGGTTAAAATCCAGATTTTTGAATTGGTTAAGAGTTTGTTCTTCATACTTATCTCAGTCAATAATTAAATAAAATGAAAATATGCTTTTAAACACATACAATATAACATAGTCAAAGCTCACATTAATAAATTATACCAAATCATTTTATGATATTAATTTTTTAAATTGTTACTTAAAAATTGATAATTATTAATAATCATACTCTTTAATTAAAAATAGTTAAAATCTTTTAAAAATTCATAAAACTAGCCTAGCTGATTAAAATATACTAAATGTTAACTAACATTTTGGCCTTTAAGCATCTACTATTTTAGCATTATAAAATGCAAATGATTTTTTCTCAATTGGCAGTTTTTTCTTCACTAAATTACCACCAACAAAATATATATAAGAAAAAAAAAAACTCTAGCAAAGAAGAAAGTCATACTGTAGAAACTACAAGGGGTACACACTAAACAGAAGGCTTCTATTTCAAATTAGTATCTTGATATGAGACTCCAGTTTAGTCCAAACTTCATAAAAGTAGTCATTAACAATACAAAATATTACAATAAAAAATCTAGCTATTGTCATGTTTTTAATGAATAAAACAACTCTAATTGAGGATTATGGGCTACCTGAAGGAAAACCTACTGAAAATTAATTTTATTGACTGTCTTAGATTTGGTTTACATAAAGAAAATACTTCACTCACTCCATAGTATCTGTTCTCAGAATCACATAATAAATTATGCTTCTCTTTCCTTCTTCTAGTCTGGGAGAGTACAATTGCTTTTTTCTTGCTCAATACTAACTTAGCCTCTCTGTGTTTGCACAAATGGGGAGAGTAGATAGGAAAAATATAAAATAATGATACGTTCGAGGCCACAGTGCCAAAAGAAGGACCTCTGTATCATTCACTGGGTGTGGAAATGTGGGTTACACAACGCAGCATCTCTGCATAGGTAAGCCCGTGTAGGTTACTGAGGAGACAAGCAGAACAGGAGGGGTATAATGGAAATTCAGGGAGAGAACTAGCACTTGTGTTTGGCTTGTTCATGTCACCTTGTGTTGTTTTAGAACTTAGAGAATGGAGCAAGGCATGGGGAAAAATGACAGTCCTAAAACAACAGGAATTATAGTAAAAATCTATTACAAATGGAGAGCTCCTCTTATCTACTCATGCTTTACCTTAAAATTTAAAATATATATTATATATCTATCATATGTATATATTAGATATTCAAAATCTTATTTAAACACAAGTACAGTAGTCCCCTTTTACCCATGTTTTTTTCCCCCAAGGTTTGTGTTACCTCAGGTGAACCCCAGTCTGAAAATAACAAATAGAAAATTCCAGAAATAAAGAATTCATGAGTATTAAATGACGTGCCACTCTGAGTAGTGTTATGAAATCTTGTGCCATTTCCCTCTATCCAGTGCAGGACATGAATTATTTCTTTATCCACTACAGAGTGGATATTACCCACCTGTTAGTAACTTAGTAGTTGAGAGAGAGAAACCACATTTACATAACTTTTATTACAGTATGTTGTTATAATTGTCCTATCTTACAATTAGCTTCTGTGGCTAATCTCTTACTATGCCTGATTTATAAATTAAACTTTATCATAGATACATATGTATAGGAAAAACAACATAGTATACATAGGGTTTGGTACTATCCGTGCCTTGGGCACCCACTGGGGGTTTTGGAAGCTATCCTCCATGGATAAAGGGGCACTACTGTATACAACAAAGGGTAATGTATTCACATCATTCAACACATCTGTTGTCTCAACATTCTTCAAGGAAAAACAAACAAAAGGCAGCCAGCCATAACAACATTGGTCTATGGTTAGAAAGAAAGGAACAACAAAAGCAGTATGAACTAATATAAAAGCAAATATGACCCAAGAGAAATTCTAGAAGGAAAACACAGAAAACTGACTTACCAAATAGATTACAATAGAGCATGGCCACTATTAATCAGAAGCAGAGTGTCAAGTAGAAAAAATAATTTATAAATTAGATAAAATAATATATTTATAAGATAAACATAGAAGAGATAGGAAAGAAAGTTAAAAACAAAACAATGGAATTGAAATACACTTTGAAGACAATACATAACCGAATATTGCTGAAAAATGATATGAAAAACTTGTTTGAAAAACAGTAAAAAATTAGATTAATGAAATGGAGTGTGAGAAGATATTGAAGAAAGAACAATATCTGAAAAGCTGATCTTTCTGAAGGAAAGATAAATATAAAAGGAACAAAACTGAAAAGTCAATATCATCTTAGAAGATAATATTCATAAACTATAAAAAAGACTATACGTGTTGGTTTTAAGAACTCATCATTTTCCAAGGTAATGTGTCCAACATATAAACATACCATTGCATTTTATCTATAAAGATATAATTCATAAGCACGCATCCAGGCAAAAAATACACACAAAGAAATAAACATTTGTCTGTCTTCAAATTTTTACAGGCAGAATCTAATCTTTAGAAGAAACTTGAATAATACCTATGTAATGCTTAGGAAATAAATACTATGATATGTTCAAACTCATCCTGTGTATCCTGTTTCCCAATTTCCCAGACTTTCTTGCAATTAGAGATAACTTTTGCCATGTTTCTCCACAGCAGTATCTCAGCAGAAGCCAATTGGGATGGAGCCACAGAAATAAAGTTACAACGCTATTACCACATTACTTGCTATCTGAAACACTGGGAAAAAAAATTCATCAGTTAATGCACCTCTCACCTACATAGTGAAAAACAGTTTGCCCTTTGCAATATTTTGAAAAAGAATAGTTGTTTGCTGATATATAAATACACTTATAATACGGAGTTTATGTTTTTTAAAGCAGGTTAAATGTCTATATGTATAGCTGTATCCTTTTATTAAAAAGATACCATATGCATGAATTGGACCTTGACCAATATCATCAATATGTGAAAGGAGTTTACACAGTGGTAGCATTATGCATATTTTTATAGTTCCTTTCTTAATTCAGCCCTTTATCCTTTTTTTTGTTACAACAATATGTCCTAATTTAGGTACTAATACAGAATAGAGGTTTTTTATTTTTAAAAGGAAAATTTGAAAGGTAATGGATTTATCTATCCCTAACATTTCTAAATCTGAGAGTACAGAAGCAGTTTTTTAAGTGATTGTACCCTTCATTAACTACATGTTTATACTTGAATTGAAACATCCATGCATGCCTTATATGCTGTACAATTACCAGAATCCCTGAGCTACTCTCATAACCCTGATTAACATTTATATTAACCATGGGCTTCAGAATGCACAGTTAACAAAGAAACTTGTTATTTTATCTCATGCCAATAATAACACAGGCAGGATCAAGAAAATATGTTAGTGGTTTTTTTTTAGAAATGGTTATTTGGAGTGCAAGTTAGGTTACTACCGACAATTTGGACTCCAGGCTTCTGCTCAAACAGGTCTATTTCTGGCTACAATGTAGGCAGATTGATTGAATTTTGCATTCAAGATTACATGATAAGATTTTTGCCAATTTAATTGTTTGAAATTAAAAATATCTCAATGTTTAAAACTTCTGACGTGAAATATTTGTTTAATATGAAGAATCACACAATATTTAATCTATTTTACTGCCCATGTTTCTCAAAATAGTGTCCCTTTAGCCTTCCTCTTGGCCCCTGTCTCCCAGTTAATTTATCTCTTAATTCCTCAGGGAAAAATCAGGAAAAACAAAAACATCCAGGAGGAATTATTGTGTGATTGTAGTAGTAGGAAGGATATTACTTCTTCTTTAAGTTTGTTTGCTTTTTTTTAGTTTTTAATACTTTATAAGCAATCAAATATTTTATAGGCTAAAACAGGATAAAAATCAATGAAACATATAAAATTGAAGGAGAGTTTTCAACTGTGTGACTCATGAAACAAACTAGATGAAATAAAAAGCCCAGTCCACACTAATGTAAACCCTACTATTAGGTGAAACTTTCCCAGTCACTATATGATATTAATTCAAGACAGATTAAATATGAATCTAATAGTTTTGTTTGGATGCTTGAATTCAATGGTGTCTCATTGCCTTCAAAGTGGAAGTTCTATTTGACATATGTCTCATGTTCTCACTAATATGTGGGAGGTAAAAATAAATAAACTCATGGAGATTGAGAGTAGAATGATGGTTACCAGAGGCTGGGAAGGGTATAGGGAGGGGAGCATAAAGAGGAGATAGTTAACGGATACAAAAATATTGTTAGACAAAAGGATAAGACCTAATGTTTGGTAGCATAATAGGTCAACTACAGTTAACAAAAAATTTATTGTATATATCAAAATAACTAAAAGAAAAAATGAAATGTTTCAAACACTAAGAAATGATATATGCTTGAGATGATGGATATCCCAATTACCTTAATTTGAGGTATTCTGTGCTTGTATCAAAATATCACACGTACCCCATAAATATATACTATTATTCAGTATCTGTAATAATGAAAATTTTAAAAAATTAAGTCCAACCTCTAGGATTAGCCTCTAAATTCCTTCACAACAGAGCCATACCTGTAATTCTAGCTTCCTTTTCCTCTTGTTTTTCCTACAGTTTCATGATTTTTTAAAAATTTTCCAGCCATACATGATTATTTTAGAGTTCTTAGAATTTGCGCTTTTCCGAGTTGCATCAGCTCCCTGATATGTTGTTCATGCCTCCTTAGTGCCCTGTGATCTTCCAGTTCAAGCATCTTCCAATCTCAATATACATAAGAGTCCCAGAGGAGGACATTACTGCTGGGCTTTTCTGCTCTTACAGCCTACAGATAACCTCCATATTCTGTCCTATTGAATAAGGTAAGAGTGGTGCTTTATTCAATATTATGTTCTCAGTGCATATATTTAGTAGCTGCCATAGATTTTCTTAATACTAGAAAAACTGTTTGAGATTTTTATTATACAGATGAGAGATGGAAATAAACTATAGCTGTGTTAATGAAAATAAGGATTTATTATGTCTCTCTGGTATGCATCTTGGGGGTTAATAAAAATTGTAATAGAATTGAAACTAATTTGGTATAAAAAGTGAAGTTTTCTGAGAAGAAAATGGAAGAAAGTTTTGTCAAATAAAGTGTTAAAACTATTGAAAAGTGAGAAATCAACAAAGATCTTAGTATTAATTTAAACTACTTATTTCTCAAATTCTGCCATGTGTATTTTTACAGATTTTTAATTCAAAAGCACATTTCAAAACTTAAGAAGCCATGAATTCGTTTGCATGTACATAGGTCTGTCTTATTTAAGTTGATATCACTAGAAATAAAGATTGCCAGTAAAGTTCAAAAGCTTGAAGGTAATATAACAGCATTCACATACAAATATTTAGCAGAGTTCCTTCAAATAAGAGAAAACTGAAAATCTTAATGAGATAAAATTGCTTGAGAAAAGAAAAATTTTTTAAAAGCATTGTATTTAGTGACCATTATATTTTAGCACCATGGTCTGTATTTTTTTATTTTGATAGATCTTAGATAAACCTATTATTATGTTTTTATTTTGAATGACAAAAATTATGTCCCATTTGATTACTTCTCTAAAACACATCATGTCTAAAACACCAAAAGCAATGGCAACAAAAGCCAAAATTGAAAACTGGGATCTAATTAAACTAAAGAGCTTCTGCACAGCAAAAGAAACTACCATCAGAGTGAACAGGCAACCTACAAAATGGGAGAAAATTTTCGCAATCTACTCATCTGACAAAGGGCTAATATCCAGAATCTACAATGAACTCAAACAAATTTACAAGAAAAAAACAAACAACCCCATCAAAAAGTGGGCAAAGGACATGAACAGACACTTCTCAAAAGAAGACATTTATGCAGCCAAAAAAACACATGAAAAAATGCTCACCATCACTGGCTATCAGAGAAATGCAAATCAAAACCACAATGAGATACCATCTCACACCAGTTAGAATGGCAATCATTAAAAAGTCAGGAAACAACAGGTGCTGGAGAGGATGTGGAGAAATAGGAACACTTTTACACTGTTGGTGGGACTGTAAACTAGTTCAACCATTGTGGAAGTCAGTGTGGTGATTCCTCAGGGATCTAGAACTAGAAATACCATTTGACCCAGCCATCCCATTACTGGGTATATACCCAAAGGACTATAAATCATGCTGCTATAAAGACACATGCACACATATGTTTATTGTGGCACTATTCACAATAGCAAAGACTTGGAACCAACCCAAATGTCCAACAATGATAGACTTGATTAAGAAAATGTGGCACATCTACACCATGGAATACTATGCAGCCATAAAAAATGATGAGTTCATGTCCTTTGTAGGGACATGGATGAAATTGGAAATCATCATTCTCAGTAAACTATTGCAAGAACAAAAAACCAAACACCGCATAGTCTCAC